>NC_000002.12:241855580-242183529 GCF_000001405.40 Homo sapiens | reverse complement strand
CTAACCCTAACCCTAACCCTAACCCTAACCCTAACCCTAACCCTAACCCTAACCCTAACCCTAACCCTAACCCTAACCCTAACCCTAACCCTAACCCTAACCCTGACCCTGACCCTGACCCTGACCCTGACCCCGACCCCGACCCCGACCCCAACCCCAACCCTAACCCTAACCCCCTAACCCGAACCCGAACCCGAACCCGAACCCGAACGTGAACCCTAACCCTCCATGAGTAATATGCCTGTTATATTTAGGGTGTCATGTGTGCATTAGGAATGCTGCATTTGAGTTCTGACGCTGCACTTGAACCCTGCAATACAGCCCCTCGCCTTGCCTTGGGAGAATCTCGGTGCGCAGGATTCAGAGAGGCTTTTCGTTTCCCGCTTTCCACACTAAACCGTTCTAACTGGTCTCTGACCTTGATTATTCAGGGCAGCAAACAGGAAAGATTTTATTCACCGTCGATGCGGCCCCGAGTTATCCCAAAGGCAGGCAGTACCCCCAACGTCTGTGCTGAGAAGAATGCTGCTCCGCCTTTACGGTGCCCCCCACGTCTGTGCTGAACAGAACGCAGCTCCACCCTCGCAGTGCCCTCAGCCCGCCCGCCCGGGTCTGACCTGAGAAGAACTCTGCTCCGCCTTCGCAATACCCCCGAAGTCTGTGCAGAGGAGAACGCAGCTCCGCCCTCGCGATGCTCTCCGGGTGTGTGCTAAAGAGAACGCAACTCCGCCCTCGCAAAGGCGGCGCGGGGCGCCGGCGCAGGCGCAGAGAGGCGCGGGGCGCCGGCGCAGGCGCAGAGAGGCGCGGGGCGCCGGCGCAGGCGCAGAGAGGCGCGGGGCGCCGGCGCAGGCGCAGAGAGGCGCGGGGCGCCGGCGCAGGCGCAGAGAGGCGCGGGGCGCCGGCGCAGGCGCAGAGAGGCGCGGGGCGCCGGCGCAGGCGCAGAGAGGCGCGGGGCGCCGGCGCAGGCGCAGAGAGGCGCGCCGCTGTTGGGGAGACGCGGCGCAGGGCGTAGACGCACGCCGGCGCCTCCCCGGAGGGGAGGGGTTGCTGAGCGGGCGGGAGTGAGGCGCGGCGCAGGCGCAGAGACGCACGTCGCTGGGCTGAGGGTGGCGGGGAGTGTTGCAGTCGCACAGTCGCGCGCCGCCGGGCGGGGAGCGCGGGGGTGGCGCGGTGCACGCGCAGAGACACACGTCCCCGGCGGCGCAGAGACGAGTGGAACCTGACTAATCTGAAAAGCCCGTTTCGGGCGCCCCCTGCTTGCAGCCGGGCACTACAGGACCAGCTTGCCCACGGTGCTCTGCCATTGCGTCCCCTACTGGCGACTAGGACAACTGCAGGGCCCTCTTGCTTACAGTGCTGTCCAGCGCCCCCTGCTGGCGCCGGGGCACGGCAGGGCTCTCTTGCTCGCAGTATAGTGGTGGCACGCCGCCTGCTGGCAGCTAGGGACATTGCAGGGCCCTCTTCCTCACATTATAGTGGCAGCACACCCGCCTGCTGGCAGCTGGGCACACTGCCGGGCCCTCTTGCTGCCATTGTCGTGGCTGCACGCCACATGCAGGCAGATGGGGACTACGCAGGGCCCTCTTGCTCCCGGCGTAACGGCTGGCGTCCCCTACTGGCCGCCTCCTGCACCACTTAAAGTCACAGCGCCAGTTATTAATCCCCATCAGTTCTGCAAATTAAAACTGAAAAGGAGCTATTACTGCGGAGAGCTGATGTCCCAGTTATTAACTTGGAAGACAGCTTTTCACCAAGAGGCAGTACAAAGATGGAAGATAACTTCATTGAAAAGAAATACAGTGTAAAGAGCTTATTGTACAAAAATAGGGAGGAGTAGGCTGATAGTGCATGATAACAGCCTAAGAGTCCTGTGCAGGGATTTTTATTTTGGACTTCTTCACATTCCTGCCTCTGTCTCAAGTCTCCGCCTGTTTTCTTTGGTTTTCCTGCTACTGCCTTAGGTCCCCGACTTGCCCCACTTAGCCTTGTGGGACCTCCTCACTGTTGATTGAGGTACATGTGTGGTGATCAACCCGAATCCACTCTGGCACCAGCCTCCTTCCCGCCATACCAGGCAGGCTGACAGCGGTCACGTTTGTATCTACTGCAGCTGCCTCTTTTGAATGTCTTTCTCTGCCCTAATCTGTACTTATGGTGCCAGGTTTCTCTTAAGAATGTCCCCTTTCTCCTTCTTATCAGCATGTAGCTAGCAATATTCTGACATTTTTATTGCAGAGTGAATGATGATTGGGGCATCTCAAGAGAAGTTCTAGGGTGTTTCTGCGTAGGTACCTCTTCTCCCTCCTAACCACAATTGACAAGTGCCCATCCACTCCAGCACTAGAGATGCTACTAATATATGCATTTTTGGTGGTCCCTCCACGTGAGCCTTCACAGACTTTCCCTTTTCCAGGAGCTCCCCCTCCTGTTCATGTCTAGCTAGCTATCTACTCTAACAGAGCCCACTATCCTGTGTCTTTCCCAAAAATAGTGAGGGAATGATTAATTGGAAACCATAAGAAATGATATGCATGTAGACGAAAACTTTACAACTTACACAAATAATCACTCAAAATCATCATTACACTAAAAATGCAAAACTATACAATTTCTAGAAGAAACTATAGAGGAAAAGCTATGTGCCTTTGCGTTTGGTAATGAATTTTAACAAATGACACAGAAGGTTGATATACACAGAAGAAATGACAATGTGGATTTCTTAATATTTACAGTTTATACTCTGGAAGAGACCTTGTTAAGAGAACAAAAAGACAAGCCACATATTGAAGAAAATATTTGCAAAATACAGATCTGAGAATTTGTATTCAAAATATATAAAAAATTGTTAAAACTAAACAATAAGTTAAACAGCCCAATTAAAAATGCACACAGATCTGAACAGACGCCTCATCAAAGAAGATCTACAGATGGCAAGTACACCTACAAAAAGATGCTCAACATACTAGAGAACTGAAAACCACAAAAAGATAGCACAGCTGGTCTATATCTCTTAGAACTGCTAAGCTCTTTAACAAATGACAAATTGCTGGAGGAAAAACAAGAACTCTTTTCATTGCCAGTAGAACACAGTGTATAAGACCAAACTATGCCACCCCAAAATATAATGGTAGGAAACCAGAATATGCAACCCCAAAATATGTCCCTTTGGCTTAAAAATTATTCCAAGCTAATTATTTTGAAAAAAAAAATGCTAACAAAGGAAGTTGTGAAAACAGAGTAAAAGTTACTTGTGTAAGGAAAATTTACACCTATAAAGGAAATCACCATTTAAAAGCTACCTCTCTCGACACCAAGAAGAGAAGGATAACTAAATCACTGAAGAGTCTTATCAATGAAGAATGCATGGACTTAACTCTGTATAATGAACCTTACCCCTGTCTAATGTGCTTTTGCTGGTTAACTTCCCACTACTGCACCTCAAATCTTCTTTCTTTAAGTTGAAGATAGTATTTATGCTTGAATTGAAAGCCACCTGTTGGAGATTTACTCATTTTTCCCTGAGTATATCCCATGTAACCATAAGATATACATGTTTTTAAACTTTTCTGTTTTTCTCATTTTAATCTGTCACTTTTTACAGAGCGTTCCATCTAAGAATTCCAAAAACAGAAAATTATTTTTCCTCCCCTATTACAAGTTGGGCATTTTTTTCCAAAGCTAAACAAGTCTCACCTTACAATCCAAAAATAACATTCCTAAGTATTTTGACAACTACTTTGATGTTATTTCCCATCAAAAGCTACCATGCAGTTATTTACAGAAGCCCTATTCATAATGACCAAAGGAAAAAAAAGGAATCAGAAAGCCTTACAATAGATGACTGTGTGGGAATCCACTCAGACATCAAAAGTTGTTATAAAGATTATTTAAATGAAAACATTTGAGATACTGAAGATGAAGAAATCTTACCAGAACTTACTTTATCCAATTAAAGCAGAGCTCCCAGTAAAATACAGCTGGCATTAACCCCATCCAAGGAGTTTCTTGCAAATTCAGCTGCCATGAAGACAGCGTACTCTTTCGCATTAGCATTGATAAATGAAAATTAAATTCTAAGCTCCCAACTGACTGAACAGACCCACTCTTGGCTGAGGGGACCCCAGAGTAACTTTCAAAACTGAGTTCTCAGCTTTGCTAGGATGCGATGATGGGGTTAAGATACACATCGTTATACCCCCTCCTTTGCTAACCATGATGAGGCTTTCTTCCCTAAGGATTTAACAGAAACCAGCCCTTTCAAAGCCTCCACCACTGATATCAACCTCTCCTTTCTTGCCTGATAAGAGACCACCCACGATGGAGAGGTTCTGGCCAGCGTACAGAGGATGCACAGAGCGAGTTTTCATTTCCTCTGCTTCACCTTTTAATGTCAGAGGGCTGAAAACTCCACCCTGGGATCATGCTAACACTGCCATTTTTTGTACATGGGACCCATGAAGAAGCAAGAAACTCAATTGTGCGTGCATGCATTTCTCCTTCCATAAATATTCATGACTCCTCCTAGAGCTTATTAAATAAATCTATTTGGCCATTCCACTCAGCATAAATTGCTATTTCCTTTACCTCCTCCTTGAAGCATCTGTTTCTGGCTTCTGGCTGGAGGCTATGCTTCCCAGCCTGTCAGAAGGACAACCCTGCAGGCTACAACCCTTTATAGAAAATAAATCTCTCACTGGGTGGGTGGCTCATGCCTGTAATCCCAGCACTTTGGGAGGCCGAGGTGGGTGGATCACCTGAGGTCAGGAGTTTCAGACCAGCCTGGCCAACATGATGAAACCCTGTCTCTACCAAAACTGCAAAAAATTAGCCAGGTGTGGTGGTGGGCATCTGTAATCCCAGCTAATCAGGAGGCTGAGGCAGGAGAATCGCTTCAACCCAGGAGGTGGAGGTTGCAGTGAACCAAGATCATACCATTGCACTCCAGCCTGGGCAACAAGAGTGAAACTCTGTCTCAAAAAAAAATAAAAATAAGCATAAAAATGAAGAAATGTCTCCTTTCCAAATTTATGAACCTCATCATTCTTCCATTGACAGCATTAAAAGGTTCAAAAAGACCTTTCCATACTCTCCCACAGAAGCCCTAGAAATTGTCATTTTGTTAATCATTCTGGATGCCTGAGAACTTGTAATCCAATGAGTAGAAAGTTTGGTACCCCATTTATGGCTGTCAACCTGCCAGTTCTCAGGAGTTTGTAAAAGCCTAAATCCGAAAGGATCTCATCCCATTAGGACCCTTGTCTCCTTTTCTGTTACCTTTTCCCACTGGCTCTGGCAACAGGGGTCTTTCTTTCTCCTTGGCTATCTTTGGATATGGGGGCTCCGTCTTCTGTGCCACCTTAGGGAATGCCTTTTGCAGGCATGGCTAAGTCATTAAAAAGCCTACAGTTTCAGTAACATTTTGAGTGAGTACTCTCTGAAGCTGCGTTGGAATCTCAGGCTTCTTTGTCTGGAAGATAACTCTTGGGCTACAAGTTTCTTATCCTAGCTTTGGTTTTGAGGCCTCTCTGTTCTCCTCTTGGGTTGGAAGTTATTCCTGGCTTTTTGTTTCAAGGTGTCTCTGTGATCTTGATCTTGCTGCTTTCATGGGAACTTCTCAGTTCACTAAATTCTCCCTTCTCCAACCTCTGCTGACTATGTGTTCCACCAATATGGAACTAATTCTACTTCTTTTCCTGTTTGCATGACTTTACTAAGAATTATTTACAACTTTAATGGCTCCTTTGAGAAAATTTTTATTTTCCAAATTGCCTCCTTTTAGACCTTTCCTTTCCCAGTTGAGTCTCTCAACTCCCTATAATCACTGAAACTTCAGGCACCCCACTCCATGCCTTGGAAGCTCTCAATGTGCTCAAGAATCTGCAAAAGCAAACACCTGGGGCTGAAGAATAAAATAGAAAAAAAATTATTTCTCAGTCTCCATAAGATTCTATGTCAAAAAAAAAGAAAATCTTTAAAATCTCCAAAAATATTGGTGAGAAAAAAGCCTTAGCCCTCATATGAAGAAGAAAAAACTTGTTCCATTTTCCAGATACATAGTTATAATACAAATATAAAATGGGGCAAAGACAAAAACCAAGTCTTCTATATAAAGTAGTGAATTTTGTAGTTATTGTAATCACATTAGGCAGGGGTCTCCAGAAAGGCAGAATCAATAGGATATATGTAGATAGATGAGAGAAGATTCATTAGGGGAACTGGTTCACATAATTATGGAGGCTGAGAAGTTCCACAATAGCCTGTCTCCAAGTTGGAGAACCAGGAAAGCTGGTAGCATGGCTCACTCCAGATACAAAGGACTCAGAATCAGGGAAGCCAATGGTGTAACTCTGATTGTGAGGCCAAAGGTCTGAGACCCTGAAGTTCTGATGTCAAGGGCAGGAGAAGAAGGATGTTTCCACTTCAGAAGGAGATAATTCACCTTTCCTCTTCCTTGTTATTCTATCTGGGCTCTCAACCAATTGGATGGTGCCTGTATTCATCCATTTTTATACAGCTATGAAGAAATACCTGAGTCTGAGCAATTTATAAAGAACAAAGGGGTTTAATGGGCTGACAGTTCCACATGGCTGCAGGGGCCTCACAATCATGGCAGAAGGGGAAGCAAAGCTATCCCTCTTCACATGGCAGCAACAAGAAGTGCTGAGCCAAAGGGGAAAAGCCCCTTATAAAACCATCAGATCATGAGAACTCACTCACTGTCATGAGAACAGCATGGCGGTAACCACCACCATGATTCAGTCACCTCCCATTGGGTCCCTCCCACGACATGTAGGTATTACAGGAACTACAATTCAAGATGAGATCTGGGTGGGGACACAGCCAAACCATATCAGTGCCCATCCACATTGGGTCATGGTTATCTCAGTGTCTTCCAGAAACACCCTCATAGATATGCCCAGAAATCGTGTTTGACCAGCTATGTGTGTCTCTTAATCCACTCAAGTAGATGTCTAAAATTAACTGTCAGAATATTTATGCCTGATTCATGGCTGAAATTGTGTTTGATCAGCTATGTGTGTCTCTCAATCCAATCAAGTAGATGCCTAAAGTTAACCATCAGAATATTTATGCCTGATTCATGGCTGAAATCGTGTTTGACCAGCTATGTGTGTCTCTTAATCCAGTCAAGTAGATGTCTACAATTAACCATCAGAATATTTATGCCTGATTCATGGCTGAAATCTTGTTTGACCAGCTATGTGTGTCTCTTAATCCAGTCAAGTAGATGTCTACAATTAACCGTCAGAATATTTATGCCTGATTCATGGCTGAAATCGTGTTTGACCAGCTATGTGTGTCTCTCAATCGGATCAAGTAGATGTCTGAAATTAACCATCAGAATATTTATGCCTGATTCAAGGCTGAAATTTCAGGATGAAAGCTATGAAATCTCTATTTGTGTTTGTATATCTATTAATGTATGTTATGTATATGTGATATTTTCTTAACTCCAGAGAGCATTGCAAAATTCATTTATGAAATCCTCTAAAAGTGCTCTATTCTAACTTGGCTTGGAAAAAAATAAGCATTTATAAATAAATATTCACCAAACTCCTAGAAATATAGGAACTGATCAAATGTTTCTTAAGTTAACATGATTTGGATAAAACTTAGTTAAATAAGATTAATATAGTATTTTTGGTGTAATAAAACAACTATATCTTCAAAATTATCATTATTGAATATAAAACAAGCATAAATTCCTATTCTGCTTGAGTTCTAGTCAAATAAGCTAATATTATACTTACTAGAAATGTAAAATCTTAAAGCTTATAGATTTGATTCTAATTAAGTTGTCATTCTTATGAAAAACATTATTTTTTTATGCTGAAAAAATACACATATATTTAGAGTTAGCCAGCTGGACTCAGTTTAGATGATCCCAATTTTGTTACAACATCGAAAGCATCATAATCAGGAGCAAGTCGAACATATGCCTTGTTCTCTTTATCAGGACAAATCAGGGTGGTGACCTTGGCCACATCACTGTCATAGAGCTTCTTCACAGCCTGTCTGATCTGGTGCTTGTTGGCTTTAACATCCACAGTGAACACAAGCGTGTTGTTTTCTTCTATCTTCTTCCGGCCGACTCAGTGGTCAGCGGAAACTTGATGATAGCATAGTGGCCAAGCTTGTTTCTCCTGGGGGTGCTCTTCCGAGGATATCTGGGCTGCCTCCGGAGTCGCAGTGTCTTGGGCCGCCTGAAGGTGGGTGACATGCGGATCTTCTTTTTTGCGTGTGGCTGCGGACACCTTTCAACACTGCCTTCTTGGCCTTTAAAACCTTCACTTTGGCTTCGGCTTTAGGAGGAGCAGGAGCTTCCTTCGCTTTCGGTGCCGTCTTGTGAAAAGCGAAAAACATTATTTCAAAAATAATTTGTTTACAGTAAATCTGCCTAAGAATAGTTTCCAAAGTACTTTTGGTAATTTTTAACCTTAAAGTTAAGCTAAGTAAAAGATTTGCATTAAATATCTAGACCATTTATAAATAAGATACAATACTAAAACATTAATTACTGAACATAAATAATTCAAGTTTATATACTTTTGGCTTCCTGTTTTTACAGAGAGACTAAAGATATTTTGGCCCGTTAATAAACATGTTTTTTTCTGCCACACTGAGGAATTGTATTATGAGGAAACACATCCCTCTAGATGTTGGGAGATGGTATATTCATACATTTTCTAACCTACTATAGAATGCTAATATATGACAGTTTATAACTGTCTACTTCCTAGTTTTCTCTGGAAAATAAAAGATTACTAAGTATTAAAATTATAATCAATATATGTAAATAAAACTACTAGAAATAATAGAATAACTAGAAACAACTCTATGCAAAGCATGCAAGAAAAGTAGGGCATGTTTCGCAAGTAAAGTAGGTTGCATTTTTTATAAGGAAAACCATACAGAAGATACAAATAAAAAGAGATACCTAACCTTCCCTGTGTTATATTTGTATGGGTAAAATGTTATGTTTTCAGAAATTATATAAAATTCCTGGAAGTTTGTCAATGTCCTCCTTATCCATGCTATGTGCCACTATAGAGTAATGAGTCATAATTCCAATTATTACTTTAAATGTTGTGCCAGGCACAGTGGCTCATGCCTATAATCCCAGCACTTTAGGAGGCTGAGGCAGGTGGATCACAAGGTCAGGAGATCCAGACCATCCTGGCTAACTCGGTGAATCTCCATCTCTATTAAAAATATAAAAAATTAGCCGGGCGTGATGGCAGGCACCTGTAGTCCCAGCTACTCGGGAGGCTGAGGCAGGAGAATGGCGTGAACCCAGGAGACAGAGCTTGCAGTGAGCCGAGATCGCACCGCTGCACTCCAGCCTGGGCGACAGAGCAAGACTCTGTCTCTAAATAAATAAATAAATAAATGTTGTCTGCCACAGAAAAAATCTAATATTTTGGTAGAAACCCCGTCTCTACCAAAAATACAAAAATTAGATGGGCATGACGGCATGTGCCTGTAGTCCCAGGTAATCAGGAGGCTGAGGAGGGAGGATCGTTTGCACCCAGGAGGTAGAGGTTGCAGTGAGCTGACATTGCACCTTTGCACTCCAGCCTGGGCGACAGAGCCAGACCCTGTCTCAAAAAAAATTTTTTTAAAGGAAAACTATAGCCATTGAGAGTTATCAGATTCTAGTCTTGTTTCTTGTTTCTGGGCTATTTTTACCTCTTTGTAAACTGGATCCTGCCATCTGATGAATTTTGTCTCACAATGATACTTGGGGAACAAGAAGCCAAGTATTGTCTCTCCTACTAATGTATCTATTGTCAGTTAATTTGAAGGTCTCCAACCCTGGAACAAAGTTAGAAGAGGAAGGTTCTACTCCCCAAAATGCATAACCAAATTGTGCTACATTCATGTAATGGAATACTATTTAGCCATAGAAAGGAACAAGATATCAACACACACAAAGACATGAGTGAATCTTGCATGCACATTGCTAAGTGGAAGAAGACAGTCTGAGGAGGATACACACAGTGTGACCTCATTTAATGAGACACTGGGGAAGGCAAACTACACAGATGGGAAGCCATTGGCTCCATGGGGTGGGGGTTTGAGGCATTCCATATGATACTTTAATAGCGGGATATCTGCCACAATGCATTTGTCGAAATATGCAGAATTTTACAGCCAAATGGTTAAAGCAAACTCTATTCAAATTAAATCAAATTACTCAGGATGTGGAGTATCCCAGGACAGAATACATCATGTGAAAAAGAATTTATGCTACAAATTACGATGGTTTGGATGTGGTTTGTCCCCACAAAAACTCATGTTGAAATTTGACTCCCACTGCGTCAGTGTGGGGCGGTGGGGCCTAGTGGACGGTGTTTGGGTCATGGGGACGGATCCCTCATGAATAGATTAATGTCCTCCATGGGGGTGAGTGAGTTCTGTTCTCACAGGAATAGATAATTCCTGCAGGAGCAGGTAATTAAAAAGAGCCTGGCTTCCTTGGCTTCCCTCTTGCTTTCACTTCTGCTATGTGATCTCTGGTGCACCCCTTGCTCCCCTTCCACTTTCCACCATGAGGTGAAAAAGACTGAGGCCCCGCCAGATGCAACTGCCCAATCTCACACATTCCAGCCACCAGTATTGTGAACCAAATGAAACTGTTTTACTTATAAATTACGCAGCCTCAGGTATTCTGTTACAGAAGCACAAAATGGACTAAGACACAAATCTAGGTAAAAACTTTGAAAATGAATAGAATCTGTAGGCTGAAGGCACATGAACTATACTTCATTATTGGATTCCATTTTATAAAGTTCTTTCCAACAGAAGTAATTGTGAACAATTGTAAAACCACAGTGTCTGTATCTGGAGTAAAACAATGACTTACATAAGTCGCAGATGGTGGGAACCAGCTTTCTCACTGTTGAAGTGGGAGGTTACAAATTAGCAAGACGAGAAGGCTAGAATGATTCCTGTGATAGTAGATCAGAGGTGGAGACATCAACGTAAACTTATGCTTAGTTTAATATAGATACACACAGTTCTACATAGAAAACTTTATAATTAGGTGTGTGTAGGTAGGTTAGACACGCACATATGCTTCCTAGCATTGCTAATGAGGGACAAGATACAATGTGCATTCAGCAGCCACATGTAAGTTTTCCCACCATTCTGAAAGGAATCAGGCTCTTTGAAGAAATGTCTGATACTAGAACTGGGACAGTAAATATAGGAGCCAGGATAATCTGGAAGTATCAGAAAGTAAGTACTAAAAAAATTAAAATATATCAAACAAAAATAAAAGCCAATAAAAACAGCTACCGATGGCCAACACAGGAAGGAATTGTGCAACATAATGCTATAGTGTCGAATAATAACTAAAGCTTAAAGTAATTATCTAGGTGTCTATATTTGTATACCTAGGTGAATAAGCAAATGGAGTTGCATAGAAATCTCCTTTGCAAAAGAATTCCAAATAACTGATGTAGACACTCAGCCATCAAGAAGGTGGAGCCAACTCCTCACTCCGTAAGTGTGGGCTCTGCATAGTGACTTGCTCCAAAAGAACACATGCAGTACGGACAAGGAGGAAAAATAACTTCACAGTGGAGAAATCTGACAAACAGTAGCTCTGCCAAATGATCCAAGTGAACATCAAAGCTGACAGTTCACCTTGAGAACATGAAGTGACAATGGGCGGCATTCTACAAAATTCCTGACCAATCCTCCTCAGTGCTATGAAGGTCATCATGAGATGGAAAGCCTGACACACTGTCACAGCCAGGAAGAGCCTATGTGATGACTACATGTCGTGCGGGATCCTGGATGGGATCCTGGGTCAGAGTAAGATAGAACTAAGGGAATCCAAATGAAATATGAACTTTAGTTAATAACAGTCTATCAGTATTGGTTCATTAACTGCGGCAAATTATGTAAGATATTAATAAGCCATGTGAAACACACTGATAGAAGATGTTAATAAGAGAGGAAACTAGGTTGCGGCTACATGGGAAATCTCTGCTTTTTTTGACAATTTCCGTGTAAGTAAAAAAAAGACGTAAAATAAAACTTTATTTAAAACACTGTTTTTTTAACACTTCCTTGTTTCATTATTTATACCATGAATTACTAGTAATTGACACTGTTAACTAGTCCTGTTTTTTAAAATAAGAGCAATTATGACACAAAAAATTAAACAGTGCAGACTGATATATAAATCAAAACAAATGTCCTTTACATGTTTTCTGTTACAGTAGTAACAATATGTGTAAACTTAATTATTATATTTTTTTCTTGTGCTGTGGTTGTGTCCTGGGTTCATTCTCTAAAATGCTGTTCACCTTAGACCAGGAAAAATATTAACCATACAGACTCTGTTTCAAGTCATAGCTGAATATTTTCAAAAGAGTGACTTTGTAAAAACATGTTCCAATGGCAAATTGATTCATTGTGATGGGATCACTTATTCCAAAGACTTCTTGTCTTTATTTTGTTGCCATGCCTACCTTTTAGCCGTGATACAACAGAATCAAATATTGGCCACTGGGAAAAAATATTCAAAGAAAGAAAGAATGTGAACGGAACTTATGACCATGATGATTCAATGTTTTACCACAATGCTTTCTAAAACAAAAGAGTCTAAAAGGATATTCAAAGTCAATTTCCTCAGCGAGGCTTTGCAGAAAATGAGGAAACTAGAAAAACAAAAATGGCAGGACATTCTACGGGTGATTTTACATGTTGCTATGTTTTATGGGAAAAAATACTTTACCTTTTAAAGAATCACAAAGAATTATTGGAAACCCAAACTCTGGAATGTTTGCAAATTTAGTTGAGCTTCTATGTAATTATGTCTATATAGGTAGCCATGAAGTTGATGATTTCTTAAAAATCTGTGCCTTATTTGTGTAATAAAAGACACAATGAATAATTAATACTCATAGGAACACTTACGAAGGGAAAATAAATCTTGGGGACTCAAAATCACTAAGCTAAAGGGAAAAGTCAAGCTGGGAACTGCTTAGGGCAAACCCGCCTCCCATTCTATCCAAAGACACCCGTCTGATCACCGAGATAAATGCATACCTGATTGCCTCACGTGGAAAGGGTAATCAGCAATGCAAAAGAATGAAACCATTTGTCTCTTACCTACCTGTGACCTGGAAGCCCCCTGTCTGGCCTTCTCACCTTTCTGGACTGAACCAATGTACATCTTACACGTATTGATTGATCTCTCGTGTCTCCCTAAAGTGTATAAAACCAAGCTGTGCCCCGACCACCTTGGGCCCATGTTGTCAGGATCTCCTGAGGAGGCATCACAGGCGCACATCCTCAAGATTGGCAAAATAAACTTTCTAAAAAATCTGAGAGCTGTCTCTGATTTTCAGGGTTCACACATGTAATGTAGGATGTCAATGTTTATAAAAGGGATGTTATTCTATCTACTATTAGAAATATGCTGTCAATTAACCTTAAACTTTCTCAACAAAATAAAAAATGTTGATGAGGTACAAATAATATATCTAGGCTTAAATAGTGTTGCAAATTTTAATATGCCTACTTTTCAATTTTTCAATACTATCTTTACTAATTTAACACTGTAAGAAAAATGAGTAATTAAAACATGAATAAAAGTGTTTACAGTGGATGCACGTTTCCTCCAGCCTCTGCCTATACCCAACTTTCATCCCAACTGTCCTGATGGTGGCTCTAAGCATTTCTCCTTTCTCTATACCAAGATATCTCCCCAGAAACAAACCCA
This sequence comes from Homo sapiens, assembly GCF_000001405.40. Taxonomy (NCBI): domain Eukaryota; kingdom Metazoa; phylum Chordata; class Mammalia; order Primates; family Hominidae; genus Homo; species Homo sapiens. The sequence goes on along the minus strand of NC_000002.12, from coordinate 242,169,770 downwards.
AATCTTACTATATGTTATGGCACGCTATGATGATGAGCAGCGATGAGCAGCCGAAGCCTCAAGGAAGGGATGCTTTTGTAAAACAAGACTTGTGGAATATAACATGTGAAAGTAAAGCCCATGGCAGAGCTCCCTCCTCAGCACACGGGGAGCAGACAGGAAGCTGTTGCCTCACCTTCCTCAATGGCCTGCAGCCACGTCTCCCAGGTCAGTCTTAAGGACAATGAAACTCTGGTCTTCACTGTGGACACGCCACACTACCAGGTGCTCCAAAGCCATGGTGACCCACCCTCGGGTGGGTCCTGAGGAGAACAAAGCTCTGGTTCTAATTCTAACCCTAACCTTGTCCCAAGACTTTGACACTGAACCTAAATCCTGATCCCTATCCTGGTCCCTAATTCTGACCCTTACTTTGACCCTGACTTTGATCTCGACCCTGACCATGACCCCACCTCTAACCATACTTCTGGCCCTGACTCTGACCCAGATCCTAATCCTATCCCTAACCCTATTATTATCTTTACAATCTATGTCTAATCTTACCCTCTAGTGCTAAATAGCTGTACCCAAAAGCACTTTTAAATTATTTAACTTCTTTTCCATGAATTCTCTAAGGACATCCTAAAGGAGATGTCAATATGTATTTTGCATTCCCTCTGAGTGGTATGGCTTCAGATAAGAAGTTCTAATACTTTGCAAGACATAAAAAGTTTGGAGGGTGACAGCACTGGGTTGTTAGGGATGCATGTTGGCATTCGTTGTAGTCATAGGTGCTGTTCTCCAGATATTTTCAGTTCATATTTTATGAATGCATTCTGACTGTTCCATCCCGCCTACTTACATTTTCACATGGCCACATGACTTTTTTTTTTTGCCAATGGAGGTGAGAAGAAATAACATGTGACTTTTTCAGGAGAAATCTCCAAGAAACAGAGTGCTATTCCACATACTTTTTTCTCTTTTCTATAGCAATGGGGATCTTATTGATCGTCCCTCCTTCCGTCTGGATTCCTGTGTTAGGATGACACAGCACAGAGCTACCTCTCACCTGACCCATGATGAAATGTAAATAAATGAGGAAGAAGATTTTTGAGCCACTGAAATTTGGAGGTTGTTTGTCACCACAGTTTAACCTAGCCCCCATTGACTGATGCACGGCTGAAGAATGAGTCCGAACTGGATCTGGACAAGACATGTGAAGAGAGCTCCAGGCTGAGTTAAATTCAAGTGTTTTCTTAAAGATAACAGTGAGCACGATATGTTATTGGGGTGGGTGTGGGATAAATAAGGTATATCAGGTGAGAATAATAAGAAACTCAACTTTAAAAGAAGGTGCTGATTTGGACTGTAGACAGATTCAACTGCCCTGCTTAGCATTTGCGATTGTGATGGATGAACTAATTAAGAGCCCAAAATGAAAGCTTGGGATAAATATCTGAGGGTGTCTAATATCCCAGTTTTTCATCCTAGAATGGGCAGAGTCCTTGACCCCATTCTAGGGAGACTTCCAAAAGAAAAAAGACCTGCATTTCTTCAACAACCCACATAGAGAGACTTTCCTGCACTTTTGACCTGTGGCTAACACTCCTTACCTTTCATTCTGTCATCAGTGTTTTAGGGAAACACCTTTAACTCTCTACGATTTACAGGTTATTAAGTGGCGCTTACAATTCCCTCCAGAGGTGAAAAAGACATAATGATGGTGTCTGAGCTCACAGCAGCAAGCAGGCGTGTGTGCTCAGCAGCCACGTGGCTCATCTGCTAGGAGCTTGCTAAATACGATGTTCTACAACATTGCTTAACACAAGGGGAGACGCTCCTGACTTGGAGAGTTTAATTGCTCACCTACTTCTTTTTCTGCCCTCTTGGGCTTCTAAAATGAAAAGAACCCTGGGGTGATAAAGTGAGTCAAAGGGGTACCAGGTGCATCACAGCAAAATAGATTCCTAAAAAATCCCTGGCCTAAGATGATACCCTTGGCTGGATACGTTTGAATGTGCTGATAGTGGACATGGTAGAGTGAAGGTGGTTGAAATGTTCATATTAAAGAACTTCCACCCAGATTGCAAGAAAAGAGAGAGGAATGGAGATGGCAGCACGAGTCCCTACAATAAAAGCAGATGTTTTGAGACCGGTTATATTTCTTCCGACAAAAATTAAAGACAGAAACCAAAGTTTAGCCTGAGGCTACAATTAATTGGGCAATAAGCCGAAGGCACATATGGCATAGACAGATTTAAACATTTCTCCCTTATATTAATACAAATACTAAAATTACAAATACTTTGATTCCAAATAAAACAAATATTTAAAAAATTTAATGAATAAACACTGGGGTCTACAGTAGTATTTGAAGGAGATCTCACAAACAGGTTTGGTTTTTGAAGGTTAGAACTGGTGGTCTAGAGAATTCATTTCATTCCAGAGAGAGAAAGAGAGGAATTTCTTGGGTTCCTTCAGGAATGTGTCTAGCTTTGCCTCATGTTTGTTTGAACGATGGATACGGCAGAAGAAAGCATGAGGATTTCACAGATTTAAGGTGCAAAAAGTCACTGGGTTCTCTAAGAAGTCTGGGATTCTTCTGCTGCAAAAATAAGTTTGTTGAGAAAAAATGAGTTGGAGGAGGCTGTTATTGAAGTGAAGCAGAATTGTTTTTACTAATCTGCTTATTACCCACTCTGCAGTGTGGAAACAAATTATTCATGCACAAGGTCCTCTTACTGTTCCTAGAATGCAGTGGAAAGAGAACAGATTAGTTTTTCTCACTCAGAACACAACCCCTAGAAACATCCTACCTCAGATGAGATATTGCCTAATTATTTTCAAAGGACAGTGAAAAATTATGGATGTAATGTTTGCTGCAAAATTAATACATGCTAGAAACAGAAGCATCTGGGTCACAGCTATATTAGAGCTATCTGTGTTCCCCTGTCACTGAGATTAAAACAAAAATGTCCAATACAATCACTCACAGCATGGGAGAGGGGAAGTTGAAGGATGGAAAGGCCAGGCATAAAAGGATTTCAGAATTTCCGTCCATAAGGAAGTAGCTTTGTGCATTGTCTGTTACTGTGTGCAAGGTGAAGTTTGGAGAATGAAAACGTGCAGTAACAACGGCTCCTTTGTCCCTCTCACCTCTCCAGATACCAAGTTTCAGACATGTTGCATTTTAGTTGAAAGGTTGATATAATTTTTTTTAAAGAACACTTGCGGTGTTTGAAGTGACAAAGGCTGCTGTGACAAAAAAGCAGGGAAAGGGATTTTTTTTAAAAAGCAAACAACAACAACAAAAACCCCACAGAAAAGCAAACAACAAACAAACAAAAAACAGAGGAAGAAGTTGAACACCCTGGGCTGTGACTACTTCCAGGAAGGGGCTACAAGAGGCAGTTGGAAATTCTATTTGCTTTGCAACTGTGGGTCTTCCAGCCTGCTTCCTTTCTAAAGTATATTACTCTGCTTTTGGTTCATGAAATTATCCATTTCTGTTTTCTGGAACAGCTATGTATTTTCTTTATCTATCATCTATCTATCTACCTGCCTATCATCTATCTATCTATTTACTATCTATCTTTTCTACCTTTCGCTATCAAGAGCTTGGGTCAAGCAGGATAGAATTCCAGTGTATATTCACTCTACCATTTAAAACAAGAGCTCTTGTAGGCATTCTCCATCACATCATAAACCTGAGCTTTCTAAAACAGGGTGTGGCAAACTACCATGCATGGACCAGGTCTGACACAGTCTGCGTTTGTAAGTAAAGTTGTAATGGGACACAGCCAATACATGTGTTAAAAAACGTCTCTGGTTACTTTCATGGTATAATGGAAGACCTGAGTCATTAAGAGAGAGACCATATGGCTTGGAAAACTTAAAATATTTAACATTTAGCCCTTTGCAGAAAATATTTGCTGACTCTTGTTTTAAGAGATCTCTGTTTAGAATGCTACCTATTGCCTTCTGGATAGAATCACAACTCTTTACCACGATCAACACAGCTTCAGCCCTGCTTCTATATCCAGCCTCATCTATTTCTGCTCCTCCTCCTTATTTTCCTTCCGGACATGCTGATGAATTGTCAGCTTCCCAGATGTGTGAGAATCTCTCCTCCCTTCCCAGCATTCTCATGCTCTCCCTCTGCCTCTCAAGAACTTCCTGCCCCATCTCTCATGACAAATCCCTTCTTCATTCTTTAAGATGCAGCCCCTTTGCTCCTTCCTTAAAGATGTCTATCTGGCTCTATTTTGGGTGACATGCTCCTTCTGCATCTCCCAGAGCCACCCTGTGTGTGTCAGCTACAGCATTTCTTTGCATCTCTGTGTCATATATCACCAAATCTGCCTAACCTTGAGTGAGTCACTGCATGACAACTTCAGACTCCACCAGCATTGTCCCCACCAATCAATTATTTTCAACCATTTAAAAATGTAAAAATCATTCTTGCTTCATGGGCCATACAGAAACAGATGGTGGGCAGAGTTGGCCCAGGGGCAGACCACTGTTTGCTGACCACTGCCACACTGTCTTAATCAAGGCAGCTTTTATGGTGAGCCATGGTATCTAGTAATTTCTCCCATTTTTGTCCCTTTTAAGGGCCCTTACTTGGCCCTTTGCATTTCCATATAAATTTTATAATTAATTTGCAGATGTCCACAAAAAAGCCTATTAGAATTTTAATGGGACAGCTAATGCTAGAAGGGTAATTTTAGGAGAAACAAGAGATGCTTATAAGTTGTGTGTGTGTGTGTGTGAGAGAGAGAGAGAGAGACACAGAGAGAGAGAAAGAGACAGAGAGAGAGAGAGACAGACAGAGACAGAGAGAGACAGGGTTTCACTCTTGCCCAGGCTGGAATGCAACGGTGCAATCATGGCTCACTGTAGCCTCGACCTCCTAGGCTTAAGCAATCCTCCCACATCAGCCTTCCAAGGAGCCAAGACTACAAATGTATACCAACACACCTACCTAATTTTTTTGACTTTTAGTAGAGATGGGGTTTCACCATGTTGCCCAGGCTGGTCTCAAATTCCTGGGCTCAAGTGATCCACCCACCTTGGCCTCCCAAAGTACTGGGATTATGGGTATGAGCCACCATGCCTGGCCTTTTAAAAAAGTTTGAGACAGGGTCTCACTCTGTCACCCAGGGTGGAGTGCAGTGGTGTGATCATGGCTCACTGTAGCCTCAACCTCCTGGCTCAAGTGATCCTACCACCTCAGTCTTCCATGTAGCTGGGACTACAGCTGCGTGCCACCACATCTGGCTCATTTTTTTTTTCTTTTTTAAGTAGAGACAGGGACTTGCTATGTTGCCCAGGCTAGTCTCAAACTCCTAAGCACAAGCGATCCTCCCGCCTCGGCCCCTGAAAGTGCTGGGATTGCAGGCATGAGCCACCACACCCGGCCAAAAGTTGCTTTTGAGGAGTTATTGCTGTGTGGATGTGATATAACCCTTTCTGTCATCTCTTCACAAAACTTTCTGTAAAACATAAAAATCACCTGGACCTTCAGAGATGAGTTTGTTTATTTTTTTATTTTTTTAAAAATTGCTAATTCACAGAACATGGAGATGAGTATGTTTTGAAGGCTTGGAAGCATGCAAGTGGGAGAAGAAAGGAGTCAGCTACATTCTGGCTGTGTGCAGAGGCAGGTCACTGTGGTGGGAGTGTTCCTGTCTCATGGACTCTGCAAATCACAATGCTTGGCATGGCCTCCCGACCCTGATGGCAGAGAAGCAAACACCAGTCGGAGAGCTGGGGTCCTCCCAGCCCTCTTGGCCCTGTGGCCAATTTTTTCTCCAATAGCCTCATAAAATCACATTATTTGAGTGTCCATGGCTCCAAAACAAGCAGGGATGCCCATGGACCCTGATTATCCATTGTCACCCTTCCCTCCAAACAGCCACCTCTCCCCTGGAGACAGCCCCATACTCCACTCAGACCTGTGCACTTCCTGGTATCCTTGTCACCTGCTTTTTATGTCTCATTTTACAAACACCAAATTGGAAGACAGCAGGAGCTGCCCCATAATACCAGTAAAGTGAGAAGCAGAGATAAACTAGTCCTAGACAGCCGACTCATGTTGGGGGCAGCCCACTCACAGTGGCCCTGACCCAACTCTGACTAGAGGCCACTTGCTCTCAACACCAGGGTGCTCAATGGTCCATCCTGGTACTCTGCTCTTCTCTCTCCACCTTCGCTTTCCTGCAGTCTATGCAGCCTGTGACTCCATCCATGGGCTAGTGACCCCCAGACCTTTTCCTGGGACCACAGGCCTGTGTCTCTATCAGCTGCTCAATACCTCCCCTCGAACATCCATGGCTAACACTGAGCTCCTGATACTCTCTCCCTACCCGCTTCTCTGTGGATTCCCCACCTCCACGAAGGACAGCTTCATCCTTTCAGCTACTCAGGCCAGAAGACTGAAGTCATCTCCTTCTCCAGGAAATCGTATTGGGGGAGCTACAAATATCCAAAATCCGATCGCTTCTCCTCCACTACACCCGAGGCCCGCCACCCATTTTTGCCTGAATTGCTGCAGCAGCCTCCTAACCGATCTCTGCTTTCACGTGGGCACCTCAGTTTTTTCCAGAACAACAACCAGAGAGATCTGCTCACACCCAAGTCAGACCAGGTTACTCCTCTGCTCTCATAGCATTTGGAGGAAAACCCAGAGTGCTCGTGTTGGCCGGCAGAGCCAGCCCCCATCTCCTCTGACCTCCTCCCCACCTCTTGCCCTCAGCACCCAGAGTGCTCGTGTTGGCCAGCAAAGCCGGCCCCCATCTCCTCTGACCTCCCACCTCTCGCCCTCTGCACCCAGAGTGCTCGTGACGGCCAGCAGAGCCAGCCCCCATCTCCTCTGACCTCCCACCTCTCGCCCTCAGCACCCAGAGTGCTCGTGTTGGCCAGCAAAGCCGGCCCCCATCTCCTCTGACCTCCCACCTCTCGCCCTCTGCACCCAGAGTGCTCGTGACGGCCAGCAGAGCCGGCCCCCATCTCCTCTGACCTCCCACCTCTCTCCCTCAGCTAGTCCTCGAACATGTCTGATGTGGTCCCACCTTGGGACCCACATTGCTACTCCTCTGCCTGTAGGGGTACCCACAGTTATCCACACAGTTCACTCCTGTCTTTCAGGTCTTTGTGCAAATATCACCTTCTCAGTGGAGACTACACCTTCAGGACTTAGGCTGTGCCTGGCACATAGTAGGTGCTCTGTAGACACTGGTTGTAGGAAGGAATCTACAGGTTGAAATAAGGAGATCATTTCCCTGAGGTTCCGAAGCTCATATTTACTCACCATTTGTTGTTTACTGCTAATATTGAGCACTATCAGTAAAATACATAAAACCCTTTGCCAATCCAGGAAATGAAAATGACACTTTACTGTTTTAGTTTGCATTTCTCTGCTTACAAATGGATTACACGCATTTTCATGTGCTGTTGGCTACTTATTCATTCAGAAAACATACTAAGTGCTGGCTCTTTTTCATGTCCTTTATCAAGTTTGGATCATGTCATTTGCTGTTTTCTTTCTGATGTAAACTCTCAAAGTTTGAAGGGTATTGTCTTTTCCTGACACATACATTGTAAATAATTTTCTGGCTTACATTTTGACTTTTAATTTCATTCACGATGTTTTTAATGAATAATTTTAATTTTTATGAATGCAAGTTAAAATAATTCTTTCATTGTGGTTTCTGACATGTCATGCCAATAAGGGTCTTCTCCTCCAAGAGCACAGAAATATTTGCCAATACTGTCCTTAAAATCGGTCACAGTTTCATTTTTTATATATGCATTTTACTTCAATTGGGGCTTCATTTTACTGAATGCCCTATTTGAAGCAAGTTTCTCAGTTAATTCTTTTCTCAAAGTGCTAAGTATGGTAGATTGCAAACATAAGTGGCCACATAATACTCCCACCTCCTTGGCCTCCTCTCCCAGGAGGAGATAGCCTCCATCTTTCCACTCCTTAATCTGGGCTTGGCCATGTGACTTACACTGGCCAATGGGATATTAACAAGTCTGATGTGCACAGAGGCTGTAGAATGTGCACTGGGGCTTGGTCTCTCTTGCTGCCCTGGAGACCAGCTGCCCCACGAAGGAAACAGAGCCAACCTGCTGCTTCCTGGGGGGAGACAGTCCCTCAGTCCCTCTGTCTCTGCCAACCAGTTAACCTGCTGCTTCCTGGAGGAAGACAGTCCCTCAGTCCCTCTGTCTCTGCCAACCAGTTAACCTGCTGCTTCCTGGAGGAAGACAGTCCCTCTGTCCCTCTGTCTCTGCCAACCAGTTAACCTGCTGCTTCCTGGAGGAAGACAGTCCCTCAGTCCCTCTGTCTCTGCCAACCAGTTAACCTGCTGCTTCCTGGAGGAAGACAGTCCCTCTGTCCCTCTGTCTCTGCCAACCAGTTAACCTGCTGCTTCCTGGAGGAAGACAGTCCCTCAGTCCCTCTGTCTCTGCCAACCAGTTAACCTGCTGCTTCCTGGAGGAAGACAGCCCCTCTGTCCCTCTGTCTCTGCCAACCAGTTAACCTGCTGCTTCCTGGAGGAAGACAGTCCCTCTGTCCCTCTGTCTCTGCCAACCAGTTAACCTGCTGCTTCCTGGAGGAAGACAGTCACTCTGTCTCTGCCAACCCAGTTGACCGCAGACATGCAGGTCTGCTCAGGTAAGACCAGCACAGTCCCTGCCCTGTGAGCCAAACCAAATGGTCCAGCCACAGAATCGTGAGCAAATAAGTGATGCTTAAGTCACTAAGATTTGGGCAAAAGCTGAGCATTTATCCCAATCCCAATACTGTTTGTCCTTCTGTTTATCTGTCTGTCCTTCTCTGCTCATTTAAAATGCCCCCACTGCATCTAGTACATTTTTATAGGATCAGGGATCTGCTCTTGGATTTATGTCATGTTCCCACCTCGAGGCAGCTTTGTAAGCTTCTGAGCACTTCCCAATTCCGGGTGACTTCAGGCGCTGGGAGCCCTGTGCATCAGCTGCTGCTGTCTGTAGCTGAGTTCCTTCACCCCTCTGCTGTCCTCAGCTCCTTCGACCCTGGGCCTCAGGAAATCAATGTCATGCTGACATCACTCTAGATCTAAAACTTGGGTTCTTGGACCAGGTGCGGTGGCTCACATCTGTAATCCCAGCAATTTGGGAGGCCGAGGCGGGTGGATCACAAGGTCAGGAGATCAAGACGATCCTGGCTAACACGGTGAAACCCCGTCTCTACTAAAAATACAAAAAAATTAGCCGGGTTTGGTGGCAGGTGCCTGTAGCCCCAGCTACTCGGGAGGCTGAGGCAGGAGAATGGCGTGAACCTGGGAGGTGGAGCTTGCAGTGAGCCAAGATCACGCCACTGCACTCCAGACTGGGAGAGAGAGCGAGACTTTCTCAAAAAAAAAAAAAAAAACTTAGGTTCTTGGATGTTCGGGAAAGGGGGTTCTTTATCTAGGATCCTTGAAGCACCCCCAAGGGCATCTTCTCAAAGTTGGATGTGTGCATTTTCCTGAGAGGAAAGCTTTCCCACATTATTCAGCTTCTGAAAGGGTTACTTGACCCACAGATGTGAAGCTGAGGCTGAAGGAGACTGATGTGGTTTCTCCTCAGTTTCTCTGTGTGGCACCAGGTGGCAGCAGAGGTCAGCAAGGCAAACCCGAGCCCAGGGATGCGGGGTGGGGGCAGGTACATCCTCTCTTGAGCTACAGCAGATTAACTCTGTTCTGTTTCATTGTTGTTGTTTAGTTTGCTTTTTTTTCTCCAACTTTGTGCTTCATCAGGAAAAGCTTTGGATCACAATTCCCAGTGCTGAAGAAAAGGCCAAACTCTGGAAAAAATTTGAATATTTTGAGCCAAATGTGAGGACCACAACCTGTGAGAACGGAAAATAAATCCTGGGACCCCAGACTCACTAAGCCAAAGGGAAAAGCCAAGCTGGGAACTGGTTTATGCAAACCTGCTTCCCATCTGGTTCCTAAATAAGATAGCTATTACACAAAGACAAAAAAGCTACATCCCTGCCTCTACCTCCATCGCATGCAAAATGTGTATTCAGTGAACGCTGACCAAAGACAGAAGAATGCAACCATTTGCCTCTGATTTACCCACACCCATTTTTTCCACTTCTTCCCCTTTCCCCAATACCCGCACTTTTCCCCTTTACTTACTGAGGTCCCCAGACAACCTTTGGGAAAAGCACGGACCACAGTTTTTCCTGTGGTTCTCTGTTCTTTTCTCAGGTGTGTCCTTAACCTTGCAAATAGATTTCTTGAAATGATTGAGACTCACCTTGGTTGTGTTCTTTGATTAGTGCCTGTGACGCAGCTTCAGGAGGTCCTGAGAACGTGTGCACAGTTTAGTCGGCAGAAACTTAGGGAAATGTAAGACCACCATCAGCACATAGGAGTTCTGCATTGGTTTGGTCTGCATTGGTTTGGTCTGGAAGGAGGAAAATTCAAAGTAATGGGGCTTACAGGTCATAGATAGATTCAAAGATTTTCTGATTGTCAATTGGTTGAAAGAATTATTATCTACAGACCTGCTATCAATAGAAAGGAGAGTCTGGGTTAAGATAAGAGACTGTGGAGACCGTGCATAGTTGCTTCCTGATCAGCTCTTTATTTGATTGAGAGTGAGGCAGGGAAGATTAGAGGGAAGCTTACAGTGGAATTCAGGGCTGAGGCTGCTATTCTTTTGCTCCTTGTAACTTCCTACAGTGTTGTCAGCATCCACATACTTCTCTGTGGGGTTGGTCTCAGAGCCAGGTTACCTTGTCTTAGGTCCAGTGGCAGCCTGACTGGCTTGGTGTCCTTGAACAAGTTACCTAACCTCTCCATACCTCAGTCCCTCAGCTGTAAAATTTAAAAAAAAAAAAAAAAGAAGAAGAGTACCTACTGTATAGCATTGATTTGAAGATTGAATGAGCTGGTATTATACAACGTTTAGAAGCAGTGCCTGACACGCAAAAGGCTCTCAACAAATACTATCCTTTACTAATATCCTGTGTGTCTGTACCAGAGCTGGTGGGGTGGAGGGACAGAAAGAAGTGGGAGAAGGTAAAGAGATGGGCAAATGATCTCTAAAGTCTCTCTGGCACTAACACAATTCTTTATTATGTGTTTTGTCTGGCTCTTTATATTGATAGCTGTTCCAGAGGCAATCAATAGCTATTAGTCGGTTTTATTCTTATTTTTCTGTCTGATCTTACAGGGGAGCAAACTGTGGCAAAGCATGAACTTACTTCTCAGGAAATTAACCATTATATTGGCAATCACTGTGATTATTTGAACTTCAGCATCTGGACAAATTTAGTCACATGAAATACAGAAGAGAGATTTCTCATGGTTAAAACGAAGCTCTCTTTATTTGCTTCTGCTAATTAAAAAATCAGAGCTAAAGATACTTAAACACTACAGTTAAAATGCCATGGTTGTCTATTGGCTTAATGAATTCTCTTATGAAATCAACTCTAAAATGTTATCCATCATAAATCATGAAACACAATTTTTCTTATTCTCTTTAGAGCTTTACAATTCATCTTAAAGACCAGTGTTTACACTCTCTTCTGTAGGTTGTACAATAACCTTTGGCGAGAAAAAATAAAAGTCTGGCTTTCTGACTCATAGGTGTGTTCCCTTTAACAGAAAAAAGAAAATAAGTCCTCTTTAAAACTGATGATCATTGGTCACCTCAATTTTATTGAAGTTCACTTCTGACCTCCTTAGATGTAGTTCTCTACACAAAACTGCCCAAAAGAATTCTCTGTCTGAATGCCTCCTCCACAAACAAAATTTTAAGAACTAAAATCATCATCTTTCCTTCCAAATGTGCTCTCCCTATGTCCCCAGGGCTCTCCATGTGTAGAGCTGAGACCATGTGCCACTCAGTTTCCTCACCCAATTAATTACAAGTCCCAACAATTTTCCGTTTTTTTGTTGTTGTTGTTGTTTTTTTTTTTAGACGGAGTCTTGCTCTGTCACCAGGCTGGTGTGTGGTGGTGCAATCTCAGCTCACTGCAACCTCCGCTGCCTGGGTTCAAGCGATTCTCCTGCCTCAGCTTCCCAAGTAGCTGGGATTATAGGTGTGTGCCACTACATCCAGATAATTTTTGTATTTTTAGTAGAGAGGGGATTTCACCATATTGGCCCAGATGATCTCAATCTCTTGACCTCATGATCTGCCCACCTTGGCCTCCCAAAGTGCTGGGATTACAGGCGTGAGCCGCCATCCCTGGCCCAGTTTTGCCTTTTTAACATCCCTCAGCTTTTCAAATCCATTTTCTCTTCTCTAACACCTCCCCATTCCCCAGCTCGTAATGAACTCTTAAGTAGATTACTACAATCACCTCCCAAATGGTCTTCCTGGCTCCATCAGCCTTGTGACCTTCAAGTTCATTTTCCACATGGATGTCAGAGTAACTTTCTAAAATGAAAATCTGACCATGTTACTCTCTTGCCTAAATCCGCCTATGGCCGCTCTTAGGATCAAGTCTAAACTCCCGACCCTGGAACATCAGGTCTTCGTGCTCTGTTCACTGCTTCTCTACCTCACCTGCAACCAACACCACTCCCACATCCATATGCTGCTCACCGTGTATCAACATGAACAGGAGGTGGGTGTTTCAGTCCCCAGGAAGACACTGGGCCTTTTCAATCATCTACTGCTGTGTAATAACCACCCCGCAAACTGACCACATGATTTCATTTTGCAAGGGTTCCTTCCTTGGGCTGTGTTCAGCAAAAGGGTTTACTGAGCTGGCAGGTCCAAGATGGCCTCACTCACAGGACTGGCTGTTGATGGGAGCCTTGATGCTCTTGGGCTCACCCCTTATCCTCCAGTAGGTTAGAGCTTCTTACAGTGGTTTCAGGCAGCATCTGAAGACAGTAAAAGCAGAAGCTCCAAGGCTTCTTACATTCTAGCCTGGAAAATCACATCACATTGCTTCCTTCATATTTTTTTGGCAAATCAGGTTGCAAGGCTTGCCCAGATTAGGGTAAAGAGGCAAAGAGGCTCCTTTTCTTTTCTTTTCTTTTCTTTTCTTTTTTTTTTTTTTTGAGTCAGAATCTCGCTCTGTTGCCCAGGCTGGAGTGCAGTGGTGTGATCTAGGCTCACTGCAAGCTCTGCCTCCTGGGTTCACGCCATTCTCCTGCCTCAGGCTCCCAAGTAGCTGAGACTACAGGCACCTACCACCACGCCCGGCTAATTTTTTTTTTTTTTGTATTTTTTAGTAGAGACTGTGTTTCACTGTGTTAGCCAGGATGGTCTCCATCTCCTGACCTCATGATCCTTGCAAAGGGACATGCAGACCACATTAGTGAGAATATGTGCCTGTATTTTGCAATCTGTAACATGGGCATAAACTAAATGTTTTCCAAAGGGAATAGGGCAAAACAAAAAGGACCTTGACCACTCCTTGGCCCTGAATAAATCCAGGAAGCCTAAGAGTATGACTATCCTGAGGTAGAAAGAGGGTCACATGCTGGATAAGAGGTACCTGGGCTCTCCACTTACAAGAAGAGAGCATGGTTACATTTATAATCACCATTCCCAACATGCTGTGAGTGCAGGCAGCTACCAGGAGGAGAACAAAGGAAATAACCAGGACACTCATCTCTAAACCTGTTAATTTAATCACACGGAACACTTCTATTTAAAATTCCCGAGAGTTAAGATGTAAGAATGCTTATCAAGGTAAATGCTGTTCACACTGCTTGGAGTGTCAGGCCTAGATCTCTATCCATCAGAAACAACAATATCAATAACAACAACAGCAACATGATGATGGGGCAATTTCTTAAAAGCACCGTGTATTTTATCGATACATGTCCGTTGCAGAAAATCCAGGTGAATCCAAAGAAGAAATAAATGTCTTCCACAATCCCATAGCCCAGAGCTAACTAACCACTATAAAGAACCCAGCGTGGTTTTAACTAATGGATCAAAAGATGCTCATCAAAGGCTCTGAGCTTTCCTGAGTGCTAACAGGAAACATCCAGCATCACTGGTCTCTCCAAGGCTGCAGGTGTCTTTGCCCATAGTGCCTGTTTTGTGTCAGGGAAAGAATCAACCTGGGAGCCAAGCCCAGGAATCAGGATGACCAAGACATACTGCACAAGGAGGGAACAAACCCATCCAAGGACACTCAAGGACAAATCAAGCAAATGAATTTAAGGGAGACGTGCTCATGGTCTGCTTTGCTGCTCAGCATGGCTGGGAGGCACAGTGGAAGATCATGCATCCTGCCCCTGGGACTCCTCTGCCAGAGCCTGAGAGCTTTCTCCTGCCCACAGGCTAGGGGTAGGGCAGTTGGAATTGATCCATGCCTTCTAGCTAGACTGTGGGTCCCCTCAGTCTTGGGCATGGTGACAGCCCAGCATCAGACAGAGGTCAGTATCAAACTAGAAAATTTAATAAATACTGTCAGATTTGTAGACCCAAGAAAATATAAACTGCCAATCATGGAGGAAAAAAATCTCTCAATGATCTTATCTTTATATGATTCCCTTGCTGCCTGGAGATTGACATTTCCTTGGGGATAATCTGGTCATAGGATTGGTGAAGGTGGAAGGGAGGCAACCTCCAAAGGTGGGGCCCTCTGCTCACCTGGGACAGGGAGGGCCTGAGGTAGGTGTCTGTGTGGGCTGGGGAGGAGGATGGGAGCAGTGCTTCTAGATGTTTCCACTTTCTCCTCATTAGATAATAACGAATGGGTGATTTCCCTAGTCACTGCAGTGTGAGGAAATCTACAAAATTAATTTCACAATACACTTTACAGGATAGGTGGAGAAACACATGAAGCACAACTGCAGTGGGTTATAAAAAACGGCCTTTTGAGTTGAGCAATAAATTCGTTCAAGCAGCCATTCTGAAGGACAAACTGGCTCTGTATTTAAGAGGGGCATTCCAGCACTTCTCTAGCCACTGGGTTGACAATGACTCACCAAAGCCTCTGGTAGCCACCACAGGACACCCAGAGCATATGTTTTAAAGCTGAACACCAAACTGCGGACTTCGGGAGTAAGTGAACTGACTGGCTTTTATTTTGTTTTACTGCTTTTAACATTACAGTAACTGTTACAGGTTCCAGCAGGCTAACTGGGTGGAAATGAGTTTGGTTTCACTTAGTCTCTCTAAAGAGAAAGCAAGTCGGTAGACTAATACCTAATAAAAGCAAAGCTGCCAACAATTGAAATTGCCTAGGCTGCTCTGTGTGTCCCACATGCATGGGTGTGGGTGCCAGTGTGTGTGCGTGTGTGCATGCATGTGCATGTGTGTTGGGATAGAGTGGTAAGAAAATGGGAAATAATAAGAATGTTCAGTCCATAGCCCTTCATTATAAAAAGGTGAGCTGTAATAAATACTAGTGCCACATTTAGCCAAAACTTTACTCCAGCCAAAGGTGATATTTTCATGATAACATCCTGTGATTGCTTTGTTCTTCATCTTTTATGTTCTTCCTAGATGGGCTCAGAACATACAAGAATTAAGTACACATCTTATTTTCCAGTGATAATGCTACCGGCAAATTCTGTTGTTTGTATAAACATCAGCCATGTTTATATAACTAAACTAGTGTTTTGTTTTGTCAATTCAGCAAGAAATTAGACCAAATGGTGGCTTAATGCTGCATTGATTTGGCTATCAATTTGTTTTCACTTTTCTGCAAAATAATTAATACATTATTAAATTGAATTATGCTGATGCCACAGTTGTTCTTATCTCAAGTGTCTTAAAATTCATTTAATTTGTTTTTCCTTTGGTTTCATTATTCAGATTTTAACTTCAGTTCTCAAGATTTTATCTGATGGAAGAGATGGAGTCCATTACTAAGGACTCCATTGTGCTCCATCATGCCAGAGTTGTAAAATAGATCTTTTAAAGGAAATGTACTGTGATTTTTTTTCTATTTAAGAGCTTCCTCTCCAGTTGAGCATGTAAGAAAATTATACCAGGAGAATACAGTAAACTCTATGAGGCAAGCTATAAACATGTAGCATTGTGATTAGGGCTGGTTCTCCTTCTAGAGACATGGTAGGATTGCAATTTCATACCATCCTTGAAGTTAGAGAGAGCCATGTGACTCATTTAGCCAATGAACTGTGAGCAGAATGACATGTCACTTCCAGCTGAAGCTTTAACAATCTGAGAGACATTCATACATTTTCCATGTGCTGTAGCCTTATACCCAAAGCCTGGGTCCCAAGTGACCATGACAGGCAGAGCTCCCTGTTGAGCCACAGAGATTTAGAGAATGGCTGTTAACACAGCATAATCCAGCCCATCCTGACTAATCTGATATTAACATGTATAATAAAGAATTCTATCAATGATGAGGGAAGATGACTAGTTAAGGTCCTAGGTTGCAAGTCTCAAAACCTCTTCTAAGGATTGTAGACAGGAAATTAAATGACTTCTAGTCCCTAGAGTTCCCAATCTCCTACCATCCCATCCTAATATGACAGAAGTAATTCCTGAGTTGCTTCTGAAACCAGAGCTTCCCTCAGAACCCTTAGCCTGCCAGATGGCTTCTTGGAGAGCCCTCACTCACTTTTCTCCTTCTGCTATTGCTGCTCATTCATTCCAGCTTTTAAAAATTCATCTTTATCCAGGAACCTCGCTTCTAGAAAAGTCATACAGGTGCTTCCAGGAGGCTACATGGGCACCCATATTTTTCTAGCCACTTTCATTAGACCAATGCAGCAGAGAAGAAAAACCTCAATAATTATTATGACATGGCATGTTAGGATACCAAGTAAATTGCATTTGTAAAATGTGATTTTCTGTTGGTGTTCACTTCGGCTCTACTGACATTTGGTAAGTATTATTGACTGACTGACTAACTAATGTGGTCATTAGTCTTCATAAAGAAAGGCTCTCTACAAAAACGGAAAGATGCCCTTTTTCTGGCATTTAATACGTAAGAAATTGCCTCCAATAGAAACCAGAGTTGCCTGATTACTATCAGCACAGGAGAAATGTATTAATGTGCCTTTCTAGTAACAGGTTTTTAGAAAGTCAAATATAAACAAATCTGTCTATTTGTGTGTGTGCATGTGGTAGTGGGGAGGGAAGAAAAAAGGAGGGGGAGAGAAAGAGAAATAAGAACCAAGTTTATTATACTGTATTCAGGGGGAAAAAATTTTCCCAAGGTTCTAACAGAAGAGCAAAGTGCCACTGTCAATAGCCTCAGTAGTGTTAGAGTTGCTTTTATTTATTTATTTATTTATTTTTCCTTTTTTTTCTTTCTCTTTTTTTCTTCTTTTTTTTTCTTTTCTTTCTTTCTTTTTTTTTTTTTTTTTTGGACAGAGTCTCACACTGTCACCTGGGCTGGAGTGCATTGGTGCAATCTCGACTCACTGCAACTTCTGCCTCCCAGGTTCAAGTGATTCTCCTGCCTCAGCCGCCCAAGTAGCTGGGATTACAGGTGTCTGCCACCGTGCCTAGCTAATTTTTTTGTATTTTTAGTAGAGATGAGGTTTCACTATGTTGGCCAGGCTGGTCTCAAACTCCTGACCTCATGATCCACCCACGTTGGCCTCCCAAAGTGCTGGGATTACAGGCGTGAGCCACCGCCCCTGGCCAGGATTGCTTTTATAGCCAGTCTTCAGGTGCCCACTGTAGGAACAATGTCATTTAACCCTCGGGATTATTCTGTGCCAAATATGGATAATGACTAATATCCAACACAGATATTCTCAGCTCAGAAGAGCAATTAGCAAATTCATACATTAAGTGCTTGCTTCCTCTTTAGTCAAATACAAACGTTTGTTAAAAGATATTATTTTGCTTTACACTTTTTCTCTCAGAAATAAACAGATGCTTGAATTCCCACAGTGCTGCTTGAGCCTCACACCATGTCATCCTGCCAGGCACCCAGATCCAGTTCTAGAGTTTCACATGATCCTGAGTGTTGGTTAATAAGTCAATGTGAACTGGGAGGGGAGATTTTTCAGGAGTGCCACAGGGCTCTCCCTTTAATCACATACACTCCCTGCTTTCATTGGAAAGTGTATAATGATGTCAGAGTGCCCCAGAATGGAGCTAGTTGGAAGACTGCCGTCATAGGGATGCCTTAGTGAATTAATAAGGTTTTAATTTCTGGCTCTCAACTTTGTAGATGTAAAAGTTGATTTATCAATATGTGAGAAAGGATGAATCTTTCTGAAGGTTATGTCATCACACTCTCTAAGCACACAGAGAATAATGTCTAGAATCTGAGTGCCATGTTATCAAATTGTACTGAGACTCTTGCAGTCACACAGGCTGACATGTAAGCATCGCCATGCCTAGTACAGACTCTCCCTGCAGATGAAATTATATGGGATGCTAAATTATAATGAGAACAATGTTTGGTGAGCCAAAACTACAACAAGGGAAGCTAATTGGATGAATTTATAAAAATATGCCTCAGCCAAAATAGCTTAATTCACTCTCCCTTATCATAAGGATAATCTTGCCTAAAGGGACAGTAATATTAAAGACACTAGGAATAACCTCTGTACTTTGGACAGTAGACCTGCATAGCCCATTAGGCCTCAATGAAGTCTTATGCAAGACCAGAAGCCAATTTGCCATTTAAGGTGATTCTCCATGTTTCTGCTCTAACTGTGCTTCACAATACTCAAAACACTAAATCAGGATGTTTCCTGGAGTTCAGGGAGCTGTCCGTGTTACTGAGCAGTTCTCAGCAACACAAAGATCCTACTGACTCTTCATCAGACTTCTTTCTCACTGGAATTTTACACCTGGGCTGTTAACACCAGGCCAGGTCAAATTCAAAGGAGAGAAAAAAGCTCATTATGAAGGGTAAAATCCAAAACACTGTGCATAAAGATATGTGTGCACAATTTTTATACATAAAGATTTCATAAAACCAAAGCATCAGGAAATGAAAAGAGATACAGAAAGAAAAATGATGGCAAATGAGACATTAATTTACCCTTCTAATCTCTATCACAGCAAAAAGATAATTAAAAAATCTATATGAGGACCACAAAATACACAAAAATTATGTAGCAAAGCCTATAGCCTGAAAAAGTAAACACTGAAATTTGTATGTCCATAAAATGTTTACAAAATTCAGTACATATTACACACCCCACCCTAAAAACATCTAAGCAAAGTAGAGAATGTAGAAATGCTACAGATTATATTCTCTGATTATGACACAACAAAACTAGAAATTACAGCATGGAAATTTAAAAGCTTTCTCTTAAATAATTCTATGTCAAAAAGAAATTCAGGCCGGGTACAGTGGCTCATGCCTGTAATTCCAGTACTTTGGGAGGCCAAGGTGGGCAGGTCACTTGAGGTCAGCAGTTCAAGACCAGCCTCGTCAACATGGCGACACCCTGTCTCTACTAAAAATACAAAAATTAGCTGGGCCTGGTGGCTCATGCCTGTAATCCCAGCTACTTAGGAGGCTGAGGCAGGAGAATTCCTTGAACCCAGAAGGTGGAGGTTGCAGTGAGCTGAGATTGCACCACTGCACTCCAGCCTAGGTGACACAGCAAGACTCTGTCAAAAAAAAAAAAAAGAAATCCAAATAAAATTTCCAGAATATGTGGAAAATAGTGACAATAAAAATATTACACATGTGTAATCCCAGCATTTTGGGAAGCCAAGGTGGCAGGATCACTTGAGACCAGGAGTTCGCAACCAGCCTGGACAACATAGGGAGACTCCATCTCCACACACGCCAAAAAAAATTTTAAATAGCCAGGTATAGTGGTACTTCTTGTAATCCCATCTACTTGGGAGGCTAAGGTGGGAGAATCACCCAACCTCAGGAGTTCAGGGCTTCAGCAAGCCATGATCATATCACTGCACTCCAGCCTCAGCAACAGAGCAAGATCCTATCTCAAAAAAAAAAAAAAAAAAAAAATCACATGTGGGAAATAGCTATAGCACAATAAAAATAAATGTATTAGTATGAACAACAAAAAAGCTAGTAAAGGTTGAACAACAACTATCCTTAGGAAAGTGGAATTAATGTATTAATAAATATGAAAGCAGGCTAGGCATGGTGACTCACATCTGTAATCCCAGCACTTTGGGAGGCTGAGGCAGGCAGATCACCTGAGGTCAGGAGTTCCAGACCAGCCTGGCCAACATGGTGAAATCTTGTCTCTCCTACAAATACAAAAACTAGCCAGGCTTGGTTGTGCACTCCTGTAATTCGAGCTACTTGGGAGGCTGAGGCAGGAGAATCTCTTGAACCTGAGAGGCAGAGGTTGCAGTGAGCCAAGATCATGCCACTGCACTCCAGCTGGGGCAACAGAGTGACACTCCATCTCAAAATAAATAAATAAGAAAGCAGAAACTAATAAATTAGAAAACAGAAACATAGAACTAATTTATAAATCAAAGCACTATGCCTTGAAAAGAGGGAGAAAAATTGTGAATTAAGGAAGGGAAGAGATGGTTGGAGAGGAGGTGGGAGAAGGCAGAGATAATTGAAGGAGCAAAAGCATCTGGAGAAGCAAAGCCACTGAAAGATGAACAGGGCTCTGAAAGAAATGCTTGATTGCTATCTTTCCAAATAACTGCAGTTGCCAGTGACATCATTTTTCTCCTCCCTGGAAGTCTGAGGGGCAGTTCACTTATCTCCTCCCCTCCCCTACTCCTCACCCCATACTCAAAACCTGTCTATGCTCCTTTCATTCTCATATGACAGATTTCAGATGGCATTCTTATTTCCCTGATTTCTTTTTGAGATAGCTTGCATTTCCCTCCTCTATATAAAGCCACCGTTTATCAAATGCCTACATGGACCAAGCAGTCCACAAGGGCTTCACAGACAGTTTTACTAAACTCATGCCAAAACTTTCAGGTTTTATACCTACCTTATAGATAAAGAAATTGAAGCTTATAGAGTTTAAGTAATGTTCCCAAAGCCTCGTGGCTAGTAATTCAAACCTAATTTCTGCCTACTCCAAAGTATATTTTTCCTCATGATACTATACTGTCTCTCCATGGATAAAGACAGAGATCACATATTAATAAAATTTGCACAAAGTCGGCAAATTGTTGAAAGGGAAGGCTAAGATGATTAATAAAATCAAGAGCCAGATGATCTCAACAACCTGAAATAACTGGCTGACAACCAATTTGAATAACTCCCTGCGGGTGAATTTCAAAGTACTATTTGGGTTTTTTTTTTAAAGTTTGGCTGGGTGCAGCGGCTCACGCCTGTAATCCAAGCACTTAGGGAAGCCAAGGTGGGCGGATCATGAAGTCAGGAGTTGAAGACCAGCCCGGTCAACATGGTGAAACCCCACCTCTACTAAAAATAAAAAATTAGCCGGGCCTGCTGGTGGATGCCTGTAGTCCCAGCTACTCGGGAGGCTAAGGCAGGAGAATCGCTTGAACCCAGGAGGTGGAGGTTGCAGGGAGCTGAGATTGCACCACTGCACTCCAGCCTGGGCGACAGAGCGAGATTCCGTCTCAAAAAATAAAATAAAATAAAATAAAAAATAAAAGTTTGATATATTCAGAATCAGGGAGGTCTGTTGGGTGCAGTTCATTTGAAAAATTCCTCAGCATTTTAGTGATCTGTATGGTCCCTCTATCTGTCAGGGTCCTAGCAGGAAATTGTTGCACTCTCAAAGGATTAAGCAGAAAGAGTTTAATGAAGGGTCTCTTTCCAGGGTTAAGGGAACTGCTAGGGTTTGGATATTTGACCACTCCAAACTCATGTTGAAATGTGATCCCCATTGTTGGAGGTGGGGCCTAATGGGAGGTGTTTTGGTCCTGAGTGTGGACCTCTCACGAATGTCTTGGTGCCATCCAAGTGAGTTCTTGCTCGCTCTTTTTTTTCTTTTTGAGATGTAGTTTCACTCTTGCTGCCCAGGTTGGAGTGTAGTGGTGCGATCTTGGCTCACTGCAACATCCACCTCACGGGTTCAACCCATTCTCCTGTGTCAGCCTCCAGAGTAGCTAGGATTACAGGTGCCCACCACTATGCCCAGCTAATTTTTGGTATTTTTAGTAGAGACGGGGTTTCACCATGTTGGCCAGGCTGGTCTCAAACTCCTGACCTCAGGTGATCCACCTGCCTTGGCCTCCCAAAGTGCTGGGATTACAGGTGTGAGCCACTGCGCCCACCTAGTTCTAGCTCTCTTAATTCCCACAAGAGCTGGTTGTTAACAAGAGCCTGGCACAAACCCCTCTCTCTCGCCATGTGATCTCTGCACATGCCAGCTTCCCTTCCCCTTCTGCCATGAGTGGAAACAGCCTAAAGCCCTCACCAGAAGCAAATGGTGGCACCATGCTTCTTGCACACCTTCAGAACTGTGAACCAAATAAACCTCTCTTCTTTAAAATTATTCAGCCTCTGGTATTCCTTTATAACAACACACACACACACAGACACACACACACACACACGCAAAAGCAGAGTAAAACAGGAACTAATTAGAAATGGTGATGCACCGAGGGATTGGCACCGAGGCTCCCCAACAGGAACTGAGGCCATGGACAGAAGGACACATTCATGATATTTTTTTCTAATGGTTAAGTAATTATTTGCTCTTACTCTCAAAATTTCTGCCAAGGCCTCCCATGGACCAAACTCAACTAGAATCTAGGAAGCAGAGAACCTGAGTGTCGCATTCAGCAGAAGTCAGCTTCCTAGGGAATCTTGCAGGAAGGGTGAAGGTAGAGAATCTGGTGGGGAAGCAAGCAAATGCCCATCACATGCACTTTCCTCCAACAGAGCGACTCAGATGCTATAAAACTTGCTAACGCAGTCTCAGGGTCTGATCACAGTAACATACAATCCAGGTTTTAATCATCAGAAATCACAGTCCTATTGTCTTCTGCACAGACCCAAACACACTTGGAGGTCATGTTCAATATGAATACCTCACAGAGAAGGAAATTTACACACGAGAAGTACATCTGCAGAAAGCCAGCTGGCATGTCAACCATTCGAAAACTCAGGGTGTTCGGGATAAAGAAGACTCAGGAAGACAAGTATGAAGCATAATCTGTGACATTCCATGCAGCAGACGTTAGACACATACAAGAGAGTTGTTGGAAAGCGGAATTTATCTTCATATAAACAACACTGAGCTAAATCTCAATATTTCAGATCTCTAGAACTATCCATCAGTGAAATGGATTGCAAATAGAAAGAGTAATACCATGTCATTTAAGAATACAATCATGGACGAGGCTGCCACCTGCTGTTGGGGGCCACTGCAGAAGAAATTCCAGAACACTGGACTGGAGAGCACCTCACTTTCCTTACAGCTCTAAGTTTCTGACTCAGTGACCTGATTCACTACCATATACACAAAGACCCACTTACACAAATGACTGTTCTTCACACTAGGCCCATGGAGACAGGGATAAAATTCTGAATTTGCTCAGATACCTTCTCCGCTACTGACATCTAGGCATTACACAATTCATCTCTTCATATTTAACCTTTGAAGTTTGCTACTTCTCAGAAAGACTAATGAGTAGTGAGCAAATATCCTGAAGCTGAGAATGCTTCTACCTCCTCTCAAAACAACAGAATATTCATCAAAACACAGCAGTTCTGCACTTAACTTTAGGCCTTTTCTAACACCTTGTTTCTTGGCAGTAACTGTGGCCAGAATAGCTCTTTCCACAGATAAAGGACCTTTTGAAAGGATAGGGTCTCTAGATAGAAAAGCAAATGCCTCATTCCAGAAGGTCTTCAAGAAGAAAATGTTGTGGTGATAACAAACATAACTGATTATAATCTATTCTGTGAAAAAAGCTTATGAAACAGTAGATGTGTGTATCTAGTACATAAGAGCTGAATGTCAATATATATATATATATATAGATATATACACACACTCAAATAAATAATAGTTATCTCTAACTAGAGAAATTCTAGTTGCCTTATATTTTCTTCTTTTTCCTTACTATATTTTCTACAATAAACATGTGTTTTTAACAAGAAAAGTCTTTTCTGGTGTGCTTTTTAATTTTCTTTGTTTAAGTGAGAGTGAGGCTACATAACTACATGGCTAGGTAGACTTTCAGAAAACTTGGCTGCTCTAGAAAATTGACATATCCTGATTTCTTCCATAGCTTGGATCTTGACCTAGAGGGACATATAAAAATGTTGACTTGAACCTGAGGGGTGCCATTTTCACTGCTGAAGTAGTTTCATGGATCATGAATTGGAGAAATGACTTCAGCAACACGGGTGTTAAAAACAGAAAGCACAAGTGACCCACAACAGATGATGGAGAACAAAGAGCAAGCTGGGAAAAGCAGTGGCCTTTAATACAGAAAAGAAGAAGTATAGCCTCAATAAATATTAGGCAGACAGCAGTTCAGCAGTTTATACTATTAAGATGTTGTTTAGGGGAATGGTAAACCGACATGACCCTTGAGGTAGGTATATATAGGTAAATTCTATGTGTCCCTTGAAATAGGTGCATGATACAACTTCTGGCGGCTACATGGATTTGGTCACTCTAAAGTAGCCATGAGGCTTAAGATAGTTCAGCTGTTTGGGGATAAGTTAAATCATTTGCCGTTGTCTTTCTGCAATTTGCGTATCCTACAGTTATCATTGCCATTACTGAATGGCACAGAGAAAAATTCTGGTCTAAAGTGGTTCTCAAACCTGGTTGCTGGAGGGCCACCCTCAGTGATGATGATTTAATCTGTAGAAGAGTAGAACATTGATAGTTTTTATATATCTCCAGGTAATTTTAATATATAACTGGGGTGAGAATCATCGACGTAATTGTAAGAGGATAATATTCAAGAAATGTGGAGATAAATAATTTTCTTCTCGACATTAAAAAAATCTAATAAAAAGTTTTATCTTTTCCCCTAATTCAGGGTCATCAGCCTTCAAGCTTCAGTCTCTGTGTGTTCACAGGTGCTGTAAACACACGCATCACTACTAATATCCCACTTCAGTGCTATTGCTGCTCCCAAAACTCCAGGTATTTTTAACCTTATAAACCTCCAGAGTAATGAGACCACTGGGTTCAGTAAAGTGCTTTGTTTTGAAGCAGTGTTAGACAAAGTGGGAGACTAGAAGATAAATCTGTCAATGACATGTCCTTTAAGACTACTTAGATTTTGTTGAATTTGTGGATCATTCCTTACTTGAGCAAATGGTAAATTAACTCTCTCTTTTCTCTCTCTCTAGCTGGCACACTTTTCCCAGTAGCCATTCTACTTGGTATGCTTACTTATCAGCTGTCCTCCAGGGGCCTCACATTAGATGTTTCTCTTGACTAACCAAACATGACACACAGCTGAAGTCAGAAAAACCAGATTGATAATTTCACTCAAACTATTTTCCTTCATTCTAACAATTTACTGGAGTACACAATTGTGACTATTTTTAGCCATAGGAACTCATAGAAAGACCAACTTCATTAGACCTACAAAATCGAATTGTGTAACAGTATATGCAGTATGTGTAGGAATAAAAAGCATTTCTCAAATATGCAGTACTGGATTTTGCAAAAGCACCTTATACTTAGCTATAAAGGAGTGGAAAACACAAAGATGAGTAACTGCACCTTTCAAAAGACTAGAGCTATACCAATAATACAAAGGTGTAAACAAATAATGATGAGATGACAAAGGCTGAGTGTTTTCTATTTGGAAGCTATGTTGTTGAATTATTTATGTATATAATTTCATGCAATCTTCATGTTATGGGGGTGTTCTAATCCACTGTGACTCTGTCCTTAAATAAAAGGGAGATTTGGACATAGTGAGAGGCACACGGGGAGGATGCCATATGAGAATTGACACTGTGCTGTCACAAGCCAAGGAACTACTGGAAGGAGAGAAAGAGGACTGGAACAGTTCCTTCCTTAGCACCTTTTCAGGCAGCCTAGCCCTGCCAGCTTCTTGATCTGGACTTCTCACCTCTAGAATTGTGAGGCAATAAATCTCTGTTGCTTAAGTTACCCAGTTTGTGGTACTTTATTACAGGAGCCCTAGGAAAATAATTCATTATATAATCTGCTAAGGTAGATATGATCATTGTCTCCAATTTCCATATGAAGAAACTATGCCTCAGGCATTGTGTCAGTTGTCCAAAATCATACATTCCTGACTCACTTCAATGAATTCTTCATTCAGCAAAATTTTTAAGGTACCTTAAAAAAATTATGTTAACTCTTAGGTCCTTGCTTTAAAGTTTCAATGGGCTTTTTCCTTTGCAAAGAATAAAATCCTAATACTTAAGCATAGCTCTCTTTCCTGGCTATGTTTCTGACATCCTCTTGTACCATGCTCCTCCTTAATCATTCTGAGGTTACACCTTAAGTCCTTTCCCCTTGCCATTCCCACTTCTTGGAATACTTTCCCATCAACTCTTCAAAGAACTGGCTTCTTTAAGTATTTGGTCTCAGCTCAAATGTCACTTCCCTGTAAAAGCTTCCTGGCCATCAAGCCTTCTTTACACACTCTATTTTATTTTTTCATGGTTCCTATAACAACCTAATATATTCTCAATTGATTAACTGTTTTGCTGACTACTGCCTTCCATAAGAATGGAAAGAAAACGTGGCCAGGTGCAGCGGCTCACACCTGTAATCCCACCACTTCAGGAGGCTGAGGCAACATGGCAAAACCTTCTCTTCAAAAAATTTTTTAAAAGTTAGCTGGATGTTGTGGAGGCAAGAGGATCACTTGAGGATCACTTGAGTCCATGAGGTCAAGGCTGCAGTGAGTCATGTTTGCACCACTGCACTCTAGCCTAGGTGACAGAGCTAGTCCCTATGAAAAAAAAAAAAAAAAAAAAAAAAGAATGGAGAGAATGCTACATGAGAGAAAGGATCTTATGTATCATGTTCACCTCCCAAGAGGTGAACATATCCCCCAAAGCCTGATAGAGAGAAGATGCTCATTAATATTTAATGCATGACCATGTGCAGACTTGGGAGGAAAAATATGCCTCAGCCTATCAAAATTGGATCCTTAATAAACAAGGATGCTTCTGCATCATTTTCCCACAACACCGAACAAGTGTGGCTCACTGTGGATGTCTAAGCAAATGCATTGTTTTTCCAGTTATATATCTGGTAGAGATGAGGCCATTGATAGGAATGGGAAGACGATCTCCTTTTATTTTGATGACCCAGCATGGCTGAACACTCAGTGACTACCACTGCACTTTGTTGTAGTTTCAGCATTAGAGATGCCAGCCCTGTAGGATATAAAACAGGAACATCTAGTCCTCAATTATATTCAGAATTACTCAAGTCTTAGAAGCACCACTTGTCTTTTTTCAAGGGAGAGAAATGCTCAAGTGATGGGCTGAAGTGAAGGGAGGGAGTCACTCACTTAAACGGTTCCCTTAGGCTGTGTGGATGCAAACAGCATTAGACAATGACGCTGACAGTGGGAAATGCACTGGAGACGATGATTGGCAAAGCCCTCCTTTTCTCCCCATCCACTATAGATACTGACAGCAAAGGGTTTGTCACAATGACAACTATACACTCCCAATATCACAGAAGAAGGAGGAATAAAAGGGTATATTATGAGTGACTGAAGTTTAGAATAAATTAATAAATATTATGTCCCTCATCCATAGAAACCACAAAGGTCTAGTAATGCTAAGGATATAACAAGAAAATAATATGAATATTTGCTTCCCCTTCCTAGTGTAATAGAGTAAGTTACAAATGGCTTCAGGAAGGGGAGAGAGGAAGAAGAGTGGATGAGATACGTAAGAGTGCCTGAGGGCTAATTTTATGAAAGCTTTGGGAAGTTTTAAGAAAAAGAAAAGCTATTTTTCAAGGTACATGTGTGTATGCATGCGTGTGTGTGTGTGTGTGTGTGTGTGTGTGAAAGACAGAAGAAAGAGGGAGACCTAAGAAGACTATGAGACACTAAGAGAAAAATTAAGGTAAGAAAGACACACACTTAGAAAAACACACATAGGGAGGAGGGAGGAGGTTAAGACATTTTACTATGTGCTGTGAATGGAAACTACAAACCATTTTTGATATATGCAATATATATACATATATACACACATATACATATGTATTTAAAGATTTAAATTACATTTTCTCTTTTTTTAGAGATATGGTTTCACTATGTCACTCTGCCCAGGCTGCAGTACAGTGGTTGTTCACAGTCATGATCATAGCACATTATAGCCTTGAACTCCTGGGCTCAAGCAACCCTCCTGTATTACTCTCCCCAGTAGTTGGGATTACTAGCATATGCCACCATGTCCACCTTTATGCTTTTTAAAGTGAAAAACCATACTAAGAATGAGGCAGCTCAACTTAATAATAAAAACATTTCGAATGTAAAGAAATTTACAAAAGAAAAACAACCCCATTAAAATTGGGCAAAGGGAATGAACACTTTTCAAAAGAATACATGCATGCAGCCAACAAACATACAAAAAAAAAGTTCAACATCACTGATCATTAGAGAAATGCAAATCAAAACCATAATGAGATACCACCTCACACCAGTCAGAATAGCTATCATTAAAAAGTCAAAAAATAACAGATGCTAGTGAGGCTATGGAGAAAAGGGAATGCTTATACACTGTTGGTGGGTGTGCAAATCAGTTCAATCATTGTGCAAAGAATAGTGATTCCTCAAAGAGCTAAAAGCAGAGCTACCATTCGACCCAGTAATCCCACTACTGGGTATATACCCAGATGAATATAAACCATTCTGCCATAAAGACACATGCATACAAATGTTCATTGCAGCACTGTTCACAATAGCAAAAGTATGGGATCAACCTAAGTGCCCATCAATGACAGATTGGATAAAGAAAATGTGGTACATATACACCATGGAATACTATGCCGCCATTAAAAAATGATATCATGTCTTTTGCTGGAATATGGATGGACCTTCTATTATCCTTAGCAAACTAATGCAGGAACAGAAAACCAAATACAGCATACTCTCAGTTATAAGTGGGAGCTAAATGATGAGAACTCATGAACACAAAGAATAAAACAGACACTGGGGTCTACTTGAGGGTGGAGGGTGAGAAAAGGAAGAGAAACAGAAAAGATAACTATTGGGTACTAGGTTTAATACCTGGGTGATGAAATAATCTGTACAATAACCCCCTGTGACACCAGTTTACCTATGTAACAAATGCCCCTAAACTTAAAATAAAAGTTAAAAAAAAAAAGAAAATTAAAATCTCCTTATCATCTACCTGGTAATATGAAAAACACAAATCTTTCATTCATTCCTTTCAACTGATGAGGAAACTGAGGCATCGGGAGTTAGTAAAAGTCCACATTGAGATATGAGACCCACCACTGGCTGGACGCAGTGGCTCACACCTGTAATCCCAGCACTTTGGGAGGCCGATGCTGGTGGATCACCTAAGGTCAGGAGTTCGGGACCAGGCTGGCCAACATGGTGAAACCCCCATCTCTACTAAGAATACAAAAATTAGCTGGGTGTGGTGGCAGGCACCTGTAATACCAGCTACTAGGGAGGCTGAGGCAGGAGAATCACTTGAACCCAGGAGGTGGAGTTTACAGTGAGCCAAAATCACGCCATTGCACTCCAGCCTGGGCAACAAGAGCAAGACTCTGTCGGGGAAAAAAAACAAAAAACAAAAAACACCACCATCATTTTGCAAGTGTTACCACTATTGTGTGTTAATATTGTAGAAGTATTCCTAATTATGATTTCTTTGTATTCCTAATTGTAATAGCTTTGTATTTGAAAAATTATTGATTCATACTCTATATGTTATTATTTTGTATGCGATGACAACAGAATATATTATCATGCTCCTTTTGTGAATCTCATTCATAATATAAAGTATAAATTTGTGATTTTGCTTTAATTTGAAATATTAACTTCAAATATGTTATCACAATTTGATACAAACTATTGACAGTAAATCTGTGGATTAAGTAATGTCTTAGTAGGTATTGGGAAAATTTGAAACTAGTAACATGGAGGACTATTGTCATTGTTTATTTCAAAGCCAGTTAAAATTCTGCAAAGCAGTGTAAATAAAAATAATTTCAAGAAATTTATAAAATACCGAGATTATGGTGTATAAACAACTTTAGATTCTTTGTTTAAGAAATTCTGCCAGTTTGTAATATATGCTTCATTCAAAGTAGCTAAGGGCTGTACCTGGCTAATAGTAGGCACCTAATATTTGTTGAAAAGGAATACTGAGTAGCTGGGACCTCCTGAGTAGCTGGGACCACACACATTTAACCTGTATTTATAAAATTACTGTTTAGAGAATAACATTTGATGGAATCATGCTTTTACTTTCTGCTTATGACTCAATTGTTTGTACTGACATTAACATCCCAAATCCTTAGCATGGCCTACAAGGCCCTGAGCAATGTGGCACCTGCTGAAGCCTGCTGCCTCATTTAATAACTCTTTGTTTCTTTCCCAGATCCAGCCACTCTAACATTTTTTAGTTCCTGGACCAAGACAAGCTCTTCCCAGAACCTGACCTTTGTACCTGTTCTTTATTCCTGGAGTATTTTTCCCCTGACAAATTACTTATCATCTATCATAAATCAGGTTAAATGGCACTAACTCAGGGAAGGCTTCCCTAACTGCCTCCCTTCTCCAACCAAATTAGGAACAATTATATGGCCACATAGTATCGAATCAAGTTTATAATTTTAAAATAATTGGGAGATGTTGTTGTTTAACACTTGTTTTCACTATAAGACTGTAATTACATGCAAGTAAGAACCATGCCTGTTTGTTCACTCCTGCCACAGTCAGAATAGTGCCTGGAATATGCAGTAAGGGCTGAACAAACACTAAATAAATGAACAAGTGAATAAATGGATATTGTCTCGTTTTTAGAACAGAGTACTAAATGGATCATGAACACTATCTGGTATGTCACGTAGGTAATTTACAAAGGCTACAATTTCAGCTCAGATTTACCTTTTCCTGGATACAGGTCTTGATAGGTCTCTTGATGTCATTTCACTTCAGATTCTTCTTTAGAAAACTTCGACAATAGCATTTGCTGTCTTGTCCAAATTGTTACTAAGAATCAAGAGAGATATCTGACATGAAATGACATTGGAAAACATTAAACACGATTGAAATAATGCTAGCCAATATGGTTATTATTAGAAACCAATTACATTTTCAACTTAAAAATAGTAATACTTATTGCAGACTCAAATGTGCTTATTCTAAAACAAGTAAATGTTTGCCTATGGTCTGAGATTCTAATCCACGGAGTTCATTCTAATCCACATTCAACACTATCATGTACCAGTGGGCCTCATAACCCACCTAGCCCTGTGATTTTTCAGGTTCACTTTTCTAAACTTGTGAATTAAATATTTATTTTCTTAGTTCAGAAGAGGAAAAAAACTCTTGTAATTGTTGCCCATTTCAGGAGAAATCCTGCATATGAAAACAAGAGATAAATATACACAACTGAGGGCTGTGGTTTAAACAAAATCTTGAGAATGTTTTTTGACCTTATACATTTGTGCTTTAGTATAACAAAATGATATAGACAAAGGTAACTTTTAATAGAACCAGTCACTAAATTAAAAAAATGACAAATTCTTCTGCTTAGCTAAGCAACAGAGAAGGTAAAATACTAATTCAATTCATCAATTTAAGCAATACTCATTAAGAGCCAAGTATGTGCTTACTGAATAAGCTGCTAAGGTTTGGTGGTTACAGAGTGTGCGGTGAAATGATGTCTACATCACAGTCCAACATTCACGGAGTTTAAAAGCCTACCGAGAATCAAGACAGACACAAATACCTAACATAGACGTTTGTATGTGATAAGAGAGCCAGAGTACAATTTAGGAGAAAAAATTGTATGGAAGGAAGGTTCATTTCCATTAGACCAGAAAAGACAGCACATTTGAAGGCCTGAATAAGAAATATTCTGGATAAGATATTGTGGCTGCTACCAGAATGGCTCTTGATGATCTCTACCTCTTGGTATTTATACCCTTATATAATCTCTTTCCTATAGTGTAAGCTGGTCCCAGGTACTTGTTTCTATTGAATAGAATAGAACAAAAGTAATGAGATGCCACTTCTGAGATCAGATTATAAGATACTGTGAATTTCATCTTGTGCCCTCTCCCTCTCTCTCTTTCTCCTGCCCTCTCATTTGAATGAAGCCAACTGGCATGCTGTCAGTGGCCCAGTGTAAGTCCTGTTACAAGAAATTGATGATTACCTGTAGCCAACCCTAAGTGAAGAACTGAGGTCCTCAGTCCTACAAATGGAGAGAAACTGAATCTAGCTAAGAACCATGTGAGTGAGCTGGGAAGAAGATCCACCCTCAGTTGAAATTTAAGATGACATATTGAGCAGACATACTGAGACACACTGAAAGTAAGAGAGCAGGAGGAAACAAAACCAGGGTCATACAAAGAACACAACTGATTCTGAGATTCTCACATAAGTATTACACCTTCAGTGAGCACGTGTACTAGAAATTAAAAAAATAAATAAAATAAACCTTCAAAGAGAGCTAGCAAATAAATTTCCCTATGGTCTCAGCTCTGAGTGGAGAGAGAAAATGTTCCCTGTGGAGTTTATAGCCAGAATCCAGCTCTCAAACAGGTTTCAGCCTGAACTCACACAATCTGTGTGGCTTCCAAATTTGCAAGCTGAGAATTTAATTCAAAGTGGTCTCAGGTTGATAGCAGTCCAAAATGCTAGGTAGGAAAAAAAATCCTCTCTGGACAAATAAATCATCAAAGCAAGCTCATAAGAGCAGGTTTCAAAGGTCATGAGCTTCTAACACACACACACAAAAATCACACACACAAAATGGGGGTAGCAGCAACATGGGTAGCGTATTCAAACTTGAAAAGACTTTAAATATTTGTATTATTAGATGTAGATTATGAAACACATATTTTAATGTGGTTAATTTTTTTAAGGAATCAAAACTATGAGTAAAGACCAAGAAAATTGTGCTGGATGGCCACTTCCACCATGGCTCCCCTCCTATTTAAGTCTGGGTACTGTCTCACCCGAAGTCTTCAGGCACATTGTTCCAGGTTTGGGTTTGCCTATGAAAGAAACTCATGAGAGCTGGAAGTGAGGAGTGAAGAGGAGGTCTTCACATAAAGCAGGCTTAAGGATTAGACATAGCAGGTTTGACAGATGTGATGGCTTGCAGAATTCTTTATGAGCTCCCACTGTCCATCTGGATAAGATTTACAGACCTTTCAGAAATTCCTATAAGCTTGGGTTCTGTGCCCACACTCTAGACTGTCAGGCTAAGATCTCTGATATAAAACAGACCTCTTCTGATTTTGTCTAGCTGCTTTTCTAATATCTATTCACCAAGCTCTTCCAATAATAGCATAAGGCCCTAATTAATATTAAACTTTTATCATTATAATACATAGGATGTCCTCTGTTTTCCTGATCAAATTCTGACTACTATTAAAATATAAAGAATTGTCCAGAAATATATAAAAAAGAATCACACATTGATCTTCTTTAAATGAAAATATAACAATTGTATGGACTAGGATGATTACAGTTGTTCAGTTCTGACTGTTATTCGAAGAAAAAAGCAATAAGAAGCCTCAGCAACTTAACAGAAGGAGCTGCCATTTACTAGGAGAAAAGATTGTGGATGAGAGTGTAGCAAAGGTCAGAATTCTGTGAAGCTTGAGATGTCTATTATAATGAATTATCTTTTATACTCACTACAATTTCCTAACAATTTTGGGGTTTATATTTTTGAAAGAGATATACCTTTAATTTTCTTTCTTTGTACTATTGTTAGGTAACTTTAATGTGCAGATTATACTACAGTGAAAGTTGCCAATGACAAGGCAAAGTCACTTACATCAGACCCAAAGCAAAGTGGAGCCGGGTCATGAAAAAGGGGATCTTGTGTGTGTGTCCACGATAAGCACTATCACAAGGACTTTCTATAAACTCACAAGAAATTTCTGCCCACCCAGCACACTCTTGTTTGTCCAGCTCATCCTGTAGGTGTCTCTATAATAGGACCTATCATAAAAAATTCCTCAAGACTGCAGCATTTCAGATAAGCCACCCTCACAAGAACACTTGCCTAGCAATGGCTGTTTCTGCCAGTAAGTTAACACCAGCTCCTGCATCAGGCCCTGTGACCAGTGATGTTTGTTTCAAAACAGCTTGCATAGACTTCTTTTTGTCTTTACATATTTTCCTTACCTCAACCTCTTGGGATGCACCTATGATTGATCATAGCACAAATATCTCAGATTATAAAACTTGTTTATTTCCAAATAAATTTATTTCTTCGGAGATCCACTTTTTCTGTTATTATACATTGACACTGTTATTATGAAATTGGTTGGGTGATGTGTCGTATTTTCTTGTCTCCAGAAGAATTTCTGTAACAGTGCAATTAAACGTTCTTTGCATGTTTGCTAGAACTCACCTGTAAAATTGTCTGAGCAACCAAAGCCTGGTTTTTGTGTTTAGTTTTTCTTTTGTGACTGGGGAGGGGGGTTTATCGTACTGATTCAAGGTGTGAAGGTAACATCATTTTGATTTTATACATCTTCTTCAGTCCATTTAAGCATGTTACATAGCGTTGTTTGTTCTTTTCATGATATTCTTTACAGTAGTCTCCTAAATGTTCCCTCTGCTTCTGCCATGAGCCCCTACAATCTATTTCAACTCAGAAGCTATAGAGTTTGTTTAAAACATGTAACATATTATGCCACCTTTCTTACTGTAAAACATCCCATGGTTTCTCGTAGTATTTATAGTAAAAGTGAAATTTTTATGATGGCTTGAGAAACTTTTCCCATTAGATGCCCAAGTGCTGGTCTGGTCTGATCTTCTCATCTTCCCTTGGGTGATTCTGTGGCAGTCACACTAGCCTCCTTGCTGCTCCACAAAAACTCCAGCATGATCCTACTTCAGGATATTTGCCATTGTTACTGCATCTGCCTGGAACCTTTTCTCCCATATAAACATAGAGATTGCTCTTGCCTGTCCTTCAAGTCTATTCTTAAATGTCCCACTCTCTGTGAAGCTTTCCTGCCCACCCTATTTAAATTACAGACTTCACTCCCAATTCCCCATCTACTTTAAGAGTCTTCATTTATCATTCCTTGACAAACTGTAAATATACATGTTCACTTTTTTATTGTCTGTCTCCAAATACTGGAATGTTAAGTTCTGTAATGTCAGATATTTGTTTGGTTCACTGGTGTATTCTTAAAGCATGTTACATACTAGGTATACTCAATGAATATTTGTTGAATAAATATCACATTGGGCTTATTCCAGAAATTCAAGCTTGTTTCAATAGTTAGAGCAATCTACAAATGTAATTCATTACATTAACTAATTAAAGGAGCTAAATCACATCACCACCACAATAATGCAGAAAAACACATTTGATACAACTCAATATTCATGTCTGCCTAACAAACATCTCATGATACTAGGAAAAGAGGAAGGGATATATTATTTTCATGTATAAAACACTAACCATTGTAGCATGCCAATATACTCAAAATTCAATGAAATTCCTATCAAAATCTTAGCATTCCTCTTAGTCCTCAACAAAGCATTTCTAAAATGTGTATAGAAGACCAAAGGGCCAAAAGAGTCAACTTCTGAAGAAGTGGAAAAAGAAAGTTGAGGAAATCTTAAAACATGTTATTGAGCTTAAAGTTGCAAAAATAAACTCATGTACCATAATTCATGAGTAGAAAAACAGACTAGTGGAATAACATAAAAATAAAAACAATGCTTACATAAAATGTTGTAACTGATTTGGATGTCATTAGAAATCAGTAAGTAAATAGATGGACAATGTAATGAAAGATGCTAGGCAAATAATGTGGTAGGGAGAATAATGGCCCTCAAAGATGCCCATGCCTAACCCTGGAACCTGTGAATATGTTACACTGAATGCAATAAAGGCTTATCAGATGTGATTAAGGATGCAAACCGAGATGGAGAGAACTTCCTGGGTTATCCAGATGGGCCCAGTCTAATCACATGAGTTCTTAAAAATGGAGAACCTTTCTTAGCTGAGTCCAGAGAGAGATGTGACAATGAAAGAATGGTCAGAGAAATGTGACATTGCCAGCTTTAAAAAGAGAGAGGAGAGGCAATGAGAAAAGGAATGCTGATGTTCTCTAGAAGATAGAAAAGGCCAGGATATGGATTCTACCCTAGCCGCCATAAAGAAACATGCCTGTCGACAACTTGATTTTAGTTCACTAAAATTCATGCCTGATTTCTGACTTGTGTACAGTGTAAGATGACAAGTTTGTGTTATTTTAGGTCACTTAGTTTGTAGAAATTTGTTACAGCAGTAATAGAACAAGTGGTTATCCATATGAGGCAAATTAGATTGGATATCTATCTCCAATAGAAATCAATTCAAGGTGAATTCCAGGAAAATACTTAAAACATTTAGATTAAAAATAAATGAGAATTTTTGTTACATTTGGTAGGTCATAGAACCAAGAAAAACAAACATTAAGGAGGAAAAATGAACATATGACTACATCAAAATATAAAGCTTCTCTATTTGGATGATATCATAAGGTGACAAATCATAAACTGTAATATTTGCAACATATATATGAGTGAATAAATATACATTTAGAATATATATGAACTCCCAAAAATCAACAGGAAAAATAAGACATAGAACAAGCAAAATGCATAAACAAAAGAAGGCAAAACAAAAATAATGACTCATAATTATATGAAAAGAAGCTCATCTTCATAGATGAGCAGATAAATGCAAATTAAAACCACCCTGAGATACTTTTTACATCCATGAGCCTGATAAAAGTTAGAGTCTAAAAGTAATAATTAACAAAGATGGGAAGTAACATAAAATCTTGTCCATTACTGGTTAAAGTATAAACTGATACAGCTACTTTATAGAATATTACATTATAGAATAAACTTGTGAGTATGTATATGCAGTGACTCAGCATCTTCATTGCTAGTATGTACTCAAGAGAAACTTACAGGAGTGGACTAGGAAGTAAATACAAAATGATTACAACATTGTTTGTTATATCAAAAAATAAAAAAGACACCCAATTTTCCAGCAAAAAAAATAAGTAAAAATAAATCCTGGTGTATTCTAACAATGGAATAATATATAGCCATTAAAATAAATCAACTATTACTGTACATATGAATGTAAGTATCAGCAAAACATATTGTTTAGTGAAAAAGTAAGAAGCTGAAGAAGAATATATACAATATGGTTACATTTATATGAAGTCCAAAAACTTGCAAAATAAAGAAATGTATTTAGAAATAGATTCACATGTGAGAAAACTAGAAGAAAATTAATGAAAGGATAAAAGGGATAGCAGTAATTCTGAGTAGTTGAGGGGATTTCAATTGGAAAAAAATAGTATCATATTCTTTAAGTCAGGTAGTGGGTATTAGCATTTGTTTTACCATCGTTCTTTATTCTTATAGCTACACTATATATTTTCAATGTATTTAATGTATTTTTTGCATAATTAAATATTATGCAATAAATGAGAAAACAAAAAAGTAGAAAATGATAAATTACAATAAAAAATGGAGAAAAAATTATAATCTAGTTGAGTAATGGTATATTACATAGCTATTTTCTTAAGTAGATGTATGTACATGATGTATGCACGATTGTACATACATGTTCTTAATTATATATAAATATATATGTACATATTTTTAATATAAAATACTAAACAAAGTACACCAAAATATTAGCTCCTATGTTAGTGAGATATTGTTTTGTTTTGTTGTATTTTAAGTTTTACATAGTAGGTGTATTTGTCTGTTTTCATACTGCTATAAAGAACTGCCCAAGACTGGGTAATTTATAAAGGAAAGAAGTTTAATTGGCTCACAGTTCAGCACAGCTTGGAAGGCCTCAGGAAATCTACAATCATGGCGGAAGACAAAGAGGAAGCAAGCCAGCTTCTTCGCAAGGCAGCATGAAGAAGTGCCGAGCAAAGGGGAAAGAATCCCTTATAAAACCATCAAATCTCGTGAGAACTCACTATCACAAGAACAGCACAGGGGAAACTGCCCCCATGATTCAATTACCTCCACCTGGTCTCTCCCTTGACCTGTGGGGATTATGAGGGCTATGGGGATTACAATTCAAGATGAGATTCAGGTGGGGATACAAAGCCTAACCATATCAGTAGGCATGTGTTGAATTTTAAACTCAGAGAAAAATACTAGTGTTTTTATAGGATTCTTACTAAAGAAAAACCAGAAAGTAATAAACCATCTACGCTAAGACATAAAATTCAGTTGTTTAGTTACAAGATAGAATGTGGCCTTGTAAGAAAGCAAATTAACTTCTAACATACAAAGCCTTAGAGAAGATTCAAGTGACTGACGGATCTTAAACAGAGCTATTATTACAACTCAAACTGCAGTAAAATATCCTCAGCAACATAGATGTGTGTGTTTCACTAGTCAGAGCAATACAAATTAAATGAAACTCCATTGGTGGTGTTTTTAATCAGACAATTTCTGAAGATGTCCTGGCTTAATTCATAGATGCAAGCCAAATCTCTAGAAGAGTACCATAATAAGAAAAAAAAGAATACAGGCAATTGAGAGCTGTTCCAAAGTTTAGGGAGTTTTTGTAAGGAATTAATAAATAAAAATGTTCTTGAAAGAGAGAAATTAATATGCAGTTCATACTGCCAGAATTGCAGGCAATTTATCAAACTCCCCTAATCCTCCAAAATCGCTATTTTTTTTTGACACACACTTTACAGTACAGAAGAAAATGTCTCCGGCAATAAATCACAAAGTTAAAATTACCTAGTCTACAATTAACTAGACAGTGATGGTAAATCATTTTCTACCAAAAGAAAGAAATGTCTTGTCTATTCAGGTTCTGCTCTACTTAAAAGTTTTCCTTGTTGGTGAGTAAGTGGTTAGAAAATCGTATTTTATACGTACATTCAGCTTAACTATCATTCAGCTCAGGAAGATGACTCAGGGCCTTATCCATACCTTCAAGTTTGCTCTTAGCAAGTAATTGTTTCAGTATCTATATCAAAAATGGCTTAAGTCTGCAACATGTTTCTGAATGATTAACAAGGTGATAGTCAGTTCTTCATTGAATCCTGGATGCTTTATTTTTCTTAATAAGAGGAATTCATATGGATCAGCTAGAAAAAAATTAAGAGGAAAATCACATGGAAAGTTATATATTATATATCTATTATATATAATATTATATATCTATTATATATAATATATATCTATTATATATAATATATATTGTATATCTATTACATATATCTATTATATATATATTATATATATTATATATTATATATCTATTATATATATAATATTATATATTATATATCATTTCCAAATTCCCCAGCGTTCATATTTGTCAGTGCAAGTAAAGAGCCTTAGTGCTGATGAGGTTTGAGGTATGACCATTTGGCCAGAATTTATGAACTCTACATGTCGCTTGATGTGTGCTTCAGGGTACACTTTTTTTTTTTTTTTTTGAGACGGGGTCCTGCTCTGTCGCCCAGGCTGGAGTGCAGCGGTGCGATCTCAGCTCACCGCAAGCTCCGTCTCCCGGGTTCACGCCATTCTCCTGCCTGAGCCTCCTGAGTAGCTGGGACTACAGGCGCCCGCCACTATGCCCTGCTAATTTTTTGTATTTTTAGTACAGACGGGGTTTCACCGTGTTAGCCAGGATGGTCTCGATCTCCTGACCTCGTGATCCACCCGCCTCGGCCTCCCAAAGTGCTGGAATTACAGGTGTGAGCCACCACGCCCGGCCAGGGTACACTTTTAAGCAGAGACACTACTTTGAAGGTCATAAAAAATATAATAAGAGATAAGGCTAATTTCCTTTAATAATAATAATAATAAAATCCTTTAATAAGAATATAAAGGAATAATATAATAATTTTCTTTAATAAAATATAATAAGAGATAAGGCTAATTTCCTTTAATAAAATATAGTAACTACATACCAACAGAATTCCAAAAAAAGAAATGGAGAGGAAGGGAGCATGGGTCATTAATCTTGTCAAAAATATAAAATTATATACGAGGAATTCCTAGAAACTGTTTTCCTTGTCTGCGGCCATTGTGCTGCTGCTACACAACTACCGCAAGCAGCCCTTCACGCCCTCCTCCCAGTACAAAGCTAATTGACTTGTGAGAAATGTTAAGCTTGGAAGAGTCAGCATCGCTGCACTTATTTTTTATTCTACTCTGACGTTAGAATAATCCTTGAGTGGGGGAAAGGTTAAAAACCCCCCTGGATAAGTGTTACTAATTAATGATGATTGTTTTAAACAATATTTGGATAACTTTTCCTTGTCCCTTGACATAAACTTGATAAATAACTGAGAAGTGAGAAGATTAGTGGGTTGATTAAATTCCATTCAGGTACTTAAAGTTAGCTCCAAAAATTTAGCTATTTATAAATTGTCATGCATTGTTAATGTATAAGAGATGTAGATTTCATTTATCTTTGGTGGAGCGAGATGAAGCAGTGAATCATTGAAGACTGAAAGAAAGAAAAAGGTCTTTTCCCTTTTCTTTAAGAAGCATCATTAGTTAAAAACATGTTAGTTGATACCAGAGAACTATATTTAAAGGGACAGCAATAAGCAAATTGATTATTCTGGTGATTATTGGAGTGACATTGCCTTTTAGTTGTACTTTCACAAAAATTCACAATATTTGCCAAAGTCAAGTTATCCATTACACTATTAATTTGTCATTCTTTTGTTTATATAGTCAATATCTCTATCTCAATTGGATCTATCTCAACTGCTTCTAAACAAGCCACCATAGTCTCTCCCATTTCAACAATCTCTTCCAAGTACCATTTCATTTCTTCTTTTCATATTTTTGAAAACTTTTGAAAAACTACCTATTTTCCTCCTCCATTTCTCGTTCATTCCATTCTAGTGGACATGGAATCTGTTCCTCCTCCAAAACGGAATTTGGTAACCCTTAAATTACTAAACCCAAAACAATATGTTGTTTTTATCTTTACCTCTCTGTGGCATTTAATGATAAGACCACTACTTTCTTCTCTTTTACCCTTCTTTCTTGAATTCAGTCAAACAACGTACTTACATTTTTTGTCTTATTCTCCATCTTAGAAACCACCTCAGCTTTCTCCATTCAGCCATAAAATTGTGCTTTTCCTCAAAGATTAATCTGCCTCTCCTCTCACTCTATACTATCTCTGTTAGCTAATTTTATTTGTGCACATTGCTTATACTGGGCATTACATACACATATGCATGTGTGTACATGTGCACACACACACTGTATGTGGACATGTATATATATATGTGTGTGTGTATATATATATAGTATATATATAAATTACAATAACATAAAGGTGGCATTTTAAATTAGTGGAAATTACCCTGATTTGATCACTACACATTCTATACATGTAAAGAAATATCACTCTGTATCCCAAGAATATGTACAATTATGGTTTGCCAAATGAAAAAGTTCATACATTGAAAAATTTTAGATAAATATCAAACTTTCTCTGAAACTGTAACTGTAAAATGTAAAAAACAGTAATTGCTATATTGCTTATTTCTGAGTAGAAGAATATGAGACATTTCCCTAATCATTATGTGTAATTACAATTACATATATATGTTTATATATTACATACATATATATATGTAATTGTAATTACACATAATGATTAGGGAAATGTCTCATATTCTATATATATAGACAGAAAGAGAGAAAATATATGAGGGAGAGAAAGAATCTTTCCATCTCCTTTGAGTTCCACGGTGTTGAGAGTCAGGACAACTGCAATTGCTTCATCATGCCTGCTTGCAATTATAGGGCTTTTGAACCATTTGTTCCCTCCTTAGATAGCCTCATTTTTTTCAGATTCTTGCTTAGAAGTCACTCCTCCGTGGACCTCCTCTGACATATTAAACATTGCAGTCCATTATAAGCTGCAAGAGGACAGGGATTTTTGCCTGTTTTATTCCCTACTGTATCACCAGGGGCTACAGCAATATCTGACAAACAGTGGGCATGTAATGAATATTTGTTAAGTGAAGTAATAAATTCAATCAAATCACATCACCTGTTTAAGGCACTTCATTGGCTTCACATTGCACTTAGAATAAAGAGAAATTCTTTTTATACAATATAAGTTCCTGCAGAATGCAGACACTTTCTACTTCTCCAGCCTCCTTTCAACTCCTCTCCTACTAGCTTCTGTATTTAAGCCACATTAGACCTTTCTTCAGTTTTTTATATAGACTTTGTCGCATCACACCTCAGAGACTCTGTACATGTTCTTCCTCCTGCCTAGAAAGAGTCGTCCCTCCACTTTCGCCAACTAATCCCTGCTCAACTTTTCATCTCAGCAGGAGGCCCATTCTCTTTGGCAATCCTCTGGCCTCCAGCCCATTTATTATATACTCACATGTCAACATGTACTTCGTACAGCATGTAACACAATTGCACTTTTATATTTTAACAAATTATATTTCCCATATTGAACTGTAAGTCTCCTGAAAGCAGGAATTTTGTTCTTGCTCATCATCAACTTTTTCAACATCCAGTGCACCATTTAGAACTTAGATGTAGTCAATACAGGTTTGTGGAATGAAAGAGGAAAAGAAAGAATTAATATTCCTTTAAATTAGGATGGCAAAGATCGTATATAGAAAATTGGCTAAGTTGTGGTCCATTCATGTTTGCTCCCAATTAAGGAGCACAGCTATGAAAAGGAAGGCTTCAAATTAATAACCAATAGATTTTTTAAAAAAGAAAACTGGCCGGGTACTGTGGCTTATGTCTGTAATATCAGCATGTTGGGAGGCCAAGGCAGGATTACTTGAGCCCAGAAATTCCAGACCAGCCTGAGAATTTGGCAAAACTCTGTCTCTACAAAAAATACAAAAATTAGCCAAGTTTGGTGGCATGTGCCTGTAGTACCAGCTACTTGGGAGGCTGAGGTGGAAGAATAGCTTGAGTCTGGGAGGTCAAGGCTGCAATGAGCTGTGATCGCACCACTGCACTCAAGCCTGGGTGGTAGAGTAAGACCCTGTCTCAAAAAAAAAAAAAAAAAAAGAAAAATCACTAAGCAAATAAGACATGTGAAGGATCATGTCAAAGGTAAGAAAAATTAGGGGAACATTAAAAGCTTTCTTCCCAAGCCACTAAATCAACTTGACTAACAAAATTACCACTTGATTTAGCATTAGAAAATTACATTACATATCAAACATAAACCCATTAATCAAATACTAAAGAAATTTCTGAGTTAAATGGTATAATGTTAGCTTATGCTTATGCCAGAGCTGACCTTGAAAGATTGTTCAAATATGGCTCAGTGTGATTGAAAGTTCTGTGTGAATATGTTTTTGGAAAGATCCAACAGCAACACCTTAGTGTATGTTTTTGAAATAAAATGTATCTGAGTAGCAGCAAAGTTATTCTCAAATTTCCATTTTATAGCTGGAGATGTTATACCGTGACATATATGATAGGACCCAATATGGATTAATCCCTTTTAGAAGTCAATCGGGAAGAGGGGAGCAGTTAAAACAGTTGCACCGTGACATATACGACAGGACCCAATATGGATCAATCCCTTTTAGAAGTCAATCGGGAAGAGGGGAGCAGTTAAAACCGTTGCTTGGTTTACAAACATCAGAACAATTTTCTTACTCACACCATCTGATTATTGTATTTTATTTTTTCCCCAACGTTTAGACTACACAATGAGTTAAGAACGACAAAAATAAGCTCACCAATATACTATGTACATATTTACCAAAATCTGTGCATGCCTATACATATAAACACAGCTGATAATTTATTAGTTAGGCTCATTTGTAATTTTTGTCACTATAGACCAGTTTTTTATTTAAATTGAAGATTAGTATACATTTTAAATGATTAGTCAAAATAAAAAATCTAAAATGTGCTCTAAATACCTCTTAGGTCAGAAAAAAAAAAGTCAAAAGCTAGAATATAGAGAAATTAAGAAATGCCCTAAATTTCTAATCTGACAAAAATTCATACGAGATTTAAATATTTTAATGGAAAACAGAACAGAACTAATCATTGAAGAAATTATAGAAAGGAAACAAAATAAACAGATTATATGGAGGATTTTTAGAAGATAAGTAAATAAATTAATATACTAGGAAAAAACAAGGGAAATATAATTGATAAATAAATACAGGTAAGAGTTCTTTTGAAATAATGATAAAATAGAAAATATCTGTCAAAACTAAAAGGAAAGATGCATAAATATATAAATAAATGATAAAACGATGTTGCATACATATATGACTTTTTCAGAATCAAAAAATTTAAATTTCTGTAATAAAATTTAAATGTTTATAAATTTAAAAACTAGAAGAAAGAATGCTGACTGTTCACAATACAAATAAATGACAAATATTTGAGGTGATGGATATGCTAATTATCCTTATTTGATCATTGGACATTGTATACATGTATCAAAATATCACTCTGTATCCCATGAATATGTACAATTATTTGTCTCAAAAACAAACAAAAGATAATGGGAGAATGTTGAAAACTCAGAGAGAAGAGCAACTCTCACAGATAGGGATCCAGAAAACATTAGCAGCTGATTTCTCGGCAGAAACCTTGAAGGCCAGTAGGCAGTGGATTATATATTTAAAATAATGAAGAAACCTGTCAATTGAGAAATCTATAGCTGG
Organism: Homo sapiens; assembly: GCF_000001405.40. NCBI lineage: Eukaryota > Metazoa > Chordata > Mammalia > Primates > Hominidae > Homo > Homo sapiens. Next base: position 242,125,086 of record NC_000002.12, on the reverse strand, counting down.
AAAACTTATCCTTCAAAAATGAGGGAGAAATTAAGACATTTCCGGATTTTTTTTAAAACTGAAAAAAAATCCATTTATCCCTGAATTTGCCATTCAAGAAGTGTTAAGTCCTTCAGGTTGAAATAAATGAACTCTAGGCAATAACTATATAAGTAAATAAGCAAGCTGTATGAATATACAAAGCTCTCTGTAAAGGTAAATACATAAACAAACATAAAAACAGTCCTATTGTAATTTTGGTTTCTAACTCTGCTTTTTATTTTCTACATAATTTAAAAGGCAAATGCATAAAATGTAATTGTAAATCTGTTAGCTGGTATACAATGAATAAAGATATAATTTGTTACATCAATAACATAAAAAGAGTAGAGCTATATGTATAGCAGTAGAATTCTGGTATGTGATTGAACTTAAGTTGAAATAAATTCAAATTAAAATGTTATAACTCTAGGATGTTATATGTAATTCTCATAGTAACCAAAAACGAAATATACATAGAATATAAACAAAAGGAAATGAGACTAGAAACAAAATGTGTCACTACAAAAAAATCAACTAAAGATAAAAAAGAAATAATTGAGAAAATGGCAAAAATCAGTAACTCTGACATATTAAAACTTTCCATGCTACATAAATCTGAAAACTCTATTTCACATAAAACTGGAGCTGAAAGAGACAAATATTTACCTATAAAGTTAAAAGTTATATAGGGAACAAACACTAATTTTTTTTAGAAAAAATTATAAAAAGAGTAAAAATATGCCTTATACTACCCCAATTTCATGTTTTACAGCTCTGGGAAAATAGAAAATAAAATGTTCTGTTAGCATGAATCCCTCTGTGCCCCCAAAAAACCCTATGGATTGCATCATTATTACCTAAAAAGTCTATTGTCAAATGCAGCAGAGTGATATTTTTTACAAGGTAGATATTAATTTTAGATATGGAATAATATTGGTGATTTCAATTTTATAACACTGGGTTAAGATGAAAGAATGAGAAGATAAAGGTCCCTCAGCAATATAACTCACAAACATATTCAGCAGTAAGAAGTTACATTAATTATCTTTTGAAAGTCAATAATCTACATCTTTAATGTATGCATATAGCATAGCTAATGTACTATCGCTGGGTCCATTTATTCAATGAATAATTGCCGCTATGTGTCAGACATTTTTCTAGGCCTAGGAATGGATACATAAGTGAACAAAGCAAAGATTCTGGTTCTTGTAGAGTTTCCATTAAAAGACCATTTAGTAAAACTGTTCTTCCCCCAAATTATAAAATCTGTAAGATGATTTAACAACATGTGTAAAAGTCATTGTGGGCCAGGCACGGTGGCTCATACCAGGTGTGGTGACTCATAGCACTCTGTCACCCAGGCTGGAGTGCAGTGGCACAATCTCTGCTCACTGCAACCTCTGCCTCCTGGGTACAAGCGATTCTCCTGCCTCAGCTTTCTGAGTAGCAAGGACTACAGGTGCACACCATCACACCTGGCTAATTTTTGTACTATTAGTACAGACGGAGTTTCACCATGTTGGCCAGGCTGGTCTCGAACTCCTGACCTCAAAAGATCCGTCTACCTCGGCCTCCCAAAGTGCTGGAATTACAGATGTGAGCCACAATGCCCGGCCTTATTTTCTACAACTTTGGTAACTTTAGCATATACCCCAAATCTGTAAGACATAATATTATAATTCAAATGCAACTCATGGCTTCTCATTGTACTCTTTCTCTAGCTTTTGAATTATTTATTCTAATACCAGTTTTAATTCTGACACAAAAGCATGGGAGTTCTAATCAAAATCCAACCTTTTATCATAAAAACTATGAAGAAATTATGAGTAGAACTTAAAAAGGAAAATAGGCCTATTAATTAGATTTGTCTTTGTAGCATTTAACTCTATAATAAATAACATAATATTTTATGCCTATGAGTACCCAACAAAGCCTCCAGCTTCTATTTAGATATAAAATGTAAAAGTCACTACTGGATCCACAAGCAAGACTATGGTAAAGAAATTTCTCCAGCTAACCAGCTTCTTTTACATGATGTTACATGTTTGTTTTTTCATTTTGGCAAATATTGATTGTCATCTTCGTGTTTGTCTATGTCCCAAGTGCTGGGATACAGAATCTGAAAAGATGGACACAGGACCTGCCTTCAAGTTCACCCTTTTTTTTTGAGATGGAGTTTTGCTCTTGTCGCCCAGGCTGGAGTGTAATGGTGAGATCTCGGCTCACTGCAACCTCCACCTCCAGGGTTCAAGTGATTCTCCTGCCTCAGCCTCCCAAGTAGCTGGGATTACAGGTCCCAGCCACCACGCCTAGCTAATTTTTGTATTTTTAGTAGAGATAGCGTTTCATCATCTTGGTCAGGCTGGTCTCGAACTCCTGACCTCAGGTAGTCGACCCACCTCGGCCTCCTACAGTGCTGAGATTACAGGCATGAGCCATCACGCCCTACTAGGAGTTCACGCTTTAGTTGGGGAAAATATACAATAAGCAAGCCAATTTTTAAAAAGAGAACTGCAATTAGAGTTAAATGCTACAAAGACAATCTCACAGGAAGATGGGATGTAGAATGATAAGGCTCTCAGAATAGTAAGAGAAACTATTGCTTCTTACGATGTTTGTCTTTCTTTGTATCAGTGCTCAGCTGAGTCTGCAGTGCTTCAGAGGCAGCTTTCATTTTATAAAAATCTATGATTTCTCCTTCCAGTTGTTTTTTCTCTTCCTCGAGCTTCCTTATCTCCTCCTGTTGAATCATTTTAAGATGCTCGAATTTGTCCTGCAGCTGTGAAACCAATGTGCAGTTGTGACACCAAAGGAGTGTGGCTGAACACCCAAAAGAATATGCTTTTTTGTGATTATCAAACAAACCCAAATCATCACAGTAGAGCACGATCTTAATAACAATCTCAAAAACTCAGGAGTAAACACTCAGATACGGAATTTTTCTTTTCTTTCTTTTTTCCTTTTATAAGATGGAGTCTCACTCTGTTGCCCAGGCTGGAGTGCACTGGTGCGATCTCAGCTCACTGCAACCTCCATCTCCCAGTTCAAGTGATTCTCCTGCCTCAGCCTCTTGAGTAGCTGGGACTATAGGCATGCACCACCACTACAGGCGTGTGCCACCACACCTGTCTAATTTTTGTATTTTTAGTAGAGATGGGGTTTTGCCATGTTGGCCAGGCTGGTCTCGAACTCCTGACCTCAGGTGATCCTCCCGCTTTGGCCTCCCAAAGACCTTTTTTTTTTTTTTTTTAATATAGAGACAAGTTCTCAGTATGTTGCCCAGGCTGGTCTCAAACTCCTGAGCTCAAGTGATCCTCCCACGTCAGCTTCCCAAAGTGCTGGGACTGACCGGATGCAGTGGCTCATGCTTGTAAACTCAGCACTTTGGGAGGCCAAGGTGGGAGGATCACTTGAGCCCAGGAGTTCAAGACCAGACTGGGTGATATAACACAATAGTAAACTTCAACAGGAGAGAGAATCTGTAAACTTGAATATAGATCTTCTGAAATTATCCAGTCAGAGGACAAAGAAAAAAAGAATAAAAAAGAGAAAAGAAGGCTGGGCGTGGTGGCTCAAGCCTGTAATCCCAACACTTTGGGAGGCCGAGGCAGGCAGATTAAGAGGTCAGGAGTTCAAGACCAGCCTGGCCAACATGACAAAACCCCATCTCTACTAAAAATACAAAAATTAGCCTGGTGTGGTGGCACACACCTGTAGTCCCAGCTACTTGGGAGGCTGAGGCAGGAGAATCGCTTGAACCCAGGAGGCGGAGGTTGGAGTGCAATGTGAGCCGAGACCACACATTGCACTCCAGCCTGGGTGACAGAGCACGACTCTGTCTCAAAAAAAAAAAAAGAAAAAAAAAGAGACAGAGAAAAGAAAGCCAACAAGACACCATTAGGCAAACCATTGTCAGGTTATGGGAGTTTGAGAAGGAAAGTAGAGAAAGGAGAAGAAAGCTCATTTAAAGAATGGCTGAAAACTGCCTAAATCATGGGAAAGATTTAGACATCTAAATCCATGAAGCTTAAAGATTCCTAAAGAGGTTCAAACCAAATAGATACTCACCAAGTCACAATATAATCAAATAGTCAAAAGTTAAAGAAACTTTGCAGGTCAGGACAGAATCGAATAATACATTCAAAGTGCTGAAAGAAAAAAACTGCCAGCAACTAATACTATGTCTGACAAAGCTGTCCTTTAGAAAGAAAGAAGAAATAACGTGTTTCCTCGACAAACAAAGCTGAGGGCATTCAGGACCACTAGGTCTACCTTAAAAAAATGCTGCGGATCACGAGGTCAGGAGATCGAGACCATCCCGGCTAAAACGGTGAAACCCCGTCTCTACTAAAAATACAAAAAATTAGCCGGGCGTAGTGGCGGGCGCCTGTAGTCCCAGCTACTTGGGAGGCTGAGGCAGGAGAATGGCGTGAACCCGGGAGGCGGAGCTTGCAGTGAGCCGAGATCCCGCCACTGCACTCCAGCCTGGGCGACAGAGCGAGACTCCGTCTCAAAAAAAAAAAAAAAAAAAAATGCTTAAGGGAGTTTTTCAAGTAAAAATGAATGAAGTTGGGAGCGGTGGCTCATGCCTGTAATCCCATTTTGGGAGGCCGAGGTGGGTGGATCACCTGAGGTCGGGAGGTCAAGACCAGCCTGGCCAACATGGCAAAACCCCACCTCCAGTAAAAATACAAAAAAGTAGCCAGGTATGAAGGCCACTGAGATCGTGCCACTGCACTCCAGCCTGGGTGACAAGAGTCAAACTACATTTCAAAAACAAAAAACAAAACAAACAAAAAAAAAAACTTGAGGCCTGGCCTTCTGCTCCTCTCCAACCTCCCCTTCTCTGGGCCCAAGCCACCTTGGCTGAGGAGGGGGCGAGGAGGTGTGAGCCCCTGCCAGGAACCCCCTGCCCAGACCAAGTACTCGGCCCCCAGGCCTGCGTTCAGTGAGGCCTCCCGTGGCGTCAGCATGTTCGTGTGGAGGAATGTGGAAGTTCACTCTGTGGCCGTGTTCCCCTGGTACTCCATCCCCTTCCTGACCCCCCCTCCCCCCCGCAGCTACACGAGGCCCAGCAACCTGCCAGTCACTCAGTGGCCTCCAACCAGAGAAAACAACCTGCCAAGTTGGCAGCTGTTGCTCATGAGCGTCCACCAGGTGGGACAGGGAGTGTTGACCCTACACTAGGTGCCTGGCCAGCAGCCCCGGAAGTTCTGCTCAGAACCAAACTGAACAAATAACATTATCTAAAGCTTATAATTAAACTCCCTAAATTTTCTGTCCTCCCAGTAGCACTTTCAAATGCCTAAAAGCAATTAAAAGAAACATTTTTCCAATGTCTCACAGAACCATTAGAAACACAAAATTAATAGCTTCATAAACTATAGCTTCTATTTTATCCATAATAGAATGAAGTTGCATAAACCACATAGTAATTAATCTTTGGACAAAAGCAAACAATAAATGGAATATATGGCTAAGATCCTTTCTTTTTGAGTGTGGCCCAAGATAAAAATTTCTTCCAAAAGGGTATCATTAATGCAATAAGGCTTTTGTGGAATTCTATTTTGTATGAAATTCCTGTTTTCTATTAGCTACTTCTTCCTCTGTGACACAAGCCTCATTCCTTGTGAAAAACACGAAGCAGAAAACATTCGTGAGATCATCAGGTAAAGATCCCACAACCGTTCTATCACTGACACAGTATGTAGGTACATGGTACGACCCCTAAGGGACCACCTTGTGGCATCCTCAGCAACCACAGAGCCACAGGGCAGATGAGTGTTTGCTCCCACTGAGGCTCTGCAACCTCTGCCACCAATACTGGAGAAATCCTCCAATCTCACTGTTTTCTCCTGAACTTGTTCCCTTCTGTTTTTCGATTAATACACAGCAAACAGGCACACCTTCAAGCTGCCAAAAGCATCTTAAACGTTGTACACTTACAATCTTCAAAATATAGTTGTTCAAAAGAGTCATCAAAGTAGTTTTTGAAATAGAACACTTACTTTGACCACATAATTGAACCTTCGGGTATCTTGAATTGCACTTGAGAAGTCTAACCGATTAAAGGTTTCTCCCAAGGTGCAATAGCCATGCCTCTGGAAGAGCAACACAGAAGTTAAAATTAGTCAATTAGCCAAAAAGAATTGGCAGTTAATGTCAATTAATTGTGCGATTAAAAAAATTTTGGCAAAGGACAATTTGTTTTTATTTTGAAGACTGGTTTTAGATTTAGATGAGAGTATAGTAAAATTGTAGCAATGCTAATAATTTAAGCTGTTTATGTATACCTGAGACACCGTTAACTGACATTTTTTACAACCTGCTGAAGTAATGACAAAGACAAATATTTATTAAATATCTTGCTGGTTTGTTTTGTTGGGGACAAACTGGGGTGTGGACGACGTTAAAGCTAAGATCATAAAAAAACTGGATTCATTCTAGGCTACGCAACTAAAAATACATAAATCATCTGATTAACTGCATTGTAAGGATGTAGGTGTTACAAATATCTAGTTGAAACACAGGATTTCTCTGCAGGGGAGGCATGCACTGCCCGAGTTTGAAGTGTAACATGGGATTTCTCTGCAGGGGAGGCATGCACTGCCCGAGTTTGAAGTATAACATGGGATTTCTCTCCAGAGCAGCCATGCACTGCCCAGGCTGGAAGCATGCTCAACCACAAGGGTCAGGGCTGAGAGAGGCGCTTCGGTAGCAAGAAGGTGCTTCTGAAAACCAGCATTGGGATGGAGAGGGCTGAAGGCAAGTGCTGGATGTGACCACGGGCAGCTTTCAGGCTGGGAGCACGGATGCCAAGAACCCAAAACACCAAAAAAACTGGTGCTTAGACCCACAGGTCCAAGAACTGAAGGAAGAAAATGAAACAATTTATTTTCAGTACTGTAAACACTGCTGCTATTCTCTTAGATGTTTTTCTTCCATGATATACCCTTATCCTGTATTGGTTTGTATAGATTAGCACATTAGGTTTCAGAAGTCATTTTAAACTCCATCTTCATCCTCCATATTTGAAATATTTAAAATCTACAGATTTTCAGGTCAAAGTTGTAGAGATAAGTAAGCTAGAAAACAATAATAGAAAACATGAGATGACTGGTCTCAAATTCCAAACAGGTGACTTGAGATGTCCTAGAGAAAGCAGCTGGAGTCATAGCACCTTTGTCTCCAACAGCCGATACACTCAGAGGCTCATGTGCTTCTGTGCGCCAACCCCAATCGCCCTGACGGGTGCACAACTCAACTAAATATACTCATTTAAAACATCCAAATATGTTGACTGAGTGCCTGCTATGTGGAAAACATTTTCCTGGGAACTCTGGGGAAAGGAAACACTCATTTTGATATAGATTATAATCTGAAATCCATCACAGCTGATATTCCACACGATGGTGTAGCAGACACTTTCCAAGGTCACCACCCATCTCACAAAAGGAAATTAAATCTGATTCACAGAGCAGACCACAAAGAGCATGTCTGGACCTAGAACCACAGCATGTAACCTCGGAAGCAGTGAGACACCAGCCAGCATGGACAAGCAGCAGGCACTTGCTCTATACCAGGTGAGGGTGTGGAGACATGACGTGGTGCAGGGACACCAGCACCCAGTCCTAGTTCTGGTCCCTCTCAGCCTTGTTAGGTCCTGGTTCCTAGGATTCCAGGGAACATCCCCACAGCCTCACAATAAGATCCTCCTTTCCTGTATATGCTAGCTTGGATGGGATCCTCTGTTCTGTAATCAGTATGGCAACAGAGCAGATGAAATATTTAATGGTCTTTCATGAGCACTAAATTTTGTTTTTTACAAACTAGGTTAGATTCTGTCAAATAATCGTCTAATGGTGTATTCGAGTGTATATTAAGGATCTGATTCATTCTATACCCACTAACCATAAACAAACAGATTAAGTTTTCTTTCTCAGAATCTAATCCTTCAGTTTCTTGGAAGCTGGACTAGTTTCAGAGCATCTACAAACATTTCTGGAATATTTAACTTACCCTGAAATAACATACGATAGACAGTAATTCCCTAAATTATTTTCCCCAATTGTTGCAAAATAAAGCAAATGCAGAGTTTCTAGGACTATAAAAGGAACTCAACTTCCCGGATCCTAGTAAAGAAACAGGAAACAGCTTGAAGCTCTCTGGTTTGTTTTATGGCTCATGAAAAAGCTTTAGCCCAACTTGGCAAAAGAAAGGCAGGGAAAGAGTTCACATGGCTCTGCACAAACCCAACCCAATTACTAATTTCATGTTAGCCACTCTTTATGTGGAATTAGAGGGCTCACAGATGCCCTGCCCTCCAAAACATGCCACAGGGAGGACACATTCCCATCAGCATCAGGGGTTCATGCTAACACAGAGAAAATGCGTATGACCGCAGGAGTCCATGCTTGGTTTAAATAGCCCTGCTGTTGACTCAGATATGTACAGGTAGGCAGGAACCACACACTGCACACATATACCACATGCCACCACACACCATACATCCCACAGACCAATGTGTGCACAAATACATGCACAACCATACATACACACCATACATACAACACACATACACCATACACACAACACACACCAATGTGTGCACAAATACACAGCCACATACCACATGCACATGCAAGCACACACAGTGGCGAATCACTGCCTCAAAAGCTCCTCATATGCTATTATCTGTCAGAATGTGAACCATAGATCTGACATTGCAAAAGAAATGTGTTTTATGCAACTTTATTAATACATTTATTTAATGTGACTCCATATTCAACAGAAACAATCCAAGATACTCTCTTATTTATAATAGAATACTTACTTCTTTTGTGCTTTCTTTATGGACATAGATCCATTTTTCATGATAAAAACCTAGAATAAAAATTACCTTTGTTTTTAAAATCTGGCAAATCATTTCAAAATGAAGATTTTAAAGGAATTTAAATAATTGGACATGTTAACAAAATTATCTGACTTACTATATTGACAAGAAATGCTTTTACTTGGTTGAATGCAAACAGAATTGCTTTGTTTCTTAAATCAGTTTAAGATATGAACAATGATTTCAGACAGTACCAAGTCCTAGTAACTTAGAAGAAAATTAGTATTATTAATGACTGAAGCCATATGAAGACATAAATGATTATAAAATGCAATTACATTACTACATTCCTATGTACCCTAATAAAAAGTTCTATTCTTCTGTTGCTGTGTATAGTACTCCATAGAAACAAATTTTTCAGATAAATCTTAAAAGTTTCAAGAATCACACTAACTGTATTCTCCATGTGACCCTATCTTCTTCATAAAGTAGTCCCCCCGTATTCACAGTTTCATCTTCTACAGTTTCAATTACCCACAGTCAGCTTTGGTTTGAAAACATTAAGTGGAAAATTCCAGAAATAAACCATTCATAAGCTTTAAATTGTGTGCCATTCTGGGTGGTGTCATGAAATCTCACACCGTCCGGCTCTGTCCTGCCTGGGATGCAAATCCTCCCTTTGTCAAGCGAGTCCTACACTACCCGCCCCTTGGTCACTCAGTAGCCGTCTTGGTTATCGGATCACCTGTTGAGATATCACAGTGCTTGTGTTTAAAGAACCCTTACTGTACTTCATAATAGCCCCAAAGTGCAAGAGCAGTGATGGTGGCCATCTTGCTATAACTGTTTCATTTTATTATTATTCTCGTTAATCTCTTACTGCACCTAATTTATAAATTAAACTTTATTATAAGTGTGTATATACAGAAAAAAAAACATAGTATCCATAAGGTTTGGTAGTATCCACAGTTTCAGGCATCCACTGGAGGTCTATCCCGAGGTAAGGGAGCCTACTATACATTAACAGGTGTCTTGGTAACTCACAGATATGCTGCATGATAGAACTCTATGCCCTCTCACAGATAGGTCCCACCTCCAGCCTTCCCCTGCTGCCATCTAACATCCTAAACTCCAGCTCTGAATGTCTGTCTCCTGCTGTGAATCTTCAATGACTTCGAAACTCAAGTCAGGACACCTCTCAGTTTGGCCTCACTGCTCAAGATTGAGCTGAATTCATGACCATAATTCAAGCATTCAGATTCATGGGCTGTTTTGTGGGTTTTGCTATCTCTTATTTTGTTTTTGCACATCTTACCCACTGAAACGTTGGGCTGCAAAAAGTTTGATCACTAAATATGTAGGCAATGCTGGATACTGGGCTGTTATTTACATATTTGTATCACCTTTTATTTCATAAGATAGCACTGTCAGAGTAATTTAGTATTTCAACATAATCAACAAGTAAAATAAAATTAATGAGAATGATCTTACTTTGAGTATTTGTGTCATTTCTAAAATGGTCCTTTTTCTTTTTTTGGATGCATATTCATGCTCTTCATTATTGAGTATTTCTCCATCTTCGCTATTTAAGATACTGAAATAAAGACATATTCTATTAAAATATTTTTTCAGGGAGATCTTCATTTGGCTTTTCTTTTGTAAAAGGATACAAATACTTCAAAGTGACAGACTGTGGGCTTGAAATCACAGGGGTAATGTCTAATACATTTTTGTTTCATTTTGAGAAATAAGATGTATCCTGGTTCTTTGAGAATATTGTACCAGAAAGTGCTGAACATGTTTTAGAATCTCTGAAGGGTCTTGATATGCTTATCCAAGGTAGTTTCAAACATCAAAATGGCTTATTAAAACAGAGATTTTTTAAAAAACAACTATTAAAACTCCAGAAAAAAGATGGTAAGAACATGATGATACCCAATACTGACCAATGACTTGATGTATCCCTTACCCCATGCTGAGTAACCACTCAACATTTCTGTTTACTCCCTATATGTTTTAAGGGTTTAACTGAAGTTAATTATTACTGCACTGAACATGTTTTTATTAAGCACCAACCACATACACTGTTAACACATTTAACTGGAACCAGGTGAAGTGACATGTATATTTTTACTATTTAAATACGTTTAATTAAAAGCTGTTCTTTGTGAAACAAGAAAATCAAATCATAAGGCAATAACTAAACAATGGGAACACCTTTTACTTTTTAAAAAAATGTCTTCCTTACAGAAAAAAAAAAACACCTGTAAATAGTAATCCACATCCTCAAAACTAAAGATGTGTAAAATTTTTATTTTCCACACACTGATAACAGATTTTCAGTGTAAAGTGAGGAAGGAAGCTCTGTGGAGACAAGCTGGTTGGTGGAGGCATGCGAGAGTGGTGCTCAAATCCAAGGAACTAAAATTGCTTATTTGCCGGTCATCGTTCTTTGACAAGAAAATTGTACACAAGCCCCTTTCCACTCACCACTATTCACTTTTAGTAAAAAACAGCTGACTTTGCCAAATGAGTCACTTTCTCACTGTCAGAACAGACTTAAACAGCAGTGCCAACAGTTGTAAATCATCAAGACAAGCAAAGCACATTTGAAAAACATACAAACAACTGAACTTTTTGTGGCAGACATTATAACAGCAATTTATGGAAATGTGTTGATGTTTGTATTTTATATTTAGTCTTACACCAGTTTGTTATCATTGATTGAAATACTGAATGTAGAAGCTTTAGAATCTAAAAGGGCTTTTCTAACGAAAATTACAAACATATCAAAGGAAAAGCACAAATACGATGTTCTCCAGAAATAGTGTCGCAGAAATAAAGACAGAATATGGAAGGAGACAGGATTGCTGACTAATCTCATATGTACAGGGAGAACGACACTCCATGCAGCTTAGCTCCAACATATGAGCGTGGGACAGAAAAGCAAGGTGAACCTAAAGACATCCCATGGACACACTGAGCTGGAACCAACTCTGCCCATAGGTGGTGGGGCCAGGTTCAGATGCTTGCAGTAACCGCATCCTCCTGTGAATCTGGGTCTACATGGCTGTGGCTCCCTGGGGGCTACCCACACTGTGGATTCCACAGGTGATGGTGACCTTCTTGGGCACTGCTGGGACACTTCCTGGGCCTGCCTGGGCAGTGGTAGGGCTCAGAGAACTTCAGCGTTAGGGCCTTGGGGAGTCTATGTCAGACTTGAGGACCAAGCCTGGGCTCACAAATGACAACTAGGCTACTATTTTTACAAAGTATTTTAAATGGGGAAAAAGCCATTATTTTTTGGTTGTGGGTTTTACACTGTCAGGTAAATAAAAATGTACAAGTAGAGAAGAAAGATGAATGCTTCTGAAATTTAAATTTGACACATTAAAATGTTAATAAAGGAGTATTTAATTTATAAATCTTTCTATTCTGCATGTGTCAACTACATTTCATAGCAATCAACTACATGTCATAGCAAACATGTTCTCTTTTTATAACCTTCAAGACAAACATCACCTACTCTGACTTAAAAACAAGGGAACCTGCCCAACAACTTGATTAAAAAATGTCAAACAACTTCAACAGACACTTCTCCAAAGAAGAGACACAGCAGCCAATAAGCGCATGAAAAGATGCTCCACATCACGAATTGTTAGGTAAATGCAAATTAACACTACAATGAGATACTACCTCACGCTCATTATGAGGCTACTGGCAAATTAAAAAAAAAAAGTTTAACAAGTGTTGACATGGATGTGGGGAAACTGGATCCTTCATGCAATGTTGGTGGAAATGGAGGATGATATAGCTACTATAGGAAACAGTATGGAGGTTCTTCAAAAAATTAAACACAGAATTACCATATGATCCAGCAATTCCACTTCTGGGTATATATTCAAAAGAACTGAAAGCAGAGAATGAAAGATACTTGTATACCCACGTTCATAGCAGTATTACTTGCAACAGATAAACATGGAAGCAACCCACATGTCCATCAGTGGATGAATAGATAAGCAAAATGTGGTGTACACTATACACAATATGGAACATTATTCAGTCTGAAAAAGGAAATGCTGACACATGCTACAATAGGGCTGAAACTTGAGGACGTTACGCTGAGATAAGACAGTCACAAAAGGACACATACTGTCTGATTTGACTTATATGAGGTACTCAGAAAAGTCAAATCATACAGACAGAAAATAGAAAGCCAGTTACCAGGTCTGGGGGTGCTGGAGAATGAAAAGTTAGCGTTTAATGGGGACAGAGTTTCAGTGTGGGAAGATGTAAAAGTTCTAGAGATGGATGGTGGTAATGGTTGCACAATAATGTGAATGTACTTAACACCACTGAACTGTACATTTAAAAATGGTTAGGATGGCAATTTTATGTTATGTGTATTTTGCTGCAATTAAAGATAAACAGGGTGCAAGAGAGGAGAGGAAGTAGCAGCTTGTCTTGTTCATGCTGTCTGAGGTGCATGTCGGAGGGATGGGGTGGGGGCGGGAAGTGTTAAAAACAAAGAACAGAACATTATACAACACAAGCGGAAAACACAGGGCACAAATGCACTTGTATAAAACACAGAGTTTCCATAAACTTAAAACATGTCTGAATGATGGAGCTAACAGCCCTTAACTCCCCACACCCAGGCTGCACCACAGCATATGTCACCCCCTTGCTTGCAAATGTGCCCAAAAGGCAATGACATTCCAAGTTTCCTCTGACAAGCCCAAGGACAGGGCATGAGTTTTCCAAGTTCCTTTCCATTCAAGAAAAGGAAGAGAAGAGAATAGAGAAGAATCAACAAAACATCTCCAAATAGAAGTAAACGAGAGCCAAGAACGGAACTATTTCTCATAATTAAACCCCAATTTCTATAAATTACAATCCTCATTCTAGTGATGACCTATAATAAGATTTGCATTTTCCTCTGATGGTATTTTCCTTAAGAGATGGATAACAAGGTCTTAATCTTCATCTCCCAGACCACTCTAGGGTTCTAAGCACAGGCTTTACAGAAATGTGCTGTTATGGGCCATCATCTTCAAATCATTTCCACACAAGTCTAGGAAAATAAGACAGGCTAGGATAAGCCTCCGGTTTTTAAAATTGCTAATCAAGGGCATCAGTTCTTAACTATATTGCTGTAAGATATGTCACAAAACTTTTGTTACCAGTAAGAAAAATGACCAACATTTGTGAATGATTTAATTTTTAATAATTATTAAAGTACTACACTACACATAATAAAAAATAATACATACTCATAAACTCAACTTCCCTGAGTTGCCAGTAGGAAGCAACCCTGCCGAGCCCTTGATTTTGGATTTCTGGCCTCCAGAATTGTGAGGACATACATTTCTGTGGTTTTAAGCCACCGAGTTTGTGGTTATGGAATCCCAGAAAATGAATAAAATTATCTATCTTTTCAAGCTACTTCAGTTTGATATTGATTATGAAAGGTACATATATGCTATCAAACAGAAGAGACTTTAGGGAGAAAAAATCTCGCATAAATGCAACAAGTTGCCATGACTCTAAGTGCCAAGGTCATATAACATGCAGACTGTGATAATTTCACCAAAACCAAAACAAAGTGGAACAAATCCTCAAACACAGTTGCTGATAATTCCCACCCTGGCCTCCTCTGACATTTCCTTTGGATCAATTTGGCTGCACCTCTTCTGTCAAGCAGGAGCTGGAGGACATTTTGGTCAGCTCCTCCCCAGAAGGGAGCTACAATCTCTGCTCTAACAATCCCCAATTGTTGTCTTAAGTTAGACTGTGTTCATCAATGGCTACCTACTAAACTTAGCTTTTTATCTGTACATTTTCCAATCAGGTCGTATTATTTTCTCCTGGTAGGCAAATGTTTACATTTATCCATTTTCCTGATATAAAGCTACTTCGTATCAGTGTGTTATTAGTCTCTAATTATAAGAAGATAATCCAGAAGAGAAAGTCCAGTCAATTTTATATAAGTTAAAAAAAAGATGTGAAACCTATTTTCAGAATTAACATTTCCTTCCTAAATATCTAACACAACACACAGAAGAGAAAGTCCAGTCAATTTTATATAAGTTAAAAAAAAGATGTGAAACCTATTTTCAGAATTAACATTTCCTTCCTAAACATCTAACACGACACACTTACGGACTCTTAACACACCCTTCTTACACGAAGGGAGCAGCAGAGCAGAGGGCGGCAAGAGCACCAAGGCCAGGTGGAGCCACTGCCTATGTGGGCCCATCTCATTCCGCAGGGAGAAGCAACCGCACTGTGCACAGAGTGCAATCTGGCAGAAGGGAAACGCCGTCTTAAAGAGCTTCAGATGCAGCAACCTCGAGGAAGGGCTGTGCCAGAAAGTCCACCAGATGAGGCCGCAAACCTATCAAAGGGCATCAGACACTCTGTGCACAGGGTACACAAAACAATGCCTCCCACATTCTGTGACTTCCTGCGTGTGCCACTTGGACCACCACACTCCCTACCTGCACCATCTTACCTGGACAGACTAAATCTCAGCCACCTCATGACTAGGATATTAACATGGCTTCCAGTTCTATAAATTCCTCCCCCTTAAGAATGCATGTCCAGAAATGATGAAAACTGGACTTGTGAGTAGCTTTGTAGTAGGGATTACAGGTCCAGAATAGAATAGGTTCAGTAACATATTTAAGATATTTAAGGGAAAAAATATAAGCCAAAGATTTAACATCTAAATAGTGACTATCAAGGGTAAAAGTCACACATATTTTTTATGAGTACACACAAACACAGGAAGTACAGTGACCAGGAGCTGAGGGATGACCCACTAAAGAATAAGCTCCAGAAACCAAAATGACTAGAGGCAGATGCAAAGGTGAGCTGCAGGTGGTCTGTATTTATCTGTGGAGCTGCTGGCACATGACGGTGATAAAAGTGCAGCATGCCATGGTTACCAGCTTGGACAATGCAGACAAAGAACAACCACCAGAGAAGTGGTAGGGGCGGGCAGAAGATGTGCAGGAGCCAACTGGGACTGGGGTGTCCATCAGCTAACTGCAGTATCAGGTACTATGGGGAGCCAACCAAAGAAACTAAGTGTTTGCTATAAAGGCATTAGGATAAAAGTGGGAAAAAAAAGGGAGGAAGAAAGCCCTCTTAAATACCAAAAGGGTAAAAGCAAATAAAATAGAACAAGGTGGTTCCCTGTTATCTGTGATGTAAAAAATGGACTTGGCTCACCTATTAAATGGAAAACAGTCTTGGATTGGCTCACAAAGCAAAATCAAACACCATACTGCATATAAGATATACAGCTATAAAAGGCTGGGAAAATATATAGAGAATTTATAGGACTCAGAAAAAAAGTAACTGTCACAGGAAACTTTATAGCATTAAATACCTATATCAACACAAATTTAAATAATAAAAATAAATTATTTAAACATATAACTGAAAAAGCCAGAAAAAGAATAAGTGAACCAAAAGAAAGGGGTGAATTATTACAAATAAAAGCAGATATTATTAAGTAGAAAAAGAATAGAACTAAGAAGTAAATCCAAAAGCTGGCTCTCAAGAGAAAATAATCAACCAAAACAAACCACTAGGTATCTGATTAGAAAAAAAAAAAATAAGAAAGTTACAAGTGCTAACAGAAGAAAACTTAAACATTGTAAAAGATAAGGAAAAGAAAGGGATAGAGAGAAAAATGTGTAGATTAAAAGAGACTTTAAAAACATATCAAATTTTAAGAATAAAACAACACTAAACTATAGTGTCTAGGGATATACACTTGGTGATAAAACTATAAAGATTAGGGAAATGATTACCATTAAGAGTTTGGGAAGTGGTTATTTTTGAGGAGAGGAAGTAGGTTATAATAGAAATGGGACATGTGGTGGGCGCTTCTGGGATGATTGATAAAGTTCTATTCCTTGACCTGGGTGTGGTTACAAGGATGTTTCCTTTATAAAAATGAAGAAAAACATTAAAAAATCATTACAGGCAACTTTATAAAACTCTTTGCAGTAAGTTAGAAGTAGATGAAACATTTTTAAAAAATATTAAATTTAATGCTATTCCAATACAAAATCAAGTTTTTTTCTTAGAGCTAAACAAGTTAATTATAAAATGCATTTAAGAACAAGAAGAAACTATCCTAAAATTCATATGGAATGAAAAGAGAGCCCAAATAGCCAAAGCAATCCTAAGCAAAAAGAACAAAGCCAGAGGCATCACACTACTCAACTTCAAACTATACTATACAGCCCCAGTAACCAAAACAGCTTCTGTACTGGTACAAAAACAGACTCACAGACCAATGAACAGAACAGAAAACTCAGAAATAAAGCCACACACCTACAACCATCCAATCTTTGACAAGGCCAGCAAAAGCAGCAGTGGAAAAAGACCATCCTATTCAATATATGGTGTTGGAATAACTAGCTAGCCACATACAGAAGACTGAAGCCAGACCCCTACCTTTCACCATATACAAAAATTAACTCAAAATATATTAAAGATTTCAATGTAAGACCTCAAACTGTAAGATCCTGGAAGATAACCTAGGAAATACTCTTCTTGACGTTGGCCTTGGCAAAGAATTTTTGGCTAAGTTCCCAAAAACAATTGCAACAAAAACAAAAATTGGCAAGTAGAACTTAACTAAATGAAAGAGCTTCTGCACAGCAAGAGAAACTATTGACAGAGAATACAGACAACCTACGGAATGAGAGAAACTATTTGCAAACTATGCATCTGACAAAGGCCTAATATCCAGAATCTACAGGGAACTTATGCAAAAAAACAAACGACCCCATTAACAAATGGGCAAAGGAGTGAGCGGAAATTGCGCCACTGCACTCCAGCCTGGGCGTCAGAGTGAGACTCCGTCTCAAAAAAAAAAAAAATGGGCAAAGGACATGAACAGGCACTTCTCAAAGAAGATATATAAGTGGCCAACAAACATGAAAAAGGCTCAGTACCACACAGCATTAGAGAAATGCATCAAAACCACAATGAGACACCATCTGACACTAGTCAGAATGGCCATTACTAAAAAGTCAAAGACAACAGATGCTGGCAAGGCTGAGGAGAAAACAGAATGCTTATACACTGTTGACAGGAATGTAAATCAGTCCAGCCATTGTGGGAAGTGGTCTACAGATTTCTCAAAGAACTTGAAATAGAACTACCATTCTATCCAGCAACCCCATTACTGGGTATACATCCAAAAGAAAATAAATCATTCTACCAAAAAGACACAGGCACTCACATGTTCATTGCTGCGCTATTAACAATAGTAAAGACACAGAATCAACCCAGGTGCCCATCAATGGTAGACTGGATAAAGAAAATGTGGCACCTATACATCATGAAATACTACACAGCCATAAAAAAGGAATAAAATCACACCCTTTGCAGCAACATGGATGGAGCTTGACTTAATTCTAAGCAAATTAATGCAGGAACAGAAAACCAAATACCACATGTTCTCACTTATAAATGGGAGCTAAACATTGAGCACACATGGACACAAATATGGGAACAACAGACACTGGGGACTACTAGAAGGTAGAGGGAGTGGGGGTGGGTTAAAAACAACTACCTATTGGGTACTATACTAACTAGGTGACAGGATCTGTACTCCAAACCCCAGCCTCATGCAATATTTTCATGTAACAAATCTGTACATGGACCTTCTGTATCTAAAATAAAAGGAGAAGAAGAACCAGTAAGCACAAATAACCAGACAACTCTGAGTAAGAACCACAATGGTGAAGACTCTAGCCCCAGCTGACATGAAAACACAGTATTAAGCCTCTCTATTTACATCAGTGTGATGAGGGAAGTCCATGAAGACAGAGAGAAAACCCTGTAGCCCCAATTGCCCATGGAAATTTAGTATGGGAAAAAGAGATATCTCAACACAGCAGGAAAGGGGCTTTTCAGTTAGTAGTGCTGCTGCAGTAACTGGACAGCTACTGCACAAAGACACAAACAGATTTGTTCCTCACGTCATGCTCCAAGATAAATTCCAAATGGAGCATAAGTTCTCTTCTCTCTCCTGAGGCATAATTCATATACAGCAGAATAGACTTTTAAGTACAGTTCAGGGAGTCCTGACCTGTGTACCTCCTGTAACACATACCCAATCAAGACACCATAGAAAGCTCCATATAGCTATTAAGTCAATCACCAGGGAGGCTCACCACTCTGCCTCTCCTTGGGAGCTAAGAGGTAAGCCACCATCATGAGTCCTGTGCTGACGCAGGCCCCAGACATGACTGACAGCACAGTCAGACTACGTGATGTCTCTGGCTTGCCTATTAATTTTCTTAATGATGACTTAAGAAGACTTTTAAAGATGATTTTAGACTTGCACAAGAGTTTCAGAGGCAGGACACACGGTGTCCCCAAGTTTCCACCCACCTTCATGCAGCCATAGAACAAGGATCAACACCAGAAGAGGAACTCTGGCATGGTACTCCCAGCTCAACCACAGGCTTTGCTGTTTTGCCAGGCCACCCACCAGAGCCTGTCTGCTGCTGGGCCCAGTCCAGGATCCACACTGTACTTAGCTGACACACTTCCATGGCCCCCCATGCCAGAAGAGTTTGTAGTCTCCTCTCATCACCTTGAAGAGTACTGGTCAATTATTTTGTAGAATGTCCTTCAAATTGGGTTTGTCTGCTGTTTTCTCCTGATTCAGCTTAGGGAAAACCACCACAGATGATGTGCCACTCACACAGCACCACATCACAGGTACCTGCTGCCAATATGATGCCACCTTTGAGTTCTTGGTTGGGGCTGTGTCTGCCAGGTTTCTCCACTGTAAAGTATTGTTCCCTTTGTAATGAATAGCTATTTGGGGGGAGACTTGGCAGATAATTCTATTTCTCCTAATTCTTTCACCTGTTAGATTTCACCTTGCTGCATCTGTCAAGGGACTGTGCTTATAACAATTATCATGGTGATTTTCTATTTCCCTTATTCCTTCTACATTTATTAACTGGAATTTTACAAGGAAGAACTGTTCCTTATCCCTCACTTATGCATTCATTTATGTATTGATATCAGCCTAAATGGATGGCTATTTCTTTTCTTTTTTAGGTTGTAATCCATTACTACTGTTGTCTATCCTGTGGCTCGAACTGCTCCAGCTTTGGCCAATGCAGCACTTTTTGACGGACATCTACCCTTCTGATATCTGACAGGCTGCCATCACTCACCTTTCATTTGCCCTACCCCAGCCCTGGAACCAACCCCTTCCCTGAGGAGCCCTTAGGATCCACCATCTCAGGCTGGCTCTGGTCACTGATGCAGGTGTCACTGCTCTAAGGCCCTCTGTCGACAGACTTAGAAAACAGATGTGTTACACTAACTCACACATGCATAGACCCACATTTCTCTCTCTCTGAAAAAACCAACAGCCCTAGTTCATGCTGACACCTCCAACCCTGATCCAGAACCACAGGATAACTCTAGCACCATCCTTCCTTATTTGTAACTTCTTCCTAGAATACGTACAGTTTTGAGATTGCTAACCCATGCCCCTATGAGAAACAAGTGCACTAACCAGAGGTTTTATCTTTAGCCTTACAGCATCCTGTCAAAACACTGTTTTCCAAAGTTACTGATAGGTCAGCTAATTCCACATCCATTTCACTATGGTTATGGCAGCATTCCCTAACCGTTTTGGCACCAAGGACCAATTTCTTAGAAGACAGTTTTTCCACAGACTGGGGCGAGGAGGGGGGATGGTTTCAGGATGAAACTGTGCCACCTCAGATCATCACACTAACATCATAGTTAGAGTCTCAAAAGGAGTGAGTGAGCAACCTAGATCATTCACATGCACAGTTCACAATAGGGTTCATGCTCCTATGAGAATCTAATGCTGCTGCTGACCTGACAGGAGGCAGAGCTCAGGCAGTAATGCTTGCCTGCCCTCTGCTCACCTCCTGCTCTGTGGCCCAGGTCCTAACAGGCTACGGACAGGTACCGATCCGTGGCCTAGGGGTTGGGGACCCCTGGATTATGGGATAAGTTTGTAATACCATTTGATTCATCTGTCACAGTTTGTATCACTTGGGCACTCCCCCCAGTAACACACACACAAACATCTTTGTTGATTTTAGTGAAATTTTGTGGTGCACAGTTCCATGGGTTTTGACAGGTGCACAGTCAAATCTAACACAGTCCCATCACTCCCCAAACTGCCTCTCGCTCTCTTTGTAATCAACTCCTTTTCCCCAACTCTTAACCCCTGGCAACCACTGATTTGTTCTTCTTCCTTATGGTTGTGCTTTTTCTAGAGCATCCTTTAAATAGAATCATACAGTATGGAGGCCTTTTAGGTTTGGTTTCTTTCACTAAACAAAACGAATTTAAGATTCATCCATGTTGTGGGAATTAATAGTTTGTTCCTTTTGACTTTTGAGTGGTATTCTGCTGTAGAGATGTTACCACAATTTGTTTATTCATTCACCAGTTGAAGGATATCTGATTTTGAGTGTTGGCAATTACTGAATAAAACTCTATTAACAGTCACATGCAGGTTTTGTGTGAGCATGAATTTTCACTTACCTTGGGTAAACACCTAGAAGTGAGACTGCCAGGTCCTAAGGCAGTGTAACACAGTAAGAAGCTGCCACACTGTTTTCCAGAGTGGCTGTGCCATTCTGCATTCCCAGTAGCAGGATTGGAGAGCATATTCCTGCCAGCACTTGGCACTGTCCTTGCCAGCACTGGGATGCTTCGTGATTGTTCTTTCATCTTAGCTACTGATGTAGGCCTGTGCTGGTACCTTATGAAGAAGGTGCACAGCCTTCCAAATCACCTAGGCCCACTGTGGCAGTCTCATTCCCCAGAACATACTGTTATATCTCTAGCTGGTCAGCTGCTTGCCCCAAATGGTACTGTGGCCTTAGGCTAGCTGCAGTGTTTACCTTCCGGATTGCTTGCATTTGTTTCCCTAACAATAAATTATGTTGGGCATCACATGCTTATTTTTCTCTGCTTATTTGCATGGGCTTCTCTGCAATCCATGCAAGTTGTTTGGTGAAGTACAGGTTCACCAAAACTATTCCCCAATTTTTTACTGGGCTGTTTTCTTATTGTTGAGTTTTAAGTGTTCTTTATTATTCTGGATACTAACCCTTTGTCAGATATGTGACTTACAAATGTGTTCTCTGAGAGTAGAATTTTAAAATTTTGATAAAATGCAAATTATAGATTTTTTTCTTTTATGGATTGTGCTTTTGGTATCATATCTAAAAACTCTGCCCAAGATCATGCAGACTTTCCTTTGGGTTTCTTCCATAAGTTCTACAGTTTTACATTCTACATTTAGGTATATGATCCATTTTGAGTTCATTTTTGTATAAAATGTGAGCTGTACAGGTTATTTATTTATTTATTTATTTTTGCATATACACATCTAGTTTTCTAGTCCATTTGTTGACAAGATTACACTTTCTCCATGGAATATATTAAGAGGTGCCTTTACACCACTGTCAAAAATAAACCAACCATATCTGTATGGACTTATCTGGGGTCCTCTGTTCTGTTCCACTGACCTGTGTATCTATCTTTTCACCAATACCACATACCACTCTCTTGATTGTGGTGATTTTACATTTTATAGTAAATCTTGTTCTTTTTTCTTTTTCAGATGGAGTTTTGCTCTTGTTGCCCAGGCTAGAGTGCAATGACAGGATCTCTGCTCACCGCAACCTCCACCTCCCAGGTTCAAGTGATTCTCCTGACTCAGCTTCCTGAGTAGCTGGGATTACAGGCACCTGTCACCATGCCCGGCTAATTTTTTTTTTTTTTTTGTATTTTTAGTAGAGACAGGTTTTCACCATGTTGGCCGGGCTGGTCTTGAACTCCTGACCTCAGGTGATCTGCCCGCCTTGGCCTCCCAAAGTGTTGGGATTACAGGCCTGAGCCACCACGCCCAGCCGTTGCTCTGCCTTTCTAATGATGACTTTAGGTATAAGTTTTTAATATAAAGTTTATCTTTTTTTCTTTCACAGCTTGTGGTTTTTGTGTGGTAAGCAATCTGCCTACTTTACATTGTGAAAATATTATTTTCTTCTTAAAACTTTACAGTTTTAGCCTTTTACAGTTCATTCTACAATCCATCTAAAATTAATGCTATGTCCACAGTAAGAGTGAGTAGTAGAGTTTCATTTTTCCTTGCATGTTTATCCAGTTGAAAAAATCTTTCCCTTCCCAACTGAACTATGTTGGTTGAAAAAACTTTGATTTCTCCTGTTGTTGCACTGTGCATCCTAGTGTTTTGTAAATTAACTATTCTTATCTTCTTAGTTTTTTATAAGTGTAAACAGGGGAAATATAATTATAATTTCTTTTAAAAGAGCTCTCTTACTTAATAAAGAAACAGGCTGGGCACGGTGGCTCACGCATGTAATCCCAGCACTTTGGGAGGCTGAGGCGGGTGCATCACCTGAGGTCAGGAGATCAAGACCATTCTAGTCAATATGCCAAAACCCTGTTTCTACTAAAAATACAAAAATTAGCCAGGTGTGGTGGTGGGTGCCTGTAGTCCCAGCTACTCAGGAGGCTGAGGCAGGAGAATTGCTTGAACCCAGGAGGCACAGGTTGCAGTGAGCCGAGATCACGCCACTGCACTCCAGCCTGGGTGACAGAGCAAGACTCCATCTCGGAAAAAAAAAAAAAAAAAAGAACAAACGAACGAACAAAAGGAAGGACAGGAAAGGGAAAGGAAAAGAAATAAAATGTCTAATGTTTTTTGCCCACCAAACTAGTTAAAGTAATTACAAAGACAAGGCTGCTGTAAACACCTTGTGCACTGTCCCCACAACGCAGATGGCATGGGAGCAGACAGCACCTTTAGATGAAGACACACATGCAGCCTACACAAGGCACACAGATGCATTTCAGCCATTATTCCCTCATGATGAAACCCTCCCCTTGTGCAGTGTGTAACCTGAACTGACACACACACATCTTGGGTGAAGTGTGAAGTAATGGGAATCTGTGTACACTACTATTCAGAGTATAAACTGGTGCAAAATTACAGAAGGTAATGTGGCAATACTACAATTTTAAATATACAATTCTATTAGGAACTTAGATTTCATAAGTATTCACACAAGTATGCAAAGAGATATTCACAGATGACCCATGCTATACTACCAGAAATAATGAAAAGTGGGAAATAGCCAAAATGATGTCAGTGGAAGCTTGGACAAATAAGTTATGGTATACCTAAACAATGAAATGCCATCATTAAAATGAATGAGGAACTCAATGCACACTGACATGGAACAACTTCCAGGAAATACAAGTGGAGGAAAAGGATGAACATGCAATGCATTAGGAGAACATGCTGACACCACCTCACTGGAAAGGGAAAGAGGTGCATGACCTGTGACACTGTGGTTCTGTTCCTAGGCACAGACCCAAGGACCCTGTGCAAGGCAATGCAGATTTAGATGCTATTTCAGTTAATGGAACTCTACCTTCCAGCTGCTCAGGCCAAAGTCTTAGTCTCACCCCTCGACCCTCCTACTGCACCATACACATTCCATGTGTCAGTTCCACCTGCAGAATACACCCAGGATTTGAGCCCTTCCTCATCCACCACCTCCTTTCTCTCCAAGCCATGATCATTTCCCATGGAGGTTAACCCAAGCCTCTTAAGAATTGGTCCACTTGCTTCTGTCCTGCCTCTTGGAAGTCTGTTCTTAACACAGTAGCCAGAATAATCCTGTTAAAGCATAGGCCTGAACAAATCACTCCTCTGCTCAAAACCCTGACTCCCTACTTCACTCAGAAAAGCCCAAGTCCTTACTATGACAACAGGTACTTCACAGCTGGGACCCAGTCAGGCTGGGATCTTGTCTCCTACCGGCCCCGCTTCTGGGCTCCCCTTATCCATGCTGGAACCCTGCTGTCCCTGAATATGCCAGATGATGTACTCCTGCCTTGAGGTCTTTGCACTTTTTCTTTCCCTGCCGGGGAGGCCCTGCCCTCAGACATCCATTCATCCTGCTCTCATTGCCTAAGGTTTGCTTCCACAGATGGCTTCTTAGAGGCCACTCTCTGTAGATCTTCCTCTAACACCACCCATCCTTAGCATTTCTTATCTCCCACATACTATCACAATTACTACACTGTGGAACTCATCTTGTCCACTGCCTATCTGTTTCACCAGAATGCAAGCTCCATCAGACATGGGTTTTCATGTTTCATTTATTGCTGTATCCTGACACCATAGCACATAGTAAATCCTTAATATATTGTGGACTAAACAGGTGTAACAGTATGTGTAATAATAAGACGAGAGACATCTCTAAGTCTGGCTCCTGGGTAGATTTTATCTACCCAACAAAGGAGTAGAGGTAGGACTCCGGCCCATGCCATTTCCAAGGAAACCCTTTCTGGAGGGGTGGGGAAAGCTGTGTCCTTCCCATCAAGAGCAAAGAAAAGCCACTACCACTTATGTAGGAAAAATCCCTATGACTCTACCCCTGGGGGTAATCAACAGGCAAAGGGCAACACACTTACTGTTCCCTGTGAGATAATTAACAAAAATAAGCCTCTGTTCAGAATATCTCAGGTGTTCTGGACAAAAAATAAAGATTCAGGATAAAGTTAATGAAGATGAAAATTTTAAATCAACTTAAGGTTCTGAGAAAAAGTCTGATGGCTCTGGATTTCCTGGTGACACAAGAGATCCGGTTGTTTTGAAAAGATGGAGAAGGAGTATGTAGGGAGCCGAACATCAGAGGAGAGTGAAGGAGTTTGAAATATTGATAACACAAAGAGGAGTAGAGCAGGCCAACCAAGCAAACACAGTGGGGCTGTGGGCCGCATGGGGGCCCTACAGGCACATAGCAGATGACCAAGAAACATCAGTTTACAGAATAGTGGAAGAATAAATGAGTGAGCAAGTGAAAAGAGCAAATAAATGAGTGGGTGAACAGGGAGGAGCAAGCAATGGGAGAATAAATTCAGCAGAAAGCAAGTGAGTGAATTGATGATGTCCCCACTGTGTTCTCTGGTGTGAATCTTCTTTCTTATATTTCTTAGCTGCTCATGTGTTGGTTCATTCAGGGTTGGGAATATGCCGTTTGAGTGTGTTTTTTAAAAAAAGACTGGGATGGAGTTTAGGGTAGCGGCAAGAGTGTTACTGAAACAATGGATCATGGAATAGAAGCTGGACAAAAGGAGACATGATAAAAAGAAGGTTGATAGGGTAGAAAAAATAAGGCAACGGTTGAGGTGGTAGTCAGGAAATCTGGAAGGTGAGAAGATTACGCTTAAGGACTGGGATGCCCGAATTCATGAGTCTGGACCATGGGAGTGGGTGGCTGAGACAGAGAAGAGAAGAGGAGAGGAGAGAAGCAGATCCTAGGAACAAAGAGGACAGTACTAAGGCCAGAGGCTGTGAGTCCCACAGGTGGACACTGAAACCACCAGGCAACAGCAGGGACTGGGGTGGAGAAAATGACCACGATTCTTTGCAGACTCTGACATCTGGTGAGCATGACTATGCAGGAGGTGACTGTGCAGAAAAGGATCTGAGCTAGAAAAGGGGAACTTCACCCTTCACGTTCTATGCTTCAGGACTGCATGAATTTTCTGTTGTTTTTCATTTACAAAGAGCACATGTTGCTTTATAATTGACAAAACCCACAAATTTGGGGAAGAGATAATATTAAAGTCAGAGAAAAGAGTTTACAATCCAGAGAAAATCATTAATTTAAGAAGCACTAACAAATACTGCTTGAAACAGTGCTGAGTCTGACACTGAAATTAATTTTCTTTTTCTTTCCAGTCACTAAAGAAAGGGTATCAGGAAGGCCATCTGGATTTTTGCTGAAACCTGTAACAATACTCTAAAGATCCTAAGGGGAAAATGCCAATGTGCTAACAAGGATATTTACTTAAATGGATACAGGATGTCTCCTCTCCAAGGTACAGTGGCTTTCGAGCCCAGTACACACTTCAAGGGCTAGAAGGATCCCCTGAATTCTCTATCCCTCATGGTAACCAGAGACTATGTTCACATTCTCATAAGGGAACCAAAAATGTAGCTTCTTCTATCTTGTTTCCTTGGGGGATGCACAATTTAAAAATGCTTTTTATAGAATTCCATTATCTTGGGATATCCTGGGAACTACTAGAGTTGAAGATAATTTTGGTAGAACCTTAAAATACGATGGCCCCCATTGCTAAGCCCACTGAGAACCAAATTACCAAAGTAAGTGTTAAGACATTCAAATTTGAATAGAAAATATAATGTTTTATGAGGTATAAAAAATAATGCAATAAAAAAGATTTAGAAAATTCAATGCAAAGAACCCAGAAGCATCTCTGCCAAGACTGAGCTGAATGCATTATGTTTGACTACACACTCCCTTGTCAAATGTCAACTTCATAAAAGACAAGGAACAATTTCTTATATATCCTCAACAGTGCCTATAGTTATACTGAAATAACTATAGGCAATTACAGTGCCCATAATAACACTGAAATCCGATGGAAAAAGTTAGAAATTCTTAAAGATATATAGTATCTAGACACTCTTCTTCAATATCTTTCCTTTATAGGAATCATACAATTTCTGTCGTCAAACATAAAACTGAGTGGCAGGAACACTATGCTGGAGAGAAGACCCAGCCAGATTATTTACTTACACCATTTCCCCAGCTGAACCCTCAGAGTCCTTCTCAGGGCCACCCTTTTGGCTAGTCCAATCAATCTGTGACTCACTCTTTTACTGATCCTGACCCTCTGTCCAGCTATGCAGACATCACCATAGGCAGCACTCAACATTTCTCACCTGTCTACTGAAACCCTTAACTGGCTGTCCTCTCTTCAATCTGGACCCCAGCTGATCTACCTTCTATTCTGAATCAACAGCCTAATAAAAGGCTTCCTTAGGTCAGGGTTAAGATGAATCCTCTGTCCATCAAACTATGTTTAAACCTCAGTAATATCATGAATGTTGCTTGAAAGAGCAGCTTAATCAAGGATTCAGAGTATGAACTGGCTGGCTTCCCCCAGATCAACCATGTTGAATTGCTTAATTTCTTCCCTATGTTCTCTAAACTTTGAATACTAAAATGAGTTGAAAAGTAAGCAGAAGGATACTAAAGGCCTATTTTCCCGCACGTTCACAAAAAAGAAAATTAACAAAGTGACGTAGAATCTTGATTACCTAAATTATTTTTACTATAGTTCTTTTTCTAAGTTTTGAAAGCCCACCTTAAATCAAAGAATTAGGGGTACTATGTTTCTCAAAGACATGTGGGGGAAAGAGAAGGTCATTTATATAGTGATTTTAAATGGTGATTACATATGGTCTTATCTTTTTAAAATCAATTTTAGGTTCAAAGTTAAGCGGTTTTTCCTTCCAGAGAAAGGATATATTAAACATCTGCTGCAGTTTCAGGTCACCAACAGCCTCTACCCACAGGTTTGGATTTGCATTTTGGTAGGAACGGACAGAAGTCCCAGGAAGATGAACGAAAGATGAACGAAATGGCAGAGTAGGAAGCCGGGGCGGTCCCAGTACTGCAAAGCAACTAGGTGGGGTAAAAGGTGGTGCTGACTAGTTCTCGCTCACTGTGCCCCACAAAGGGTAGCCAGGGTTGCTGTCATAAAACCTTTTTGCGCAGGGACGCTTGTGTTAGCAGCCATTGATTCAAAGGGGTGGATCTGTAGGTAAGTTTGGGGGAAGGGGAAAGGGAGACAGAGGGGTAGCCAGTTATGCAAAGAAAACATATCTCGACTGTATTCTCTAATTTTATGTGTGCAGCGCAAAAAAAAAACAATTCTCAGACATTTAAAATGTGTTTGAGATGATGGGAAAAAGAATACATGAGGGAAAAAAACAAATTCCCACAAATTCCTCACCGCAGATGCAGCAGTAACACTGTACTTCAAGCATTACAGCTTTTTTTAAATTGACATTCTGTAATATATCTCCCCATCCTAAAATCCACATTTAATAGTGGCTATTGGGAGTAAATGTGAGACACCTAACATTTCTAGATACAGCCAACCAACTTTAAATTTTAAAAAAATTGCCGTAAAAAATAGTAAAAATGACCTAGAGAATTCATAACTGTATAACATTATGCAATACCAACAGCATAATTACAAGCTTTAAATAAGTTTTACAGCTATCAACATTAAATACATCTTAGTGTGGCAGAGAACTGCTACAATATAAGTTTAACAAATATTATGTGTTATCCTCACTGTAACAAAAATAGAAAATTAATTTCTGCTTCAAATACTGCAAAAACCAGTCTCTGGTCTAAAGTTACTAAACTTCTGTCAGAAAAACATATGGCCCATCAAGCACACAGTTGATAATTACACAAATGTAAAATAATATACAATAAATGACTAGACCCATGACATTCTAGAGGAGGCTATCTCAAGACCTTCCTAGCCCTCCAAATTCTCAAACACCACTGTGGTAGACACTGTAGTCATCATACGATAGCCACCTACCCTGGTTCTGTGCTCATGCAGTCTCTGGTTTTTATCTGGACACACGGCTGGGCCACAACCCCCAGCCTCCCTTGCACTAGTGCTCTAGCCAACAAGGTGTGGGCAACGTGATGCATGTAACTTTTGGGCTGTGCCACTGAAACACAGGTTGTGTCTCACCAACCCCACCTACCCTTCGGCCTGAGTGCAAATGTGGAAGGTAATACACCGTTTTGGACCATGCAGGTAAGGCTGCACTCTTGGGATGGCAGAGCAACAAGACAGACTGTGCTTGGCCCCTTGACAATGTTACGAGCAAAGTCATCATGCCAACTCAGGCTTTCAAGGGAGAAAAACTGATTTGTCTTGTGTAAGACACTATTATTACATTTCTGATACATGCCACCAAAACTGTGTATTTTAATTTCCTCAGGTTCCTCAGCTATAATGTGGGATTAATAATAATACCTCTCTCCCAATTATTGTGAGGATTAAATGTTTTAAATTACAAAAAAAGAAAAAAGCATCTGTGTATGAATATTAGGCAATCTACTAGCCTCATTTTTTAGCTAAATAACTTGTTTCTTCACACCAGCCTTCTGGGTGGGCAAGTCTCAAAAGTTATGGAGCTTTGCAGGGACTTGAAAAATAGGTAAGGCCATACATGCTAAACTGGCAAATGGCATGGTTCTGCTCAGCTGTAACTTACATGCTGTGACTGATGTTACAATGGTTATTCTCTCTTTCAAGTTTCTGACTACAAGATTCACAATTCTTCCAGCCATCTTCTGTCTTAATCCAACTCCATCCAGGAGATCTCCAGTCCTGACCCAAAAATGGCATAGTTCTCCTATGAAAAAGTTAATTTATGTTAAAAAGTATATATAATTCATAAAAGTTTCTTTTCACTTAGAACATTTATTCATTAATTTTAAAGATTAAAGTTCTTAACATTTAAATGTCTGCTCATTAATTAAATGTTGGCTGGACATTGGTGACAGTGACAATAACACAGTACTTTGATTGTACTAAAGTGATAAAATGGGGTAAGTAAACGTGGTTTTACTGGCCTAATACTGCATATCCCACGAAAGGTTTACCAGAGGTGACATTCAAGCTCATACCTGAAAAACAAGCAGGGGTCAGGGAGTGTGGAATAGGGAATATTATCCCAAACAAGTATTCTCTTTACCAGAAGTTAGGAGCAACCAAAAATGAAATGTATTCATGTTCAGCAACTCTAAGTAGTTCAGTTTGGTTGAAGCTTAGAATAGATGAGAGGGAGTGGGCCAGAATTAAGGATGGAGAAGTCATTTAAGGCTGGATCAAGTCAGAGGAGTTGGATGCTATTCTGAGGGCAATGAGGGGCCAAAAAAGGGAAGTAAGCAGGTAAGTGATTCAATTAGATTTGTGGTTTACAAAGAACTCAGTATCACACTGGGAGAAGGTATGGGGTGAGGATCACCTGCAGGAAAGTAGTTGGGACTGGAGGCTTCTGAATGTTGATTTTTAAAAGGTGAGAGTGTACAGTGGCAAAAGAAACAGAAGAGCAGAGACTACAGAAACATTTAGGAAACAGAGTCAAACAGTACTTGAAGACTGGCTGGAAACGTGAGGAGGAAATCAAGGAAGTTATCTAGATTTTGTTTTGTAGCCCCTGGTTCTGGGATAAGACATACAGAAGGAACAGCAGGGTTTTATTAGGAAAGGAGAGATAAGGGATATTAATTTCAGCTTCGGACATGCCTGTTCAGTTTGAAATACTAGACTCCAGGTATAAAAATTATGACTTAAAAAATGATGCAACTTCGTGATTAACTTCATGAAGCTCACAATTTGATAAGAGTGAGACTTCAAATGCTAGTTCTTCCCATTAACTTGATTTCTGCTCCTCTTGATCAGTGATTTTCAACTACTGCTGTGCATTAACATCACAGGAAGGTTTTTAAACATTCAAGTGCTTAGTCCCATTTTAGTTGAGTTAAATATGAATATTTGGGGGTGAAGGCTAAGTTTAAATAGTTTTTAAAGGTCCACAGGTGATTCTCATACACAGTGAGACTGTGCATGAGGCTAAAAACCACCTCAGATGTTCACACTGCTGATTCAAAATGTCACATCCCAGAAAGGCTCCCTGACTCCCTGTCCAAACAGTGCTGTTCTGCTGCCTCAACCCCATCCCTACCAGTCTAAGTCATTATCTAGTGCCTTCATAGTTGTAAGGGCTGTCTGAAATGATTAGCGTGTTTATCATCTGTTTTCCTCCAAGAAAATGCAATGTCTTGTTCAGGTCCGTATTCCATTACCTTGAACAATGCCAGGAAAACAACAGGAGCTCTATAAGTATTTATTTACTGAATGAATAAATATATAGATCCATGGTTCAGAAGAGAGTTGGACTAGAGAGAAAGAGGAAAATCATGAGCATTTAGATACTAATCAAGACCACACAAATAATATCACAGAATATGTCGAGAGGGAAATCAAGAGAGCCAAGAAAAAAACCCTAAGAAACATCACCATTTAAGGGACCAGCAGATATAAGCCAAAAAGAAAAACTGAAAAGGAAGAGCCAAAAAGGTAGAGGGAGAAGTAGGAAGCCAGGAGAAAAATGTATTTCAAGAAAGAAATGATCGACAGAGACGAAAATGTTATAAAAACGCCAAGCATGGCAAGAGTTGAAAATATACGTTGAATTTAGCTACAGAAAGGTAGCTGAATTACTCAAGTAAAAGTGGTTTCTGTAATGTGTTACTTTAATTTCACGTCCCGAACAGACTTGAGTATTTTATAATGTAGAATATTTATATCGTAGAGAATAATGTAGAATATTTACATCATGGAGAATAAATGAGAGATGAACATCTCCAAACACCACCTCCCAACTATATTTAGTATAATTAACAAAAAACAAGTTATTAAATGGGCACTTATACAATCCTAGAAGATACAGAAAAAAAAAGGAAGGAAATTACATAGACTTCAACAATATTCCTGGATCAACCACAAATGCTTAACTCTTGACTGGTGTAGGAAATGTATGATGAAGTAATTATTCTTTACACGAAGAAAATCTCAAACCTTGCTAAACTGACTTATAGTCAGAACATGTCTTTTTCAGTCACATAATGATTAATTTAAATTCTTGCTTTAGAAAATACTTTATTCCTTAAATTTCAGCACAATTTTGATAAACTTTGTCTCACAGAACTGCTTCACAACTACTGAACATCTTAAAATGCAAAACTCAATGCCCATGTTCAGTCGATCTAGAGTTATCTAAAACTATCTCTAATAGCATACAGCTGATTTTATGATTTTCAAGAACATTCCCACCAAAGGCAGAAAAGACCATGAAGTAGCAGATGCCTGTTTAAGTGGCACCTTGAGTCTCATAAAACACATTCAACAGAAAATGGCTGCTAGGAACATCTCTGATAATTATCAAATTATCTCTCAATATCAACTTGAAACTGTGGATTCAGAAATATATATTTTAAAAAAAAATCAAGTGGATAATCCTGAAAAATACTGCTAACAGATTTTGTTACTGCTAACAAATACAGGATTTGTATTTGTTACTGCTAACAAATACAGGATTACTTCAACGACAAACATTTGAGCACCAACTACATGTTATTATGCTAGGTGTTCCTGCCCTCAAAAGTGTGCAATTTAGCTAAGGAACTAAAAAAGAACAATAGCAAAACACAAATTCCATACAAGTGTACTATAATAAAGTGTGTTTACATGTAGATATGTGAGTGTGCATGTATACATACATACACATATGTCCACAATCTTGTAACTTGTGGTAAAGAGAGAATAAAGTTAATTTGAGCAGAAAGCAAATCAGCTGGGAAAGCTCTGACGAGAAACTAGGACTTGATCTTGGCCCTAAAGCATGGTTAGATCTTAAATTAATGGAGAGGCAAGGCAAAAAATATCAATCATGGGAATGGTGGGTGCATAAGTATAAAGGTCAAAATGTGTGCCACAGTTTGAGAAAAATAAGCAGAAAAGATTGGATAAAATGGAGAAAGTTTATCAGAGGACTGGTACATAAGCTGGGAAAGTGACTAGAAGCCAGGTCATAGAAGAATATCAAAGAATATCAAAGGTGTTTAGACTTTATTCTGTCAGTAATTAAACGTTTTTCAGCAACAGATCAGTGTGAGCAGTGTTGTTTTGAGAATAATAATTTTCTAGGGCTTGTAGGATAGATCAAATGAAAAACATGGAGACAGAAAAAAACAACTAGGCAACAAATATCTTGCCAACAGAACCTTATCTGGATGACTGTCCTATGTACATCCCGGTATCCTCAGCTGACAAAATATTTTAAAACGTGATGACACACAAATATTGTACTTACCTATTTAGACACTATGCCCACTCATCATTTAATACACTTATCTTCTAGTTTCACAAACAATCTTTATAACATTTACATAAAGAGCCTGCCTACTGTTTCCATTAATATAACCAATTCTTTTACAACTACCTAAACTCTACAGTTAATTCATTTTGGCAACTCAGTGAGAAATGAATAGTTTGGTCTGAATTTCTCAGCTGCTAAGTTTGATTTTTTTAAGGGTTGAAAGGAGTGAAATGCAGCCATGGAAATAAAAAAATAGTCCATGCCCAAAGGCTTATTTTCAACACAGAGGAAAAGATTTGTTTCTCTGAAGATGTGTGTGCTTCACAGATTTGTTATGGTATGCTCTTTGGATCACAATGAAGTTTTTCTTAAAGCATAATCTATACAGCTCATGAACTAAAGCACAAACTCTGGATGCAGATTAAAAACAACAACAACAACAAAAAAAGACAAGTTGCAATTTAAAAGGTCTGGGGTCTGGATCTCAAGTTTTCAAAAATACTCCCAAACTGAGGCTTCTGAGTTTGTAAATCAGAAAACAATGCTACTAAAGTTTTATAGAATGATGACAACCCACGGCTTTTAATGGGAATGTATTTGTTCAGCTAAAAAAATGTGAATTGCTAGAGCTTTGTACGCTTATTTTAATTAAAATTACCTTTATTTTGGGATTTGCAAATACAAAAAAAAACTAGAAATTACTCCTGAAAATTATTAAACTTTTAAGAGCAAGCACTCAAAGGGTGTAGCTTGTATAATTTGCAAATTTTAAGCACATTTTATGCCAACTTATTTCAGACAGCCTACAATGATTAACTATTTTAAATCTTCCCTTAATTTCTATTTCATGTGGTAGGACATGTGGGTGGGGTACTTCAGTAGAAAATGACTTCATGAAGTTCATTTGCTGGTGGAAACTCTTGGCATGAGAGACTCAGAACAAAAAAAAAGTCTTTCCTTCAACAAGCATATTTTTTCTTTACAATAATAATGGCAAACATTTATTAGAGCTTACTATAGGCTATGCATTACTCTAAACAATCTACATATGTTGTCTCATTTAATCCTCATGCTGTCCTCCAAGATAGAAAACATTATTCTTGTTTTACAAGTTTCATTATCTATTTTATAGATGAAGACACTGAGGCAAAGAGTTCAGTGGAGCTGGGATTCAAAATGATGGAGTCTCACTCCGGGATCCATGCTCCTACCCACTATGTTTATAATAGCAGTTCCTGAAAACCCTATTAAAACAGATGCCATTAAATTATAAGCCTTTTAACTTTTTTTTTTACCGTCTATTACAGATCACTAATATGATTTCAAGTAATGATGAATCTAAATATAAAGGCACTAAAACAAGGAAAACAAGACAGGAAAGAAAACTCTAATCCATTTTAAAAGACCACATGTGTTTCCCTATTTGTTTTGCTTAAAAGTGTGGACAAATTTGATCCAGAAAGGACATTTAAAAAAATGGCACACTGAGGGCTGAGAGTCAGAAATAAGATTTACTGTAAGGACTTACAGATAATCACAGATTCCTCATGGGAAAGGTAAACATGTAAAGACGAGGAGAAAACAGAATATGAAAGAGTAAACGTCTTTTTTGATTAGGGCCGGATGGTAAGGATTTGGAGGCAGCAAGAGACAGCTTCATAAGGGAAGAAATGGTTCTCTAGATTCTTTAGTCTTCAAAATGAGTTTGAATAGACCCAAGGACAGAGGTGGAATCTAATTGAGAAAAAGGTCAAATTGAGCTTACTGTGAGGGGAAGGATGCAAAATTAGTGTCTGCTGCAAGAAAAATAAGCATGGAAAGAAATTAAGGGAGGAGACAGAGACAGAGCCAGAGCCACAGACCAGGAGTAGGGAAAAAAAGGTAAGCAGCAGACGGGGCAGAGTGGCCTGGAGGAATGAGGGGTCACACCTAGCAGGTGCCCACCGGCGAAGAGGCAAGGGCCGAGCCCGGAGGGCAAACGCCGGCAGGAGTCGTCCCCGAAACACCTTGCCCAGCGAGGCGGACACAAGCTCGGGCCTGCAAGACGGCCCAGGAGGGTGGGGGCGGGAAGGGGTCGCAGAAGGTGGGCAGGGGAAGCGGCTGAGGACACGCGATGCACCTGTGGGCGGTCCCCGTGCCCACCTGACTCGCCCGCAGCTCCCTGAATGAACCCTCCACACCCGCCGGCCGCCCCCAGACCCCACCTGACGCGCCCGCGGCCCATCGTCCCTTCCTGACGCGCCCGCGGACCCAGACCTCAGCAGACGCGCACGCGGCAATCCCGTCCCCATCTGACGCGCCCGCGACAACCCCGTCCCCACCTGACGCGCCCGCGACAACCCCGTCCCCACCTGACGCGCCCGAGACCCCCGGTCCCCACCTGACGCGCCCGCGACCCCATGTCTTCCCCTGACGCGCCCGCCGCCCCCGGTCTTCACCTGACTCGCCCGTGGCCCATCGTCCCCACCTGACGCGCCCGCGATCCCCAATCTTCACCTAAGGCGCCTGCGGCGCCCAGTCTTCACCTGACGCGCCCGCGGCACCCCGTACCTACCTAGCGCGCCTGCAGCCCCCAGTCTTCACCTGACGCGCCCGCGTCCCCCAGTGCCCAACGGGCGCGCCTGCCACCTGGGCCGGCACCTGACGGCGACCAGGCGATTATTGCCGGAAGTGGGCCACCGCCTCTCGGCGCGCCTCAGGGAAGCCCCGCCCCTGGCCATGCTGATTGGCCGGCGCGGATTCGCGTGGCAGTGTTGCTGCCGGGTCCTGACGCCCGCAGCGTGCGCCTGCGTAGTAGGCACTGCCCCGCCGTCCGCGCGCGCCCAGAGTGCCGGGCGTGGAGGTGTGGGGGCGCGGGGGCGCGGGGGCGCGGGGGCGCGGGGGGGCGGGGGCGGGGGGGCGCAGGGACGGGCGCGGTCAGTGCCTGAGATCCCTGCGATCGCTGGGAGATGACGGTGAAGACCTGAGATTTAGGCCTGCGCGGCGGGTGACGACGCCGGTCCGGGTCTTCACTGGAGGACGCTGGCCGGGGCCTTCAGGTGTTCTCGTGGCCTGAGGACGCGCGTCCCTGAGAATGTGCGTGCCCGCGCCGCGCGGGTCCCACAGGAGCCTGGGCAGCCCCGCCGCCGCATTTCCACCCTGCGGCCGTATTTCCACCCGCTGGGCGCCAAGCCCGGGATGACTGCACTCTAGGGCATCACTGCGCGCTCACACTCAGCATTCAGGCACAAGCACGTTCTCTTTATAAACAGTTTCGAATCTTGTCGAGTCTTTCTAGAAGGTTGAAATGCCCTGGAGGAGCAGCGTGAATAGTTTTTTCCAATTAGGAAAAAAGAATGTGGGGCGGCTGGAGGGAGAGAGGCAGGCCGAGAAGGCCAGGTGCGTCCAGGAGCCGCAGCCCCCGTGCCTCAGTTTCCTCCTAGAAACATGGAGGTGGCGGTGCACGCTACAGGATTTCTGTAAGAACAGATGAGTTAACGTGTGCAAAACATTTAAAACAGTGTCTGGTGTGTAGCAAGCAAATATGAGTATTAGTCTTTTCCTTGTTAAAATGTGTGCATCTACATTTGGTGCACATTACAGGAAGTGTATAGTATGGATTCATATTTTGGAAAAGTAATTTTAGAAGTTATTTCTGATGTGCTTATTGTAATAGTGTTTCTTGACCACATGCTTTTAGATAATGTGAAGGCAATGAAGCAGGCAATATTGCTTGCACATCCCCAATTTAAACACCTGTCTGTCCCTCCTTCCCTCTCTCCTTTCTTTTCTTCCTTACCCTCTCTCTTTATTCCTTCCTTCATTCCCTTCAAGGTTGCGGATTATTCCATTATATAAATGTATCAATTTATTAGAATAGTTTCTATGATGTCTATGATGGGCTTTAGATTGTTTGCAATAGTTTGCCATTACAAATAATGCCCAGTAGTGCTGTGGTTTGATTTAACTTGTGAAGGTATATTTCCAAATAAATCGCTATGATTGGATTGTTGTGTAAACCAAAAAGTGTCTGAGGCAGATCACAACTGATATAGAGGTTTATTTTGCCAAAATTGTGGATTTGCCTGGGGAAAAAGAAACACAGGTTACAGTAGGATTTTTGGCCTGTACTTTTTTCCAAATATTTAAGGGAAAAGCGCCGGTAGGAGGGGAAAGAGGGGAGAGTAGGCTATGAGGCAAGTGGTCACATTTTTGTGAGGCTCTGATTAGAGTACAGCAAATCTACATTTCACATGTGAAAAGAAAGGTATGGGGGAGGGTTATACATCTGTCTCATACTCAGTAGATCTACATTTCACATAAGATAAAGTAAGCTTTTGGGAACAAAAAGAAGGCATGTATGTGTGTGTGTGTGTGTGTGTGCGTGTGTGTGTGTGTGTTGCCAATATTAACTTTTCCCTTTGGCATAGTAAGTTTGGAGGCCTGAGATTTTATTTTTCTTTCACTGATGTGTCAAGATTAACTGCATATGGAATACTAGTAGAAATTGCCAAGCCAAGACCCCACCACCACAATAGGGGACATAGTAATATTAAATTTAGCCCAATTGGCCAGCATCCACACAATTCCTAGTGAAAGAATTCCTGGCTGGATGGTAAAGAGGTAAACTAACTGCAGAAACTCACAAAGCAACAAAAGAAGTCCACAGAATAAGAGCAGGAATTCAGAGAGTAACCACAGAGAGATCCACAGAGTAACAGCAGGAATTCACAGAGTAACAGCAGAACCCACAGTGTAACATCAGAGCCCACAGAGTAACAGCAGAGCCCACAAAGTAACGTCAGAACCCACAGAGTAACAGCAGAGCCCACAGAGTAATGTCGGAACCCACAGAGTAACACAAGAGCCCAGAGAGTAACAGCAGGACACACAGAGAAATAGCAGGAACCCACAGAGTAACATCAGAGTCCACAGAGTAATATCAGAACCCACAGAGTAAAAACAGGACCCACAGTGTAACATCAGAGCCCACAGAGTAACAGCAGGAATTCACAGAGTAACATCAGAACCCATAGTGTAATAGCAGAGCCTACAGAGTAACAGCAGGAACCCACAGAGTAATAGCAGGAACTCAGAGTAACAGCAGAAACCTACAGAACAGGATCAGAAACCCATGGAGTAACAGCAGGAAGCCATGAAGCAGTTCTGTCCAACTTAGGTCAGCATATTCATGGTCTTGGGTCTTCTTTGTGTGTGCTTTCTACCAGGACTGGGCTTAGCTCTGTGCTTGTGAAGAGTAACCCACTCAGTGCCCTCTGAAATTTCGCCACTGGAGGAGGAGAAAAACCCCAGAGGGGCGGGGAGAAACGCTTTTCAAAACACATGGTGCAGCTGGAGATTGTGGTGCAGTTGCCCAGGCAGAAGGCTCGGCAGGGGGAAGTAGTGACCAGGAGGGAGGTGCCTCCTTAACCACAGAGATTTTTTGGCAACCAACTTATTGAAAAATCACGTTTTAAAATTTTCTTTAAGTCAAACCCTACAGAACCTAAGGAGCTGGCTCCTCCTGGCAGGAAGCTGGGAGAGTGCTGGTCACAGTGCACCAGGTGCCCCCTGCCTCACAGGGGCTTAGGGTGGTGGTGAGCACAGGGGCCCCACGCTTCTCCAATGCACACCACACAGTCGTCTCCTCTGACCTTCCCAAATGCTGCACGGACAAGTGTTTGTAGTCCCTAACTCTCAGGACAATGTAGACTTGGTATACCTTCGGGCACGGGGAATCCCATCCTTCTTCCTGTTCCTGCCGCTCTGAAGCATGTGGTGTATGTTTAATGGGGATTTTACACAATATGGGAAGACCACTTCTGCTTTCTATGCAGTGATAATACTGCAATAAGAAAAAATGAACCAAGCCACCAAAACAAAACAGTACCACCTGATGCAGAACTAGGAGGGAAACACAGCAGTGTCTCAGAGCTAATGCAGCAGCCAGGCACCACGACGGTGTCATGGGTACAAGGAGGAGGTGTCTCAGAGCTAATGCTCTGTGCTGACAGCAGCCAGGCACCACGACGGTGCCATGGGTACAAGGAGGAGGTGTCTCAGAGCTAATGCTCTGTGCTGACAGCAGCCAGGCACCACGACGGTGTCATGGGTACAAGGAGGAGGTGTCTCAGAGCTAATGCTCTGTGCTGACAGCAGCCAGGCACCATGACGGTGCCATGGGTACAAGGAGGAGGTGTCTCAGAGCTAATGCTCTGTGCTGACAGCAGCCAGGCACCACGACGGTGTCATGGGTACAAGGAGGAGGTGTCTCAGAGCTAATGCTCTGTGCTGACAGCAGCCAGGCACCACGACGGTGTCATGGGTACAAGGAGGAGGTGTCTCAGAGCTAATGCTCTGTGCTGACAGCAGCCAGGCACCACGACGGTGCCATGGGTACAAGGAGGAGGTGTCTCAGAGCTAATGCTCTGTGCTGACAGCAGCCAGGCACCACGACGGTGTCATGGGTACAAGGAGGAGGTGTCTCAGAGCTAATGCTCTGTGCTGACAGCAGCCAGGCACCACGACGGTGTCATGGGTACAAGGAGGAGGTGTCTCAGAGCTAATGCTCTGTGCTGACAGCAGCCAGGCACCACGATGGTGCCATGGGTACAAGGAGGAGGTGCCTGGTTTTCGGGAGCTTGCCATCTGAACAGACCCAAGGTGGCAAATACACAGTGAGAAAATGGGGCCATGAGTGCTGTAATTACCTACAGAATGTTTAGGGGGACTGGGAGCAAAAACAATCCCCTCTTTCAGAAACCAATCCTGGAAGGTGCTGGAAGGTTGTACTAGCTGTGAAAGTCAGAGGCCACCAGGCAGCTATCGTGAGACCAAAGGCAGTAGTCAGCTCAGGCAAGCCGGTTTCCTTATTTATGTCAAATTCCTCAGTCTTGGGTCTCCTTATCTTTTAAATAAGGAGTTAGAATAGAATTTGAGGGCTGTTCACTCAGGCATCCATGGTGGCTGCAGCATAAGGAGTGTGTGGTGTCAGGATGGGAAGGGCAACATGGAGACTGCATGGCCATTGACGTCTGAAAGTCTCTGGTTGCCAAAAAGAATCTATCTACAACAGCATTCATCCTGACAGCAGCCAACAGGCAGCCTAGACCTGGCATGCCACAGCTCCTCTAGGCTCTGAACCCCTCTCAGCTGAGCCTGGTAGATGCCAGCTGACCGGCTGCAGCCCCTGAGTAGAGGTTGGCTGTCCTAGCAATAGAGTAGGGCGGGGGCACAGCAGACATGGGACCATCATCTGGATTCCTAGACGTGCAACTGCAAGTGAGTACATAACCTCCTGAGCCCCAGCTCTCACCTGAAAGCTGAGTTAGGCGCACACACAGGAAGGCAGAGATGGGTCCAGGGCTGGGCTTCTGGTTCCTCTACTCAAACTCTGCTGCTCCCTGCCCCTCTGCCATCCCTGCAAGCTCCTCACTGACCATGCTTGTCTCAAGCGTTCTCTCTTCCTCCTGACCTCCTGGGGACTTCATAAATCCAGTATCTTTTTAAAATAATCTATTATTTTAGGCTCAGGGCTACATGTACAGGTTTGCTATACAGGTAAACTCATGTCTGGGGGTTTGTTGTACAGATTATTTCATCACCCTACATGTACAGGTTTGCTATGTAGGTAAACTCATGTCTGGGGGGTTTGTTGTACAGATTATTTCATCACCCTACATGTACAGGTTTGCTATACAAGTAAACTCATGTCTGGGGGGTTTGTTGTACAGATTATTTCATCACCCTACATGTACAGGTTTGCTATACAAGTAAACTCATGTCTGGGGGGTTTGTTGTACAGATTATTTCATCACCCTACATGTACAGGTTTGCTATACAAGTAAACTCATGTCTGGGGGGTTTGTTGTACAGATTATTTCATCACCCTACATGTACAGGTTTGCTATACAGGTAAACTCATGTCTGGGGGTTTGTTGTACAGATTATTTCATCACCCTACATGTACAGGTTTGCTATACAGGTAAACTCATGTCTGGGGGGTTTGTTGTACAGATTATTTCATCACCCTACATGTACAGGTTTGCTATACAGGTAAACTCATGTCTGGGGGTTTGTTGTACAGATTATTTCATCACCCTACATGTACAGGTTTGCTATACAGGTAAACTCATGTCTGGGGGGTTTGTTGTACAGATTATTTCATCACCCTACATGTACAGGTTTGCTATGTAGGTAAACTCATGTCTGGGGGGTTTGTTGTACAGATTATTTCATCACCCTACATGTACAGGTTTGCTATACAGGTAAACTCATGTCTGGGGGTTTGTTGGACAGATTATTTCATCACCCTACATGTACAGGTTTGCTATGCAGGTAAACTCATGTCTGGGGGTTTGTTGTACAGATTATTTCATCACCCTACATGTACAGGTTTGCTATACAGGTAAACTCATGTCTGGGGGTTTGTTGTACAGATTATTTCATCACCCTACATGTACAGGTTTGCTATACAGGTAAACTCATGTCTGGGGGGTTTGTTGTACAGATTATTTCATCACCCTACATGTACAGGTTTGCTGTGTAGGTAAACTCATGTCTGGGGGGTTTGTTGTACAGATTATTTCATCACCCTACATGTACAGGTTTGCTATACAGGTAAACTCATGTCTGGGGGTTTGTTGGACAGATTATTTCATCACCCTACATGTACAGGTTTGCTATGTAGGTAAACTCATGTCTGGGGGGTTTGTTGTACAGATTATTTCATCACCCTACATGTACAGGTTTGCTATACAGGTAAACTCATGTCTGGGGGTTTGTTGTACAGATTATTTCATCACCCTACATGTACAGGTTTGCTATGTAGGTAAACTCATGTCTGGGGGTTTGTTGTACAGATTATTTCATCACCCTACATGTACAGGTTTGCTATACAGGTAAACTCATGTCTGGGGGGTTTGTTGTACAGATTATTTCATCACCCTACATGTACAGGTTTGCTATACAGGTAAACTCATGTCTGGGGGGTTTGTTGTACAGATTATTTCATCACCCTACATGTACAGGTTTGCTATGTAGGTAAACTCATGTCTGGGGGGTTTGTTGTACAGATTATTTCATCACCCAGGTATTAGCCTAGTACGCAATAGATAGTCTTTCTGATCCTCTCCCTCCTCCCACCCTCCAGCCTCAAGTAGGCCCCAGTATGTGTTGTTCCCCTCTGTGTGTCCATGTGTTCTCATAATTTAGGATATGAGGATAATGGCCTCCAGTCCCATCTATGTTCCTGCAGAAAACAGGATCTCATTCTTTTTTATGGCTGCATAGTATTCCATGGTGTATACGTACCACTTATTTTTTTTTTATCCAGTCTATCATTTTTGGGCAATAGATTGATTCCTTGCCTTTGCTATTATGAACAGAGTAGTGTGGGCTTATAGTCCCAGCTACTCAGGAGGCTGAGGTGGGAGGGTTGCTTGAGCCCATGAGGTGGAGGGTGAAGTGAGCTGCGGATTGCAATGAAAAAACACGTGCATGCATCTTTACTGTAGAACAATTTCTATTCCTCTGTGTATGTACCCAGTAATGGGATTGCTGAGTGGAATGGTAATTCTTTTAGCTCTTTGAGGAATCACGATACTGCTTTCCACAATGGTTGAACTAATTTACGCTCCTATCATCAGCGTATAAGTGTTCCCTTTTCTCTGCAACCTTGCCAGCATCTGTTATTATTTGACTTTTTAGTAATAGCTACTCCGACTGGTGTGAG
The DNA here is from genome assembly GCF_000001405.40 of Homo sapiens. NCBI lineage: Eukaryota > Metazoa > Chordata > Mammalia > Primates > Hominidae > Homo > Homo sapiens. The sequence continues at coordinate 242,081,643 of NC_000002.12, read as the reverse complement.
ATGGTATCTCATGATGGTTTCAATTTGCATTTCTCTAATGATCAGTGATATTGAACTTTTTAAAATGTGCTTGTTAGCCACATGTATGTCTTCTTTTGAAAAGCGTATGTTCATGTCCTTTGCTCACTTTTTAATGGGGTTGTTTGTTTTTTTTCTTGTAAATTTAGTTCCCTATGGATGCTGGATATTAGACCTTTGTCAGATACATAGTTTGCAAATATTTTCTCCCATTCCATAGATGATCTGTTTTCTCTGCTGATAGTTTCTTTTGCTGTGCAGAAGCTCTTAACTTTAGTCGGATCCCATATGTCAATTTTTGCTTTTGTTGCTATTGCTTTTGGTGTGTTCGTCATGAAATATTTGCCCTTTCCAGTGTCCAGGATGGTATTGCCTAGGTTGTCTTCCAGGAAATCAGCACCTTATGACTTGTTTCAGTTATTTAAATCTTAGCCCAGCCCTGCTCTCTACTTAAAACAAAACAAAATGAAACAAACAAACAAAAAAAAAACTCAGTTCCCCATGGAGACTGAAAGCCCTCTGAAGGCTGAGATGAAAGTCTTATACTTTTTGGAGCCTTGAGTGTCCACCTCTAACTGTGGAGAAGGAATGGAAAGAGAGGTGCAACACACGGGCTGCACATCTAGCTGGAAATGTGCAATCCAAAGGGCACGACTTTTGCTGAAACCCCGGGAGTGGGCCAAGGCCGCAAAGTCAGTCAGATGTGGTATCAGTGTTTGCTCATTGTGTTAATGATTATTTCTATGGTGACATGGCTTTTTTGTTTCTCTGTTGCCTTACACGAGATCCAAGCAATGAGACACACACAGCCCAAGCAGGGATGGCAGAACTCAGACCCGGACCAAACTCCTGGCTGCAATTTGTTCATACAACAGGTGGTGTCTGTCTCTGTTGTCATTTGAGCCTGGAATTCCTACAGCCTTCTCCCTATGTCCACCAAATATGAGGCCACTAGTGGCTGGGTGTCCAGGCAGCAGGACCTCTTAGCACTGGCAGGGCTGGCCCTCAGACAGCCTCTGACTTCACTCACCCTGATCTCCTGTCCACCGTGACTGGAGGGGAGAGGCAGCTCTCTGGGGTCTCCTTCTAAGGGCACTAATCCCATTTACAAGAGCTCCCCTCCGTGACCTCATCACCTCCCAAAGACCCTGCCTCCTAACACCGTCACACGGGGATTAGGATTTCAGCACAGGAATCTTGTGGGGGAACCAAACATTCATACCCTGGCCATGGCCCAGGTAGCCAAGTGCATTATGTCCGGGGTGAGCTGAAAACCCAGCTCTTCCGAAGAGGGGCAGGAGTGTGAGGAAGCCCTTACTTGTAGCATTTGCTAATTTCTGTTATGTATAGACTCCAACCATGGCTAATTTCACACTGCCCATGAGACAACACTGAATGAGGAGGCGGGAAGGGGTGCACTTGGTCCACTCCCCCAAGCCGATTCCAGCCACCTCCAGCACCCCACTGGGCCTGTGCCTATTGTAAACTATGAGAGCTGTTGGTGCTTTCTGTTCGTTAATGAGTCTTAATTCTAGCACATCTTGAGAAGAATGTTTCCATGTGCCAGATTGTCCAGGAGTGGGAATTTTCCAAGTTTCCAGTTAGGGCCACTGGTTGTACAAATGATGACGACCGGCCACAGATGGTTGGTCCCAGGGTTTCAGCAAAGAAGCCGGTAAACTGAAGGTAGTGAAAGTGCACGTTAAACAGCATGGGTTTTTCCAAGCAGCTTCGTCAGCAGAAGTTTATTCCTTTTTGATTGAATTTAAAAATACAGAAAAAAATAGAAAGGCAATATTTTCTAATGCAACTGGTCATAGCAACTCATTATGGTGATATGCTGCATGTTCTGGAAAATTAATTTGGGTTATAGAAATAATATGATGAAATGGTTAATGGGCATTCTTCCAATAACTTCTGGGAGCAAAAGAAATTAAAGCCAATTTAACTAGCAGAAATCCTTACTAAGTTAGAAGAGAAGGTGGAACTGAATAAGTGAAGATGTCAACACAAATGATTCTTATCTTTTGGAGAAAGTGCCTGATGCACACATGGAAAAGGTAAAATCAGAAGGTAGAAATTTAGCTTCTCTATTTAGGTGAGAACCTCCGCTCCACCGGGAGGGCTGAAGATGGCAAGATGGAAAGGGGGATGGATTCATGCCAGCTGGGGTCTAAGGGGGATGGATTCATGCCAACTGGGGTCTGGATCTTCAGAACCAAGTTGGTGAAACAACTTGGCTTGAGGAATAAGTCTGTATAAAGGCCAAGGTTTATTTCGGTATATCCCAGAACCCAAGCTTGCCTGGACAGCCAAGTTCAGTGTCTCTGGCTAGTCGTAAATGAGGGAGGCACTTCCCAGCCTAGTAGCAGCCTCTTCTCTATTTGCTAGCCCACATTTTCCCCTTCCCAGGTGTCTTTATCCACCTCCGTGGATAGGTGAAGCAAAGAATAGCAAAAATACCTACACTTCTGCCTGTTTTCCTAAAAATTCTCTACACTTTTACTCCAACATAACCAGGGCACTGATGGTGCAGTCCACATGTGCATAAGTTTGTTGTCTAAACTTCTAGGAGGGAGCCCTGCTGAGCAATTAGAACACAATGTAGGGTCTTCTAAAGATGACCTTAAAGGGATGAATAACAGTTAAAATACTAATGTCTCCACGTGAATCTAAGAGAATTATCAGTGAATTTACACAACAATTTCAAAAGGCAGAGACATTTGGGCACCAACATTGGGGTTTTTGTCTTCAATTAAACTCCAGATGAGCACTTCCTGGTGTCAGGAGTGGGCTCCATTTTCTAGTCCCACCAAAGCACTGGTGGGGATATTTCCTTCTGAGTCACCAGGTTCTTAATCCAATGCCCCTCCCTCTCATATGGGAAGGCGCTTGCACATGTTCTGGGCCATGGTCAATACAGGGCTCCCTGTGTAGCTACCTAGGTGGGACTTGGCAATGTCTGGTTTCTTTCTGCTCTCTGATCCATGAGTAATGCATAGGCAGCTACTGACGAAAATTCCAAAGCTCATTGATGGGAGAAGAGCAACTAACGGGGCCACTAGGCATGAGTGACTTGGTCAAGCTGCTCAAGTGGTGTTGCAAAGACTGAAGACATTAGCTTAATTTCTGTGCATTGATTCTGCTTCCTCATGTTGTACTGTTCCTGTTTGGGAAGAAAAAAAAGGAAAATTTACTCTTTCTTCCACTTTTCATTTCAGCTAAAAAAAAAATCCTACTTCTTTTCAAGGCAATGTGGATGCTGTAGTCAACTAGTGAGTGCAAAGTCATGCAGAAGGAAGTAGAGGAAAGAAACATAAGAATATTATTATTTCGAGATTTTTTTGCCCTACTGGGAGCAAATTACACTAATAGAAAAGATTCTGCTAACATTATGAGCCAGACAGCCTTAGAGGTCCATGACAAATGGCAGGTATTTTAAAGAAAGAGCCTGAGAAGAAAATAAATGACATACTTTGTGTAGATGTTTCTCCTTCCACTGAAGGACAACTGTACAGTCTACAATACTTGTTGAGCTATCAGACTTTAAAAGAGCACTTATAAGAAGGAAACACAGATTTACTGTGATTCTGGCTATGATGTGTGAAGTGCCCTCCGGTTTTACCTTTTATTATCCTGAGATGGAAGGAAAATTGCCCAGTAAGACAGTATCTGTGCAGTATCATACAAAAACTGTATCTTTTAAGTTGAAAAGTTGGCATGAGATGAGGCACTTCTCAACCTGAGGACACCTTGACCTGCAGGTGTCTTTTACAGTGTGAGTGGTTCCTCACCTTGTCAAGGCTTTGCTCAAAAGCCACTTCTTATTAGCTCTACCCTTACTATTTCAGTTAGAGCTGCCACTCCGCAGACTCAGGGACCCCTCACATGGGCTTATTTCTCCACCTTTTAACATACTGTGTCTTCTACCTATTTATTCTCTCTGTCTCTACCCGCAGGACATAAGCTTCACCAGGGCAGAAATTTTTGTCTCTTTTGTCACTGCTGCGTCCAAGTTCCAGGCACATAGCAGACACTAAACAAATACTTGGTGAATAAATGAATGAATGGACAAATTACAGAACACATTTCTCATAAGCAGTCTTATCTGTGGATGTTATTGTTCTAGGCCAGAAGAGTCTGTTCATTACACGGTGTAACTGAAAGAATGCATGAAGAAGGTTGGTAAATGGAGATGTGCAGATTCTGTTGCTGTTTTACTTACTAAAGTTTGACAGTCTCCTTGCTTGTTTAATACAGCTGTAGAACATTAAGATACTGATTTGCTACCATTGTCAGTACTTTGTATGAAGCTTTTCCTATATTAACTAGAGATTCAAAGCAGGGAAGATGACTAATAGGAGAAATGTGGTTATGAACAATATAAGAGGTTGCAGAAAATAAAAAGATACAGGAAAGGAACCTGAAGAAGAGGAAGCCTCACCCCGCACATTTATAAAATAGATGGGTCAACTCGAAGGGAGCAAATAAAATATGTCAGCTTGCTATTGATTAAATAGGCTTTGACAAGCCCCTGGGAAGTGTATATAATGTGATTTCTATGAATGAGGAGGCCAAGAACCAAACTATGGAGGATAAAAATGCCTCTCTAAAATTATTGCTTAGAAAGCAGACAGATTTCTTAGTTGCACTCCTATATTAATTAGTATATTATTACATTATTAATTAATATCATTTTGCTGAAACAATATAGTAGGTGGCATATACTATATGCTTAAGATTTATTGCATCAATAAATGGATAAAGATAGAAAAAAACCCAGAAAGTTCAGACAAACATAAGGAAGACACATTTAGAAACCACTCATCATTCCACCACTCAGAAATATCCACTGTTCTTTTTAAGTGAAGCCCTATTTTTAAGCCTCAAATTGTTATAAGGGAAACCACCATCTGTGGAGCTGAAGCCATCATTTGCAGAACTCCAGCACGGCAGATGTGCTGGCGCTGTGTTCCTGTATTTCAGGGTCCTCTGCACCATGCTTCTCCACCTGTGGTCCCCAGCTGCTTGCACTAGAGTCACCTGCAGTATTGTACTATTTATTCAAATATGGATGCTCAAGCCCTGTCGTGCCTACACAGATTTTCTGGGGTGGGGTCTGGGCATAAACAAGCAGCTTGTTGCCCTAATGCACAGCACCGCCTTCACCCTGGGTCTAGACACACGGCTCCCAAGTCTGCCAGGCTGTGCACCCAGGCTCACCTGCAGAGCTTGCTAAAGCTCTGGAATGTACCTCCACCAGGTGTCGTTCATTTTAATGGTGGTAAAACCTGTGCCCTCCATTATCAAACATCTTTCCAGCTGATCCTGGGTAGACAGGCTTGGAACCCTGCTACAGATCAGTGCATTCCTACCTGACTTTGAAATGCTCAAACTCTTTGTTCCAGTGACTGACTGGGCTTTCAGTTAACATGTAAAGCAAATAAAGTGTTATTGCTCTATTCAAATCAGAGAATCTGGGCAGACTCAGGCTCCCCAAATCTCCACACTAGTCCTAAGGGGCTCTGGGTGAAAGGCGGTCTTGATGGTGGCCTCACGTGGCTGGGCTGAACTGCAGCCTCTGAAGACAGCACCAAGTCATTTTCATGTATTTGACCTCCCACAGGGGACGTAACAGAGGGTCTGGGTGTGGTCAATATGCCATAAACATTTGTGGAATGAATACAGCACAGGAGGAGGAAAGCGTAACATACTCGGATGTCTGCCAACCTCCAGGCGTGGCCCAGCTGGATGCCAATATTCAATTCACCCTTTGCTCCTCCTGTGCTGAATGGCCAGGTACTGTGTGACCCAGGTGGGTGCCGGTAAGAAGGACAAATGAAATGCTCCTGGCTCTACCATATAAACCCTGTGTGCCTGGAAAACATTGCTTGATGTCCTATTAAGAATGTTGGATTCCAAGAGCAAATAAGCATTTCCTGCAGATGCTATAAATAACAGAACGACCACAATTTCTGAGGTAAAACTAAATATTAACTATTTCTGTATGCTTGACCCAATGTCAGTTTCCAAGAGCACTTTTCATAGTGGGTACAGGGAAGTGATGAAAATATATTAGACAGCATTTTGGTTGAGAAAATAGGGGGTAGGAAGGATTCTTGGCAGAGCTGTGCCCAGAATTCCCTGTGGTCCTGCAGACGCTTGGGTCCTCATTGTGGTTTGCTGTGGCCTCAACATTCCTCTGGCCTTCTCCCAGGAGGAGGTGAGGGAGAGATCAGTGAAGTTGCAAGTAGTTACACCACCCAAATTAAGACAGAGAACAGCAACCACGTGACATGTGTATCTGCCAAAGGGAATGGAAAGAGGTCTATGTTACATTGTTGATCCTCCTGTCCCTTCTCAGGGGTGTCAGTCAGAGTCCCACTAGAGAAGAAACAAAGAACATTCAAGTTGGGATCATTTAAGGAGTGTTTAATAAAAGGACAGTGTACAAAATTGTGAGGAGGGTTTAAGAAAACCACAAGGGGTGGTGCAGACACCAGGCTGGTAACAGTGAGGCCTGATCCCCAAGTTGGCACTTGGAGCAGAAACAATGCCAGGGAGACGTCACCAGGGCACAGGAGAGGCCGTTGCACTTACACAGGTGTGCAAGGCAAGACTCCCTGAGAACCTTCAACAGCAGGTTTATGAATATTATGGGACAATGGCTGCTTCTCCTTGAGGAGGAGTAGAGAAGCAAGCTTGCTTACTGTTTCTTTTTCTTTTCTTTTTTTTTTTTTTTTTTGAGACAGGGTTTTACTCCCGCGGCCCACATTGGAGTGGATCGGGGCAATCTCGGCTTACTGCAGCCTTCACCTCTCAGGCTCAAGTGATTCTTCTGCCTCAGCCTCCCAAGTAGTTGGGACTGCAGGGATGCACCATCATGCCCAGCTAATTTTTGTAGTTTTTGTGTAGGAGGGCTCTCGCCACGTTGCCCAGGCAGGTCTCGAACTCCTAGGCTCAAGCAATCGGCCCACCTCCGGCCTCCCAAAGTGCTGGGATTACAGGCGTGAGCCATGGCGCCGGCCTGTTTACTGTTTCTGTGCATGTGAACGTGCGTCCTTTCTGAACTCTCACGGGTTGATGGCTAAATGTGCCACTAAATGATTTAACCCAGGGTTTAGAAGCCAGCCCTCTGACACCTTAACATCAGAAAGGCAGTTCTCCTAGAGTCAGGCCTGAAACAAGCATTCTTCCTGGGAAACACCCGTTATTGTAGAGGGGCCTGTAGACAGGGAACTGCGGTGGTTGGAAGGTGTGCGCACGGCCCTGTGATTTAGGACCAGAGTTTCCAGAGCCTGTGCCCTGTGCCATGACCTCACAGAGTGCTGCTGAGTTTGTATCTCCCCTTCCCCCTTGGGTGGGCCTGGAAGGCCAGAGGGGGCTGGAGTTGGGGTTTGCTTTTCCCCAAGTAGGTTAGACTGATGAAAAATTTGGGTCTGTTAGACTCTGGTGAAATAATTCCCCCTAAAGCAGCCCTCATGAGAACAGGGTGTATTTCAAAATAATCCTTTTCCCCTGGCTGTAAGTAAGTGGGGATATTTCCTCCCTCCCTTTTTTTTTTTTTTTTTGAGACAAGTTCACCCTCTGTCACCCAGGCTGGAGTGCAGTGGCGCGATCTTGGCTCACTGCAACCTCTGCCTTTGGGTTCAAGCGATTCTCCTGCCTCAGCCTCCTGAGTAGCTGGGACTATAGGCGCGCGCCACCACGCCCGGCTAATTTTTTGTATTTTAGTAGAGATGAGGTTTCACCATGTTGCCCAGGGTAGACTCAAACTCCTGAGCTCAGGCAATTGGCCTGCCTCGGCCTCTCAAAGTGAGCTGGGATTACAGGCGTGAGCCACCGCGCCTGGCCGATTTTTCCTCTCTAATGTGGGAACCTGGTCGAGCTCTCGGAGGTAAAATTCACCAAGCGCAGGTCCCCCATGACTGGGTTCCCCTGGAGTTTTTCTCTCACTTGTCCAGGTGGCATCTCCAGAAATTCATGAGGGGCAGCTCAAGTCCCTGGCACTGGCCCCGCAGAGGTTCTGCTCCTGTCAGCTGAGGTTCTCAGAACCCACTTGTCTGTGTCTCCAGATTTGGGGGCCGTGCTTTGCCTGGTGACTCAGTTCTCCGACGGGTGAAGAAGAGTTGTTGATTTTCAGTTTGTTCATCCTTTTCCTTCCGTGTGGATGGGAACTGGACTGGACCCTGGAGCCCGGAGCCAAGAAGTCAGGAAGATGATTCCACAGGAGCTCAGGTGTGTCTGTCGCCTGCACCCATGGTCCCTCCCCGAGAAAGCAGACCCACGGCCCCTTCAAGTCCCTCCCTCCACACTGCCCACCCTGCAGCAGGGCCTTCTTCATTCCCCTTCACCGGTGCTCACTGCAGGTAACAGAGGGGCTGGGTGTGGTCATTGTGCTGGACCCTGGAGCATCTGGGCATGCTCATGCTGATCTGGGCATACACCGCTGCAGTGTCCCTGAGAGAAGGAAAATAATCCAATAGAGACAAAATATATGTTTTTTTAAAAAAGAGGATCACCTGAAGGATGTTATCAGCAGCTTCTTAGCAGTGCTCATTTCACCTGCAGAAGCAGCTCTCTGCGTTTTGATTAATTCATTACTGGCTCTGAGATAAGGCTAGGACAGTCTGTATAGCCGGCTTAGAGATTAGGAAAAAACATTTCTATTGCTGCAAACTCCTTCCTGCTAATCTTCCTTCTGATCTACCATGGGCAGGGTGCACGGGTGGGAAATGCATGCAGCCATTCCACCCGTGAAGACGAACTAATAGAAATCCAGGCTTCTGAAGAAGGTGCCGCGGGGGCAACAACCCACCTTGCAGCAGGGTTCTTAGCAAATCCCACAACACAGAACTGAATTGTGTAGCACAGCTTTACTGGCACAATGAGGGTCAATGACAGGGAAGCGTGTCGACACCAGCTTAAAAACAATCAGGGGTTTTTGCACACCAAGACAACACCTGGCTGCTGGGGAGGCTCAGAGTTGGGGTGCTCAAGGGGGTATGGGGCCGTTCTAAATGAGCTCCCATCTTGGAGGCTGCTCTAGAAGCTAAGAACTTGCAGACCTGACTAAGGGCTGTAAACCTCATTTTGGAGTGCAGAATCCCAGGCTGTGGTCTTGGAACCCCTGGGAATATGTTGAGTTGTCATAAGGGCCCTTCAAGCAACTGTGGTCTGAGACTGACATGTCTCCAGGTGTGGTTTTGGGTCCACCAAGGTGCTTAGATGCTTTTGTGATGAATTAAATACAAATTCAGTAAAATGTTACTAAACAAAGTGCCTTTTTGTCCTTATGCCCTTTCCCAGTAAATATTCTGAGAACAATAATATCAAGTATGTGTTCGCGAGAAATTTTGAGATAAATGTGTTTCATGCTGGCAGAGTCAGGAGCCACAGCAAAAACAATGTGAAGACGCATTCCGCCAGCTCCTGGGCGGGGAGGTGGTACGGGAGTCGGGCTCTAGCCCACCTGGCTTGGCAGCTGGCCCCCAGCAGCCCGCTCAGCCATCGTGCCCCGCTGGGCACTGCCCCATCATGGTCCTCAGTGTCTTCCCTTGGGACACTGGTGTCTTAGAGATGCTGGGGCACACATGGTGTTCACAGCCTCACATTTCAGGAATCAGAATGTATCTTAGTTACATGGCTTGTCATAGTTTAATTGGAAGTGTTTTTCCTCTCTCGGTTCCATGAACGCAATGGTGTGTCTACAGTCTAGAGCATCTTCGTGTGAGTGGAGCACAGTTGATGCTGCTGGAGTCACTGGAGTGCTGGAGCTTAAAGGGTGGCCCAGTCTCAAAGGGCACACCAGACTCTGTCCTAAGTCCAGGGACAAATGCTCACAGCTCCCTCAGCCACCCCCACATTGCTACGAGAGGAGGACTGCCTTGTCCCTGTTTTACAAAAGAGGAAACTGAGGCACAGGTGGGTGAGGACTGGCCTGCAGGAGAGCCAGGCCTGCTTGCTGCACATCTGCACCATAAGCCATCTCTACAGAGGGACAGACCGAAGCTGCCCAATTGACCCCCACACACAGTCAGCCGCCGGTCAGCTGCTGCACTGGTGATGTCACTGAGAGGGAGAATCTGCTCCCACGGCTGCATCTCCTGCTGTCACCATCTCCTCTAAGCCTCCACTTCACTCAGCTTCATTTAATGGGGGACATGTTCGTCTGTTCACAAACTCAACAAATGTCAAGTATTTCCTAAGCGTAGGCCCTGGGTTGAAGCCTCAGTGTGGGAATAAACAGGTTCGTGTCCCCATAGGGGTCGTGATCTAATGAGAAGAGAGACCAATCACATCACTTGGCTAATAAATAACAGGTTCTGAGATAGCTGCTGAGAGCGACAAGTATGGGGGCTATGAGAGTCTGTAAACCCGCTCTGGAGCGACAATTATGGGGGCTATGAGAATCTGCAAACCTGCTCCAGATGGAGAGGCCTGGGCTTTTTGTTCACCTCAAGTGTTGCATGAACTCTGAGGTTGAGAGGCACTTGACAGAAATGGCCGTGCTTACAGGAGCAGGGCAGACAGTGGAGAGAAGCAGAGAATGCGACGATCTCTTCCATGGGAGCCAGGCAGAAACCAGGGAGCAGAAATGAGATTCACAGCAGGCGGGAAGGCGGGGAACTGCTGCCTTCAGGCAGATGCCCATGGTGACAGCCAGGCAGAAACCAGGGAGCAGAAACGAGATTCACAGCAGGCAGGAAGGCGGGGAACTGCTGCCTTCAGGCAGATGCCCATGGTGACAGCCAGGCAGATGCTGGCACAGGACCCACGCGCCCACGGCGCCCTGCTGGGGCTGGTGGAGCAGCCACCCAGAGATGCACAAACCCTGATCCCCAGAGACTGAGTGTGTTGGGCATGGGGGAAAGGACACCCAGCTGCAGGTGGACTCAGGCTCCAAGCAGGGCCCTTGGGTGGGAGTTACCCAGGGTTACCCTTGGGGTCCTCATGTGGGAAGGACGAGGCCATCACTGCTGTGACCATGGAGGGGCCTAGCCAGGACCAAGGGCCTTGGAGCCTCTGGCAGCTGAAAGAGTGAGAAGCAGGTATATCAATTTTATATGATGCCACTTAATCTTTTTAGAAAGAATATACCTACATGAAGTAAGGAGAGAAAGGAGAAGGGGAACTCATGACCAACTCTGTGACCTGGTGGGGCCCAGGCCTCTGGTCCTCTCCAGACCCCGTGGGATGCAGCTGTGGTCGGTACAGCATCCTCTCTTCACAGTGACCATTAGGTAGCAATTTAGGAATTCTTGACCCCAGTGTGAGGTCCACTTCAGTAACAATACCAAATTGTCACGAACACACAAGCTGTCACTTTAAGAGGAGCAACGGTAAACTTGCTGAACGAAAGTGAACTTATTAAGTCATTGACCTCTGGAAAAGAATGATCCGGAGAGGGGTGTGTGTGTGGCTGATCTTCCCGGGCTTTGTGGCAGATCACGGGGCCCTTAGGAGGGAGGGGTCAGAAACCTCAGAACAATGTCTCCATTTCATCGGAATGGCATGAAATGATTCCAGTTAGAAAAGAACGCTGAAGGTCAAATATGATGCAAGGCACTGGATGTATTTGCTAATTAGCATGTTAAAGAATGAGTCAGCTACGGGAGCAGGAGTGATCGCTAACCCGTAATAATAATCTGACTCTAATTGGAGAGCCGCCCTTTGGAAGCAGAGCTTAGAGAAGCAATTTGCAGAACACATCAAAAGAGAGATTTAATCACATGTCTTTCTATTTGAAAATGTTAGCCTGTCGCTGTGTTGACATACAATCATTAATCTACCAGGTGAAAGATAGGAAGCTCAGCCCGCCCACTAATTCTTTTCAAAACATATTTTCTCTGATTGCTTGTTTTCTAACCAGGACACTGACTGTGTATGTGGCAGTTATCTTCCTGCTGCTAAACCGTTAATTGTTTAAATGTCCTGAGGTGATAACACGGAAAATCAGACGACTGGGAGCGTCTCAACATAAATGATGCAGACAGATGGAAAACAGAGCCCACATTTTCAGCCTTGAAAGGCAGCTCAGTGCCAGGCGCAGGGCAGAGAGGAGATATGGTGTGACCCAAGCAGGCTCCCTAAGACCCCAGGGTCACAGGCCCCCCCACGCCCAAGCTCTCTGTCCCTGGCGCATCTCATGTCCACAGACTCAGCAACGAGCTGGGCAGGGAAGGGAAAGAGCAGATGGACAGAAACAGGCCCAGCCAGGGCAGAGTCCTGTCGCCGATCCCTGCCAGGCCCAACCTTTGTGGGATTCCCAGGAGACCCCCTACCAGAGGTGAAGTTTGGGGCAAACCCGTGTGTCACTCTGCCTGAATGCCCCACCCCATTGACCTACTCTGTGGAGTACTTGTTGCCCCAAAGCCAGGTTCTGCCCCAGTGTTGGGTGCAGATGGGCACCGCAGCTGAGGGGCACTGGGAAGGAGGAATGGAGATGCGGGAGGCGAGAATGCACCTGAGTCCATAAACAGTTTCCATTGTTCATGATCAGGGTTTCAGCCTGTGATGAGGTGGACAGGAGCGAGAGGCCACCTCCACCCATTGGTGACCCAGGAAAGCTGAGAAGAGGAGAATGAAGTGAAAGAGGAGGGTAAGAGTGTTGAAGGTGTTCAGGGGAGCAAGCCCCGGTCGATGTGTTCTTTCCACAGCTCACTCCCTCGCCCTGCCTCCTGCCGGGCCTAGGGATGTAGCTGGTTCAGCAGAGCTGCCTCCTTCCCCAGAGGAATGACACCAGCCAGGAACCGCACAGGGCTACGCAGAGACACCAGGAAACAGAGGAACGGCACCAGCCAGGAACCACACAGGGCTACGCAGAGACACCAGGAAAAATCAAACACTTAGGCAGGAAAAAGACATTAGGCAGATGGAAAGCATACAGTGCCCATAAATATCAAGAACACGAAAATGCTGCCAATTATCACTGCTCTTATTCAGCAACACATTGAAATCCCAAACCATTGCAATACAATTCAAAATTACAAACAAACAAACAAACAAAAAAAAAAACCCAAATAACTATAAGAATAAAAAAGTACAGCAAAAGATTGACTTTCTTGCAGATGCTATGATTCTATACATATAGAATTCGAGAGAATCTTTGAATAAATTACAGACATCAATACAAGAGTTCGGCAAGAGTGCAGAGAACAAGAGCTGTACTGGGAGTTCTTAGCATTTACTCTGGCAGTCACCAGATGGGGAATAGAACCCTAAATGTGGGCCATTCATGGCCACAGTAAAATCTATGACAGTCAGAGTTGAGCAAAATCCAAAAATATGTGCAAGACCTTCCTGGAGAGAACTACAAACATGTTATTGAAAGGCCCGAAGGAAGAATTTGAGGAGGAGAAGCACCAGTGTTTCGGACAGGAGTATTTGGATAACAGTAAATTCTCCAACATCTTAGCATTCAGTGAACATTCCATCAAGATTCATCAAAATATATGGGGACTTTAACAAACTGATTCCAGAGCACATATGGAAGAATATATGTGAATAAATATCTTCAGAAATGCTCACAGATGACATGGTGTAGTGCCTGTAATTGGTTTTAAAAGAGTCTGGGGGAGGAGGAGAGGCTGGTGGGGGAGCAGAGGCAATGAAATTGGGCCTGATTTGGTGATTTTTTGATGCTGAGGACAGACACATAGGAGCTCACTCTCCTATCCCATCTACTTTTGTTTTTTAACATTTTTAAAAATAACTTAACGTTTAAAAGGTTTGAGGAGAAAAAACAGTTAAAACTTTTTTTTGGAAAAAAAAAGCCAAATTGGAAGAGAAAGCAAATATATACAAAGGTATGGTAATGAAAACAGTGTGGCGTTAATAGGTTGGCAGAAAAGTGCAGAGCTCAGAGACAGACTCTCGTGGGAGTCTGTGACCCGATGGAGACAGCTTCCTAAGTTTGGGAACAAGGCACTCAGCACACAGCCCAGGGACTGGGCTTTCATCTGGGGAACAGGGTTCCTGCCTCATTCCACCCTCAAAAGGATACTTTAGATAAATAGAAGCCTAGGTGTGAACAGCCAAAAACTAGTAGAATGAAACAGACCAGATGGATTTTGGGTTAACCGGCACTGTGAGAAGAGGAAGGAGCAGAGTCGTCAATGCAGGTCAGTGCCCGTCACGTCAGTAACATGCTCAAAAGACAGATTTATGTCACGGATAAATGCAAATATACGGGTATGTGAAACTTAAAAAACAGTCATATAAAAATACAAACCAAATACCTCAAACTGGCCGCCCCGGGTGGGAGAGGCTGCAACTGTGTTGCTGTAAGGATCCTTCTACCTCGCCAGAGTCCTTTCCAAAGGACTAGAAACCAACGTGGCAAAATATTTTGTTAATTCTGGTTGTGGGAATATGACTGTTTTATAAAATTATTTGTACTTTTTTTTGTCTTTAAAATGTTTCAAGACTGGGCGCAGTGGCTCACACCTGTAATCCCAGCACTCTGGAAGGCTGAGGCAGGTGGATCACAAGGTCAGGAGATCGAGACCATCCTGGCTAACATGGTGAAACCCCATCTCTACTAAAAATACAAATAATTAGCCGGACGTGGTGGCACACACCTGTAGCCCCAGCTACTCAAGAGGCAGAGGTGGGAGAATCACCTGAACCCGGAAGGCGGAAGTTGCAGTGAGCCGAGATTGTGCCACTACGCTCCAGCCTGGTGACAGACTGAGACTCCATCTCAAAAAACAAACAAACAAACAAAAATCAAAACTGAAAAGGGCAAAGAAGGAAGAAATCCAAAGAAACAACAAAATCGCTCCAAAGTAAGAGTCCAGTTAAGCCCTTCTAGGGAAAAGAACTGAAGGGTGTAAGGGCTCAGGGGCAGTTTGCGGAGTGAGGGAAGAATGAGCTATGATGGCTCAGGAAATAAATGCAAGAGGAAAACCTTCCAGATGTAAACATGTTAGCTGACAGAGAAGCCCAAAGAAGTAGAATAAATTGACGGGAAACAGCCCTTGACGCGTGGAACAGATCTGAGGAAGTCACACAGGATGACACGAAAAATGGCAATGCGACTGCAGTGACCTCAGAGAAGATGGTAGCTGTGGAGACGACGGGAAATAGCATGGGTGCAGTTGGTGCTCTTAAAGAAGACTGAAGAAATAAAGAAAATCAAAGAGCTGAGAACACAAAGCGTCTTTAAAAAAATGAAACATTTGTACCTGTTTATCTTCTGTTCCAAGAAAAAAAGTGATAAAGATCGATATCGTAAAATACCTTGACTTGTAACCAGACCTCAAGGACAAAGGCATCTTTTGGTAGCTCGAGGAAAAGAAAATCTATAAAGGCAGGAGAGGTATGGGCCCTGAAAAAGCTTTCTCTTCAGAAAACTCCAACTTACTGTTTCAACTTCATAACGTTTACATTCTCTTTATTTATAATGCTCACATTGGTTGAGTCTTAGTTTCTCTGTTGAAGTGAAATTTTTTTTTTTTTTTGAGACGGAGTCTCGCTCTGTCACCCAGGCTGGAGTGCAATGGCTTGATCTCAGCTCACCGCAACCTCTGCCTCTCGGGTTCAAGCGATTCTCCTGCTTCAGCCTCCCGAGTAGCTGGGACTACAGGCATGGGCCACCATGCCCAGCTAATTTTGTATTTTTAGTAGAGACGGGGTTTCTCCATGTTGGTCAGGCTGGTCTCAAACTCCCGCCCTCAGGTGATCCGCCTGTCTTGGCCTCCCAAAGTGCTAGGATTACAGGTGTGAGCCACTGCGCCCAGCCTGTTGAAGTAAATTTTAACTTTGCCACCCTTTTTCTTGGCTTATTTCTTTGGTTGATTTTTGTCGTTATTGTTTGGATGGATCTTCCCTGAGTTTTTGATGACTTGAGAAAGATTGTCAGTTGCCTTTTTACTTAAAGGAAAATGTGGCTAGCTAGAAGAGGACCACATCCGCTTCCCTCGGGACCTCACAGAAGTGGACGTCTCGGGCTCCAGGGAGGCTGAGTCTGAGGCTGGCCCGGCTCTCCTCCACACCCCTGTGCTTATTCTTTCTCAAAGGACGTTGATACGTTTGGTTTTCTGCTAAGTTTCACTTTCAGTGTTCTGTTTCAAATGCAAGAATCTGTGTTTATGGTAGATAAACACGTACCATAGGTGGATCATTGGAACCGCAACCTGAACCCAGCATGTGCCATTTTAAAACGTCTTCAATATTTGATAAAATTAACTATGCTTGCGGCCCAATAAACAGTTCTTGAAATTTGAATGCATTTTTATTTAATAACTCACAAGATAAAACTTTCTATAAGCATCAGCCTCATGAATATATTTCCTATGGAAGAGTCTACAGAATTGTTTGGTTTTAATTAGAGAGTTATTTAAAAAACAACAATAGGGGCTGCTTTTGACTTTCAGCAGAACAAGATGATCTTTACCTGAAAACAAGATAAAAATTCCAAAGTCAGGGATATTGTGATTTACAACAGTGATTTGTGTAATCATTTGAGAGCACGCCTAACAGTCTCAGTTAACCCTTCCAGGCCCCCAGAGAAGCTCCCTCCTATACCTCAGCGCTGCTTCCCGGCTGTGGGAGGCTTCCTGGCAATGTCCCCAGGGATCGCTCTCACCAGCCACATGCAGATTCTGCAGGCTGGAAGCACAGCCCCATGCCAAAGGGGATGTCAGGAACACACGCGTGAACACACACTTGATCGGTGAGAAGAAGACCTGAAGGGCTGGGGGGAGCCGTTGTATTTAAAATGCAGGATGCCGCCTGGCTGGGTCATAGGTGAGGGAGGGCGCACCTGACGCCATGTGCTTCTTGGCTGCTGCTCGCGTGGCTTGTGTTGTGTGCATGAGTGTGAGCGCGAGTATGCATGTGTGTCTGAGAGTGTCAGTGAGAGTGTATGTGCATGTGTGGGACAGCTTGTGAATGCCTGTGTGTGCATGTGTGAAGCTCTCTGCATGCAACTGTATGTATGCAAATGTGTGTGTATATGTGTGTACTTGTAAGTATGCATGCATTGTGTGTATGCATGTGTGGGTGTGTTTCAGCATGTGTGTCAGTGTGTGTATGGGTGAATATGGGTGTGTGTGCATGTGTGTGTATGCGTGTGAGTGTGAATGCATGTGTGATTATGTGCATGTGTGAGTGTGAACATTGTGCGTGTGAGTGTGAACATTGTGCGTGTGTGTGAATGTGTATATGCGTGTGAGTGTGCATGCATGTGAGTGTGCATGTGTGTGAGTGTGCATGAGTATGTTTGTGTTTCTCTGTGTGGAAAGGGTAGGGTGTCAATGTGTTCCCCGCAAATCCATCCACAGCAGTGCTTTGCTCACAGGTGTTTAACTACACTTGTGCCCCCCGTCCCCACCTAGATTTTCATCTTAGGAGGCCAGGGCAGGGCCTTTTCTGTGTTAAACTCTCCCAGAGGCTGAGCTCAAAGAGCAAGGGCCTGGGTTAAACAGCGCTGTGCACAGCTGGGGACCTGCCCTGGCCTCTGGGCTCTGGGAAGAGTGGGGTTTTCAGGGTGGAGGCTCCAGCAGCTATGTCCTGATCCTGCCCGCGCACTGTGCAGGAAGTGGCTCACAGCAATGCTGTGGGTGTCCTCAGGACCTGCCTGTGGGCCATGAGGCTGGGTCCAGGCCGGGGTTTGTGTAGACGGTGTGCCTCAGGGTAGGGGCTGGGCTGTGCGGCCTCCATGTGTGGGTCCTCAGGGCTGCCCAGGAGGTGCTCATTGTTGGTGTCCTCATTGTTGGTGTCCTCCAAGCTGAGCCTTGGGAGGGGCCGCAGCTCAGGGAGAAAAATTGTTCTGAGATGACTAATTACAGAAAACTGGCTGGCACAATATCCAGTTCCTGAAGACCCTGTAGGAAAGCAAAATATTTTACTCCAAACTGTATTTTTTTGACCTATGTTGATACGGCCCTGCAAAGCCATCTTTTGTGGGGGAAATTTGCATCTGTAGAGAATCTCCATTAATGCAGCCAGGCCTTCCTTTCTAGGCCTTTCCTGGATCTAAGGGAGATTAAATGAGAGTCTGACACTTTCAAAGTCTGAAAAGAGACATTCACCTTCTATTCTCTCTGAAGACAGTGACCTGGGAGGCTTCATCTGCATAACAAGAACCGTGGTCTCCACAACCCCCTTATCTTAACCCAAGCCTTTCTTTCTAGTGACTTCAAGTCTTTAAAAAATGTTTAGCTCTTTCACCCAATTGTCAATCAGAAAATCTTTGAATCCACCTGTGACCTGTAAGCACCCCAAGTTGGAGATGTCCCACCTCTTTAGGCAGAAGCAATTTACACCTTCCACGTATTGATCAATGTCTTTGCCTGTAACGTCTGTCTCCCTAAAATGTATAAAACCGAGCGGTGACCCAACTCCCTGGGCACACTTTCTCAGGACCTCTTGAGACTGTTCCCCGGGCCATGGTCACTCATATTGGCTTAGAAGAAACTTCTTTACATATTTTACAGAGTTTGGGGGGTTTTTCGGTCAACAATAGTATCAATTTGTGAACAGAAAATAAATTCGGGGGCCGGAAGATCACTAAGCTAAAGGGAAAAGTCAAGTTGGGAATTGCTCAGAGCAAACCTGCCTCCCACCCTAGACAATGTCATCTTTCTGCTCACTGAGACAAAATCATATCTGATTGCTTCCTTTGCAAAGGCTCATCAGAAACTCAAAAGAATACAACCATTTGTCTCTTACGTTCCTGTGACCTGGAAGCCCCCTCCCTGCTTCGAGTTGTCCCCACCTTTCTGGATGGATCCAATGTACATCTTACATATATGAATCGATGTCTCCTGTCTCCCTAAAATGTACAAAACCAAGCTGTGCCCCGACCACCTTGTGCACATGTCGTCAGGACCTCCTGATGCTGGGTCACAGGCACGTGTCCTCAATCTTGGCAAAATAAACTTTCTAAATGGACTGAGACCTGTCTCAGACATTCGAGGTTTACAAATTGCAAGATACTATTTCCTAGAAGATGTTTAGTGAAATAAATATTGACCATTCCTGATATTTTTACTTTATCATTGTGAATCTACTTATTCTGAAATATAGTAAAACATTTTACTACATTTTCTAATCAATAAATTATCTGGTGCACATTGCCTTAGGACATCATATGAGGCTGAATGTGTTAGAAAAATCATAACTGAAAAATTTAAGAAATGAGGCCAGGTGCAGTGGCTCACACCTGTGTAATCCCAGCACTTTGGGAGGCCAAGGTGGGTGGATCATCTGAGGTCAGGAGTTTGAGATGAGCATGGTGAAACCCTGTCTCTACTAAAATTACAAAATAAAAATTAGTTGGGTGTGGTGGTGCATGCCTGTAATCTCAGCTACTCAGGAGGCTGGGGCAGGAGAATTGCTTGAACCCAGGAGGCAGAGGTTGCAGAATCGCACCATTGCACTACAGCCTGGGCGACAGAGTGAGACTCCATCACACACAGTGGAGTGATCTCGGGTCACTACAACCTCCACCTCCCAGCCGCCTGCCTTGGCATCCCAAAGTGCCGAGATTGCAGCCTCTGCCGGGCCGCCACACCGTCTGGGAGGTGAGGAGCACCTCTGCCCGGCCGCCCCGTCTGGGAAGTGAGGAGCCCCTCTGCCTGGCCGCTGTGCAATCTTCCAAGTGTGAAGTGACAGCCTTTCTGCAGGTGTACCCAACAGCTCCGAAGAGACAGCGACCATCGAGAACGGGCCATGATGACGATGGCAGTTTTGTCAAAAACAAAAGGGGGAAATGTGGGGAAAAGAAAGAGAGATCAGATTGTTGTTGTGTCTGTGTAGAAAGAAGTAGACATAGGAGACTCCATTTTGTTCTGTACTAAGAAAAATTCTTCTGCCTTGGGATGCTGTTGATCTATGACCTTACCCCCAACCCGGTGCTCTCTGAAACATGTGCTGTGTCCACTCAGAGTTAAATGGATTAAGGGCGGTGCAAGATGTGCTTTGTTAAACAGATGCTTGAAGGCAGCATGCTCGTTAAGAGTCATCACCACTCCCTAATCTCAAGTACCCAGGGACACAAACACTGCGAAAGACCGCAGGGTCCTCTGCCTAGGAAAACCAGAGACCTCTGTTCACTTGTTTGTCTGCTGACCTTCTCTCCACTATTATCCTATGACCCTGCCACATCCCCCTCTCCAAGAAACACCCAAGAATGATCAATAAATACTAAAAAATAAAAAATAAAAAAATGAGCCATGCACCCTGGTACTGCACCCCCCATCTGGGTGCCTCTGGGGAGGGTCCTCGTGGCACCCTGGTACTGCACCACCCACCTGGGTGTGTCTGGGGAGGGTCCTTGTGACACCCTCATACTGCACCCCCCACCTCGGTGTGTCTGGGGAGGGTCCTCCTGTTTCTTGTTAATGCACATCACACCCTTCATCCCAGGTAAGAAAAGGAAGATGGGGATGCTGAGAGGAGCCCTCTTCTTTTGTTTTATTATGTTTTCAACTCAAATATTCAAGGCCACTGAGACACAGGATCCATTTCCACGCCTAATCTTCCTTCACCAGTCTCTTGTTGAAGCATCTAAGAAGAGCAGGCCTCCCTTCATGCCATGGAGATCGGGAAATCACGGGCTCACAGGCAATTTGGGTGCACAGAAGAATCTGTCAGCCTCAAACACATCTCCTGGGGTCTTTTTAAAATTATGTTTGGCAGGCTTGATTTTGCCCCACCTTCCTGTGCAGCTTTACTGCAAGGCTATAAACATTTAAATGAAGCACCCAGGTGAGGGTGTTAATTGTTGAGATTCTAGTAGCTGATCTCCTGTCTGGGATTCTTTGAACTTGTTAATCATTGAAATGAGTCCATCTGGGGCTACTGAGAGGTCGCAGGCCTGACACCAACTCTCTGCTCTGACACAGGTTTGGGATGTGATGGAGAACGAGCTGCACAAGTCTCTGGGCTCCTGTAAAAGATTGGTTGCAGAAATGTCCTCAGAGTTGTTGGGAGGATTCAATAGAAGATGCATGCAAAGCACCTGGCTGAATGCCCAGAGCCCTGCAGACACTCAGGAATGAGTAACCATGCAGATTTTCTACGCCTTTAGACCAGATATTCTAAGAAACTTCCTGCTATAGATTAACTAGATCCTGATTGTGTTTTTCATTTCCAGGCTTAGAAGAAATAAAGGAAATATCCCAGGAGCAAAAACAAAACACACACATGCTCCTCTCAAGAGTCACTGGCATCCCAGCTGAAAAGTCAGCTCTACACCTATGGGACCTATGGGCCTGTTTCTGAGCTCTGTTTTGTCTCTTTGGTCTGAGTGTCTATCTGAGGCCAATACCACAGTACCAAATGCGATTGCTTTAGAGGAAGTCTTGAAATCAGATGAGGTAAGCCTTCCAGTTTTGTTCAGCCTGTTGGCTATTTTCTATGAATTTAAGAAGCAGCTGAAAATTGATGTTAATTACAAAAAAAAAAACCTACTGAGATTTTATTGGGATTGCTTTGAACAGATTAATTTAAGGAGAGAGACACCATCCAAATATCCAGTCGTCTGGTCCATGAACATGGTTTTCCTCTCTGTTTATTTAGGTCTTTTAAAACTTATCTTAGCAATATTTTCTAGTTTTCATTTTACAAGTCTTAAAAATATTTGTCAAATATTTATCAAAATGTTCCATATTTTGATGACTTTATAAATGATATTTAAATGTAAATTCCCAATTGTTCATTGCAAGTTTATAGAAACAGTTGTTCTGTGTATCCTCAGCCTTGGTAACTTCCCTCTTAGTTCTAGGCATTTTTTTGTGTCAATGAAAAGAGTCAAACTCTGTAAAGTATTTGAAGAGATTTATTATGAGCCAAAAGAGAGTGGCCAATGTCCTGTGACGCAGCCTCAGGAGATGCCGAGAACATGTGCCTCAGGTGGTCGGGGGCAGCTCGGTTTTCTACCTTTTAGGGAGACATGAGGTATCAATCAAACACGTGTAAGATGTACGTTGGTTTCATCTCGAAGGGTGGGACAACTCTAAGTGGGGGACTTCCAGGTCATTTAAGATTTAAAGATTTTCTGATTGGCAATTGGTTATTATCAATAGAAGGGAGTGTCTGGGTTATGATAGGGGATTGTAGAGACCAAGGTTTTATCATGCAAATGAAGCCTCCAGGTATAGACTGTAAATGTTTCTTCTCAGACTTAAGAGATCTGTGTTGATATTAATGCTAGTCAGCTTTTCCTGAATTCCAAATGGGAGAGGGAATAACGAGGCTCGTCGACCCCATTCCCATCATGGGCTGAGCTATTTTTTCAGGTTAACTCTGGAATGCCCTTGGCCAAGGGGAGGAGTCTGTTTAGATTGTTGGGGGGCTTAGAATTTATTTTTGGTTTACATGTTATGCAGAATTTTCTACAGATGATGATGCCCTCTGTGAGTAATGATAATCTCACTCTTTTCTTTCCAAACATGATGTGTTTTTTGCTTGTCTGAGTAAGCCGACTAGGATTCCTGGCACCATCGTGAACGGCTCTGGTGGGCACAGGCAGCCCTCTGCTGCTTCTGATCTTAGGTGGGAAACTGTCATATTTCACCACTAATAAAATTTTAAAAGACAATTCTGGCAAAGATCAGAAATGGCAAAGACAGTGGAGGGTGACAGAGGGGTTTGCCTGCAACAGTTCATGTTTTTTATTTTGTTAAAAGAGAGTTACAATTATTACAGAATATTATCGGGTAGAAAACAAATGGCATTTGTCTTACATTATTCTTTCTACTTTGCTTTTTGTTTTTAAAAAATATACCAGAGAAATGAAAATAAAGTCAGCCTCCATAAAATTATGAAGAAGAAAGGCAGTATCATAATGATTATGCAGGAACCAAGGACTGGCCTGGAAGATGGGCCCCCAAGCTCACAGGGACACCAGCAGGCACTGCTTCTAGACATGGAGCCTCAGTTCCAGAATGTCCCGTGACATGACCAGGAGTAGGGAACCAGCCCTCCCGACCTCCATGTCTTATTTGCCAGGCAGGGGTAACTGCAGGCTGGCCCTGACCAGGATGACCACTGGCTCCCACTGTGGATGCATTTCGTGCGTGGCCTGCATTGGACATCGGCTCACCCATGTGCTGGGGTGTCCAGGGTCCAGGGGAAGCTCCAGGACACATTTGAGGATCAGGAGAGCAACCTGCATAGTGCAGGACTCTTGTCAGGGAGACCACGACCCGGGAGCCTTTCCTAGAAGACACAGAGTCCCCAAAAATACCTGTGACAAGGGTCTCATCACAGCACTGTCTGAGAGTGCTTGGAGAGAGGGAACCTGCCTGCAGCTGTTCCCAGAGCAGTGGGGCGGGGGACACTCCCCTACTGAAGAAGGCATTTCCTTTTGGCGCCTCCAGTTCCCCCTGCCAGGACGTCAGCACCCAGGCTCTGATGTGGGCTGCTGGGGGCCACGGCACTGCAATGCTGCCCTGGATTGAATGGGGCGGGGGCTATAGATGTATAATACAAGTTGGATTTTAGAGACTTGGTATGTGGCATAGAGTCTCAAATGTCCAAAGATGTGTCGCATTGATTTCAGGGTGAGTGGATAGTTGTTCTGATATACTGAGTTCAGTAAAATACATCGGCAGCAGGAATTTTACCGGTTACTGTTTCGTTTTTGTAAATATGGCTACCACAAAATATAAGGGCACGCAGGTTCACGCCCTCACCCAGCACTGGCCTCCCCTTCCCAGACAATCAGCCACATCTTCGCCTGCCAGCATGGCCCCTTGTTCTCAGGGCTCCTGCCCTCATGCTCCTGTGTCCTCCAGTCCCCCTGCCCTCTAGGAAGCCTCGTGGCTGATGGGGCTTTGCTCAACCTGGTCTCGCGCTCACCTCCACCTTTGGCTCTAAGGCTTGTCATCCCTAAATGAGTGCCACCGTCACGGAAGCTTCAGGTCCACAGAGCTGGATGCCCCGGCCAGGCCTGCCAGCCTCATTCCTCGTCCAGAGCACAGTAGCTCCTGCAGGTTCCCCTCCTATTTGACCAAAATAACCCTCCCGATCCCCTAAATTTAAAACTTCAGTGTGGACCCTGCCTGGGGTTCCAGGACCCCAGCCCCTCTGCTTCGCTCTCCACAGCGTTTATCACTCGACCCGTACCAGGCTCCTTACCCGTTTCTCCTATTTCTCTCTCCCTTTAGGAGGGCAAGACTATTGTTCACTGCTATTTCCCCACAGCTAGAACGGTGCTTAGAGGTACGCAGGTGTGCACACCCAGGTGCACACACACAGGAATGCACACAGATACACACTCACAAATACACACACATCTTGTATGTGTGAAAATAAGTAAATCAAACATCTTCATATTGTTTCAGTACTTTAATATTTTAGCTCTTTAAAAGATTCCACATTTACATGGTAGTGTTTCCTATTCAGCATTTTTCCCTTGATCACTCTGTCCTATTCGAAAATATTCTAAAACAATTTCTGAAGCCAAACCATCGAACTCTTCAAGACTAGGTCTCTAAGCAAATATGCCAAACAGACCCGATTCAAAGTCAGGGAAACCACAAGGCTGTCAGCCCAGCATGTTCCGTTGAAAGGCGAGTCTGAAGCAACGTCCCAGACCCCTGAGGTGGGCTCCATCCCAGCAGCTCCCCTGGGTCTGTGCAGGGCCCCCCACGCCTCCGAGTCGGAGCCAGCTCTCAACTGGCCAAAAAGAAGATGTGATGACTGTGAGAGCCTCTCCAGGTCCTTCGGGTCGGACCTGTCACCTAATTGGGTGAATTACGGCTGAATAGGTGAGGACTGTTTAACTGCCTTCAGGCATCTTTCAGATTGTGTGGTTAGCTAAGCCAGCTGCTGCAAGAAATGGAAACAAACTCATTCCAGGGTTGCCTCTGGAAGACGCAGGTGCCCACGGCCCTCCAGTCCCCCTGAATCCTCATCTTAAAATAAAATAGGTTGGCCCTTTTTCATTACTAAACTTATTCAAATACAGGTGTCCAGCTTGCACGGAATTACCCTCCATTTTCCATTTTTATGCACTAAATGCATACGCATATTTCTAGACTATTAGTTTCTTCATTTTTTTCTTTACAAAAGAGGACTCTTTCTGCTTTTATTAATTTTGACGATTTTCTCTAATATACTGTAAGATTTAATGCATGTTATTTTCTAATTGCTGTATTTCATCCTGGATTAAAGTAACCTCAAAAAATAATCATCAAGAAGAGATGGAAAGAAAAGAGGGGAATGAGAAAAAAATGAACTTTACCTTTCAACAAATTTATAAAAAGATGTGTTTTTTATTCTTTACAAAAACTAAATTATTGTTCATAGGCTGAAGGCTGTTGAATTATGAGAAAGCGTCATTTGAAGAGATGGATGCCTGTGACCCCGCCAGGCTCTGCAGACCTGGAGGCGGCTCCAGATCTGGGGTGTGCGGCGCATTGTGTGTCCAACAGGTGATTAACTCTGCTGGTGACATGTGTTTTTAGATATGTGTGTCTTTTCTATGAGAGTAAATCATAAAGCCCACAGGATGTGCAAGCAGCCATTCTCGCTGGCCAGGCGGTGTTAGCGCTTGCAACGCACATAGATTATATCCAGGAGGATGCAGTCAATACTTTCTGGGTCCTTTTTAGGTTTTGGGGGCTTTGCAACACGCTTTACACTGCCCCTCATAAACCCGTCCTAACTGTGCGTTCCAGAAAATGTGCAGTTTCTTAAGTTTAGGAATTTTTTTTACGGCTTTTATTTTGAATGCTTGGATTCTTAACTTCTGGTCCCAGTGCAGGTTCATAAACAGACATGGGGACAGAGGTCTGCCTGGCCAGAGCTTAGTTCTGAGGGACACGCTTCGGCCATCCGGAGAGAGGGCCTGCTCCCCAGGCTGAGGAGACAACGGCCACGCCGGGGAGCACCACTCCCAGTCAGGGCCTAAAGCGTGGAGCCTGGGAAGAGGGGGCTTGCTCCTCCGCCTGCTCCTGGCAGTACACCCCAGGTCCCCCCGTTACCTAGGGAATGGCGCTGAGCAGGGCAGGTCCCAGGGCGCCATGGAGAGAAGGATGTCAGCCGCAAAGCCCTTGGGCGACCAGGCCCAGAGCCGCCCACTTGGGACAAGCCGCCAGGAGCAAGGGCACAGCTTTCTTCTGGGTCTCGCAGGCCCCTGGCTCTGCACAAATGGTGGGAGGGACCGATCCTACCCTGGAACCGTAGAACCTCGTCCAGCTCTGAGTCAGGAGCCATGGGGGCCATGGCCTTCCGGGCCTGCTGACCTGAGTAAGGGTCCCAGCACCGCTTCCAAGGCCGGGACAAACGCCTGCTCCTAGTGGGTCCCGCGTTGTTCCCGCTTGTTATCTAAGAGATGCGGTCAGCCCTTCGGAAGCCCTCCGACCCCGCCCAACCCCCACACTTCTCCGGCCGCTGCTCCTCTTCCCCCATTCAAGCCAGTCTGGCCTCCGGCTCTGTTCAGAGCAAGCCCAGCCTCCTTGTCATGGACTGGAAGGACCCCTGGCTCCAGGCTCCCGTCCTGCTCACACCCAGGAGTGTGGGCCACGCACTCCCGGAACCTAACTGTGGGTGAATGCTGGCCCTGGCTCCAGGCTCCCGTCCTGCTCACACCCAGGAGTGTGGGCTGTGCACTCCGGGAACCTAACTGGGGCTGGAGCTCGTCCTTGTCTCCTCTGACATCAGCTGGACGCACCATTTCTCTCCAAACCACAAACTCCCCTGAGCTGCCCTTTCTCTGGGAATGCATAGCTGTCGGGATCCCCACGGGCTATCACCTGCCAGGTTGAGGTCTGGCAGGAGTCTTCCTACCTCATGACAAAGCTTCAACCCTCTCCAGCCAGGAGACACTTAACTCTGCTCATTGCCCCTTTGAAGCTTGTGATATGAACAGACCCACATCCAGTACCATCTCTGCATCAAAAAGCTTTGGTTACGAGTGAGGGAAATCAGCTAAAACGCACTTATGCAAAAAAGGGACAAAATGAACTCTCATTAACTGGACAGTTCAAAAAGGGGAGGCTTCAGGCATGGCTCGATCCAGAGGTCAAACTCCTGCTGGTTGCTCTTGGTCTCCGTCTTACTCTCAGTTGGTGTTCAGGGCCATGCATGTTGCCTCCACATTTTGGCAAACATGTACTCTGGGCCCTGGGGGCTGAAGTCATCCACAGCTCTAGTGACTGCACACCTCAGCGACCTCTGCTTCCTCTGAGGTGAGCCTGGCAGGAGCACGTCCACAGGCAGTCACCAGAAATGAAGCCACTCAGGACTGTCACAGAGCCACAAGTGTCCAAGCCAAAAAGTCAAAGTGTAAAAAGGAAGAGGGAGCCCCCTCCACCCCTGCCTGAGGTGTTTAAACATGGCGAACACGGATAACTAAATGCCATTCAATCAAACCTTACTTTCTATTCCTTCTCTGTCATCGAGGGGCACAGCTCTGAGGGTAGAACATTTAGCATCTCATTAACAATGGCCGTGTGCTGCTGAATATCCGAGTGGGAAGCCAGAGTTTGCAGAGAAGCTTCGTGTGTGCTCCAGCCCATCGAGTGCCTGTTTACGGAGCAGGTGACAGGATTGAGGCTTCACCCGCTGCCTCCACATGTACAGCCATCGTGCAGGGCTCCTGCCGCGTTCAAAGGCATTACGTTATCTCTCAAGGGAAAGTCATACTTTTAAAATACAAAATTCTCTTTTATGCAGCAAAATTGCTGTCATACATATTTCAATGGAAAATTAAGTGTTGTAATAAAATATAACAAGGATGATAAAGGCATGTAGTATTTTATGCCATCGAATGCCATTATACCATCCCATACAATAAATTGGTACTGCTCTAAGTAACCTTCAAAACAATTTAGTGCTAAGTAAATAACTACACTTAGCTGTAAGTGGCAATACGGTATGAATTATAATTGTCAAATGACATCAATTGATCAGTCATAAGTCAATGACAGCATATAATTTTTCAGCAATACTTTTTCAACTAGGGAGTAGTCTCTATAAAAAGGACTTGTAATTAATTTCTAAGGAGAGTAAATATTCTTTGGAAAGACTGAGATGTGAGAAAATTACACCCTAACATAATTTAAGGAACAAAAGTTTTGCAGGATGCGTGACAACTATTTTATAGTTTAAGAGGATGGCTTAGCTCATTGCAAAAGAAGAAGAGGGAACAAAGAGTTGGGGGAAGAACCAGCCCCTCTGTCCCCTGTCCTTCTATCTTGTCTGTGTGTCTGTATATCTGTCTCTCTGTGTCTCCATCCCTCTGTCCACTTTGTCCTTTATTTTCTCCAAACACCTCCTGTCTTCACAGAGCCATCTACACTCTGTGGCCCATATCTCTCCCTCGAAGCTCCACAGAGGGCCCCATCCCATCCCTGCTGCTGGAGGTCTATTTGGGCCTCCAAATAGTCAAAGGCTGCTCATGTCTCCAAGTGGGCTCAGGTTGTGTTTTCAGGGGCACCTGTTTCTTAAGCTGTATCTAAATATGCTGGTTTCCCAAGGATACATCTCTCGGCTCCACTGAAGCCACAATTCTCCTTGGGAGAAATTATGTATCAGTAACTTCAGCTTCCTTGCACATAGCAATGAAACATACATTAGCATTCCCTTTATTGTAAATAATTTTCTCAGCTAAGGAAACACACTTTATGCTTATTGGAAATTGTCAACTTCATGGCTCACAGACCCCCAGATTTTAATGTGACATGCATCAAAACAGACACACACTGTCATCATCATCATCCTTATATTTAAAAAGATCATTTATGTTTAAATGTGGTTCTTCCCTCCAATTCCAGATCTTAGTTAACCACGCCCCCAGTTTTGGAGCCACCCAGGCGAGAATCCCAGTGACCACCTTTCCATTCTCCTTGTCTCCTGGTCACGAGAGCCCTGGATGCTGCCTGCTTTGCCCTTTCCTGCTCCTGCCAGTGGTGGGTACCCCCTTGCGACTGCAGCAGTGCCCATCTGTGACGCTGCAAGGCGTCTGGGGCAGTGCTGTCCACACTGAGGGTCTCCCTCCATCAGTCCTACACCTTGGCAGCAGTCATTTTGTTCAAATACAAGAGCGACCATCGCAGTCCTCGGCGACCTCTCTCACCTCAAGTCAATACCAAACTCCCTAAAATGTCAAAATCTGACCCTCCCTACTGCCCCAGGCCCCTGAGTGTCAGGCACTGCCCCCGACCAGTCTGTAAATGACTAGCCCCTCATTAACCCATGGAGGAAGCACAAGTTCCCAGCAAATCCCCATCACACCCTTGCGTCCAAAAGAGACACGGCAGAGAATTGCCACCCGATGTTCGGTATCTATCATTGGCTACCCTTGAGTCCAGAAGAGACACGGTGGAGAATCACCACTGGATGTTCAGTATGTCATTGGCTGCCAAAATATAATGGAGCTTAGAACTCAGGCTGCAGGCTCTGTATTTCAGTCTTTTTTTTTTTTAATTTTATTATGATTATACTTTAAGTTTTAGGGTACATGTGCACGACGTGCAGGTTTGTTACATATGTATACATGTGCCATGCTGGCATGCTGCACCCATTAACTCGTCATTTAGCATTAGGTATATCTCCTAATGCTATCCCTCCCCGCTCCCCCAACCCCACAACAGGCCCCGGTGTGTGATGTTCCCCTTCCTGTGTCCATGTGTTCTCGTCGTTCATTCTTTGTTCCAGATTCATATTCATAACACAGTTTCTTGAAGCTTATTCATTGTTCTTCTCTATGTTATGATTCCAATAATAGTGACTACCTGCAAATTTCTGTTAAATTATAGGCTTGTTAAGATGTAATTCACAGACCACGATCGTCATCACTTTCAAGTATACACTTCAACATTTTTAGTGTATTCATAGAGATGTCCAACCATCACTGCTATATAATTTTACAACATTTAAATCATCCTAAAATGAACCTTGGACTCAACAGCAGTCATTCCCCTTCCTCCCTCTCCCCCAAGCCCTGGCGACCACAAATCTACTTTCTGCCTCTGTGGATTTGCTGATTATAGACATTTCATGCAAATGGAATCTTAACATTTCATGTAAATAGAATCTTTGGTTTATTTCATTTAAAGTGATGTTTTGATGATGCAACTATTTTACAACATTTTTTCATTTCTTTTTATTGCTGATAATAATCTGTTGTATGAATATACCACATTTTGGTTCTCCATTTATCAGTTGTTGAACATTTGATGTGTTTCCTTTTTTTGGTATTATGATCAATACCAAATGTTGCTATGAACATTTGTGTACTAGCTTTTGTGTGTGAATATTACCACAGTTCTCCTAAGTATACATTCAGGAATGAAATAGCTGAATTATATGGTAACTCTGTTGCAGTTTTGAGGATCTGCCAAACTGTTTTCCAAAGTGGCTGCATTTTCCAATTCCATTAACAATGATTGAAGCTTCTGATATTTTCACCCCTCTCTCTCTCTCTCTCTCTCTCTCTCGTGTCAATGTAGTTGTTGTGAAGTGATGTTTTATTGTGGTTTAATTTGCATTTTCCTAATTAATAATTTTGAGCATTTTCAAAGGCTTATGGGTCATCTGTATATCTTTTTAGGAGAACTATCTAGTTTTTGTTCATTTAATTTGCTTGTATTTCTTTTTATCACTGGTTATTAGCATTCTTTATATATTTGTATAACAGTGCTTTATCAGATTTGTGATTTGCAAATATTTTCTCCCATTCTGTGTGTTGTCTTTACACATACTTGAGGGTGTCTTTTGAAACTGCAAGATAATCTTTAAATTTATTTTGAATATTTACAAAATTGTGATAAAGTCCAAATTATCTGATGTGTCTTTTGTTGCTTGTGCTTTTGGTGTCAGTTCTAATAAATCATCGCCAAATCCAAGGTCACACAGAATGTACTCCTATGTTTTCTGCTAAAAGTTTTATAGTTTTAACCTTACTTTTAGACCTATGATTCATTTTGAATTAAAATTGTATATGGTGTGAAGTAGAAATCAAATTACATTCTTTTGCAGGTGGATATCCAGTTGTCCTAGTACCATTTGTTGTAAAGACCATTCTTTCCTCCTTGAATTCCATTGGCACACTTGTCAAAAATCAATTGGCCATAAATATAAGGGCTTATTTCTAGACTTTCAGTTCAATTTCATTGATGTATGTATCTATCTTTATGCCTCTGTCATACTGTTTTTACTACTGTAGCTTGGCTGTGCCACTTTGAAATCATGAAGCACGAATCCAACAACTTTGTTTAAAATTTTCTTTAAGATTGTTTTTGGTGTTTGTAGCTCCTTATATTTCCATATGAATTTTAGGATTAACTAGTCAATTTCTAGAAGTAAAGCAGCTGAGTTGAAATTTTTGAAAGGGATTTTGTTGAATCTGCAGATCAATTTGACCTTAACAGTGTTAAGTTTTCCAATCCATAAGCATAAAATATCATTCTATGTATCTAATTTTTTAAACAGTGTTTTGTAGTTTACAGTAACAAGTCATAACTTTTTTGTTATATTTCTTCCTATTTGATTCATCGATGCTATTGTAAATGAAATTGTTTTAATTTGATTTTTGAAATTTTTATTGCCATCATATAGGTCTACAGTTGATTTTTGTATATTGTTCATGTACCCAGCAACATTTCTGAAGTCATTTATTCATTAAAATTGTGTGTGTGTTTCTAGAGATTTCCATATACAAGTTCATGTCATCCATAATAGAGTTTGACTTCTTTTTTTTTTTAATTATACTTTAAGTTTGAGGGTACATGTGCACAATGTGCAGGTTTGTTACATATGTATACATGTGCCATGTTGGTGTGCTGCACCCATTAACTCGTCGTTTAGCATTAGGTATATCTCCTAATGCTATAAAGACACATGCACACGTATGTTTATTGTGGCACTATTCACAATAGCAAAGACTTGGAACCAACCCAAACATCCAACAATGATAGACTGGATTAAGAAAATGCGGCACATATACACCATGGAATACTATGCAGCCATAAAAAATGATGAGTTCATGTCCTTTGCAAGGACATGGATGAAGCTGGAAACCATCATTCTCAGCAAACTATCGCAGGAGTTTGACTTCTTTCTTCCAACCCAGATGACTTGCATTTCATTGCCTTGCCTGATTGCCTCACAGGAACATCGATGACAATGTTCAATAGAAGTTGAGAGTGTGAACGTCCTTGTACTGTTCCTGATCTTAAGAGGAAAGCATTTGGTCTTTCAAATTTAAGTGTGCTGTGGGCTTTTCTTAGAAGGATTTTATCAGATTGAGGAAGTTTCCTTCTATGTTTAGCTCATTCATCTTTTATCCTTAAAAAGATGTTGGATTTTGTCAAATGAATTTTTTGCATCTTTTGAGATTATTATGGTTTTTAAAATTCTTTTAATACAGTGTATTGCTTTGTTTCCTTATGTTAAATCAACTGTGCATTCCTGAAGTTAATCCCAGTCATTCATGGTGTATAATTCCTTCTTATATATTGCTGGATTCAATTTGCTAATATTTTTGCCAATATTTGTATCTCTATTCATAAGGGATATCGATTATTATCTTGTGAGTTCTCTGTGCAGTTTTGGTACCAGGGTAATCCTGGGACTATGGAATGAATGAGTTGAGACTATTCTCTCTTCTTCTGTTTTGGTTTTGGCCTTTTGACATGTTTTGAGTGACTGGTATTAATTCTTCTTTAAATATTTAGTAGAATTCATGCATGAAGCTATCTGGGGCTGGCCTTTTCTTTGTGGAAAGTTTATTGATTACTAATCCAATCTCTTTACTGTTATTGCTCTATTTAGATTTTCTATTTCTTTTGGAGATTTTCCAGAAATTTGTCAACTTCTTTTAGTTTATCTAATTTTTAGCATACAATTATTTATTATATTTGCTTATAATCCTTCTCATTTCCTAAGGTCAGTAGTAATGCCCTTTATTTCATTGCTGATTTTAGTAATTTTAATCTTTATTATTCCTTGGTCAGCCTATCTAAAGGTTTGTTAAATTTGCTGAGGTTTTCAAAAACTAACTTTTGGTTTCAAGAATTGTTGCTACTGTTGTTTAATTCTCTATTTAATTTACCCCCCATCGTATCTTTATTTCCTTCCTTGTGTCTGCTGCACATGAGTTGTGTTTATTCTTCTCATTTCTTAAGATTGAAGATTACGTTATTGACTTGAAATATTTCTTTTTAAATACAGGCATTTTTACCTTTAAATTTTCTCCTAAGTACTATTTCCCATAAATTTTAGTATCTTGTGTTTGCCTTTTAATTAGTATTCAGTTATTTTATAATTTTATTAAATTGTGTTCTTGAATTCTTTGGTTATTTGCATTGTTTCACCTGTTTTTGAATTTCCCAAGTTCCTTCCTGGTATTGATTCCTCCTATCATTCCGTTTTGTTCAGGGAGCATAACTTTCGCATCTCAGTCCTTCTCCATTTCCTGAGGCTTCTTCAGGCTCTGGTGTGTGGTCCACCCTGGAGAATGTCTCGCTCTCCTCTCGAGAGGAACGTGGCTGCGGCTCTGCGTGGACCGTTTGGCAGAGGCTCATATGCTGGATCCACTGGTTGGTTCACGGGGTTCATTCCTGTCTGTTGATCTTCTACCTAGTGGCTCCATCACTCATTCAAGGTAGGACCAGTGAAGTCACCAACGTTCACTGTCAGATTGTCTATTTCTCCCTTTAGTTCTGTCGTTTTTTACGTTGTGTATTTTGGGGCTCTGGTGTTAGGCGATGTGTGTCCATATATTTCTCCCTTTAATTCTGTCCGTTTTTACTTTGCATATTTTGGGCTCTGGTGTTGGGTGATATGTGTCCATATTTGTTACGTCTTGGGAGAGATTGACCTTTTTGTTTTTATAAAATGTCCTTTTGGTGTCTCAAACAACGACTTTTGGCTTAAAGTCTATTTTGTCTGCATTCAGCCACCCGATGTCCCTTTTGATTATTGTTTACACGGTTCGTCTTTTTCCACCTTTCCCCGTTGGACTCTGACGCGTCTCTGCTGTGGGAAGCGCATCGCCGCCCCGGCGTCTCTCTCCGCTGCGGGGAGCCCATCGCGGCCCCGGCGTCTCTCTCCGCTGCGGGGAGCGCATCGCGGCCCCGGCGTCTCTCTCCGCTGCGGGGAGCCCATCGCCGCCCCGGCGTCTCTCTCCGCTGCGGGGAGCCCATCGCCGCCCCGGCGTCTCTCTCCGCTGCGGGGAGCCCATCGCGGCCCCGGCGTCTCTCTCCGCTGCGGGGAGCCCATCGCGGCCCCGGCGTCTCTCTCCGCTGCGGGGAGCCCATCGCGGCCCCGGCGTCTCTCTCCGCTGCGGGGAGCCCATCGCCGCCCCGGCGTCTCTCTCCGCTGCGGGGAGCCCATCGCCGCCCCGGCGTCTCTCTCCGCTGCGGGGAGCCCATCGCCGCCCCGGCGTCTCTCTCCGCTGCGGGGAGCCCATCGCCGCCCCGGCGTCTCTCTCCGCTGCGGGGAGCCCATCGCGGCCCCGGCGTCTCTCTCCGCTGCGGGGAGCCCATCGCCGCCCCGGCGTCTCTCTCCGCTGCGGGGAGCCCATCGCCGCCCCGGCGTCTGTCT
Source organism: Homo sapiens (assembly GCF_000001405.40). NCBI lineage: Eukaryota > Metazoa > Chordata > Mammalia > Primates > Hominidae > Homo > Homo sapiens. The sequence goes on along the minus strand of NC_000002.12, from coordinate 242,047,116 downwards.
CCGCTGCGGGGAGCCCATCGCCGCCCCGGCGTCTGTCTCCGCTGCGGGGAGCCCATCGCCGCCCCGGCGTCTGTCTCCGCTGCGGGGAGCCCATCGCCGCCCCGGCGTCTGTCTCCGCTGCGGGGAGCCCATCGCCGCCCCGGCGTCTGTCTCCGCTGCGGGGAGCCCATCGCCGCCCCGGCGTCTGTCTCCGCTGCGGGGAGCCCATCGCCGCCCCGGCGTCTGTCTCCGCTGCGGGGAGCCCATCGCCGCCCCGGCGTCTGTCTCCGCTGCGGGGAGCCCATCGCCGCCCCGGCGTCTGTCTCCGCTGCGGGGAGCCCATCGCGGCTCTGGCGTCTCTCTCCGCTGCGGGGAGCCCATCGCCGCCCCGGCGTCTCTCTCCGCTGCGGGGAGCCCATCGCGGCTCTGGCGTCTCTCTCCGCTGCGGGGAGCCCATCGCCGCCCCGGCGTCTCTCTCCGCTGTGGGAAGCGCATCGCCGCCCCGGCATCTCTCTCCGCTGCGGGAAGCCCATCTCTGGGCTGCGCTGCTTCCTGTTCTGCCGCCCTTTGCTTTCTGGCCGCGATTCCACTGAATGTGATCACTGAAAAGGTGGGATTTGCGTCCACTGTTTTACCAGTTGTTTTCTCTATGGCTTGTATCTGTTTTGTTTCTTTACTCTTCTTTTACTGCCTACTTTTATGTTAAACAGATATTTCATTTATACAATTTTAATTATTTTGATGTTTCTTTTACTCCTTTTTAATTTACTTGCTCAGTGGTTGTTCTGGAGAATGTAATTAAAATCGTATCTTAAAGCAAACTACTGCAAATTAATACCAAATTAATCTCCATAGTATGCAATAATGCGGTTATTAAACAAAATTGGTTAACAACTTTGGACCAGCCTTTGGATAGTGTCCTGGTCTAGGCCCAGCAGAACCGACCAAGCCAGAATGGAGTCCCCTGTGCTAAGGCCCACATCACCAAACTGACGTTGGAAATGGACAGTTTTCAAAAAATCTCAGGCCATTGAAATCAACCTGAGTCCACCTAACACAGAAGCCCTCTATTTTTTAACCCTTGAAGGAAAGTAGCCTGGAAACGACCCACCTGCCTTCTGTGTTTCATTCCTGCTCTCCAGAGGCTCTTCTATCTGCAGAGCCTCAGTTCACGGGACACTATCGCTCAGCTCGCGGGACACCCCCGCTCAGTTCACGGGACAACCCCGCTCAGTTCATGGGACACCCCCACTCAGTTCACGAAACACCATTGCTCAGTTCACGGGACACCCCCTCTCAGTTCATGGGACACCCCCGCTCAGTTCGCAGGACACCCCCGCTCAGTTCATGGGACACCCCCACTCAGTTCACGAAACACCATTGCTCAGTTCACGGGACACCCCCACTGAGTTCACGGGACACCCCCGCTAAGTTCGCAGGACACCCCCGCTCAGTTCATGGGACACCCCCACTCAGTTCACGGGACACCATCGCTCAGTTCATGGGACACCCCCGCTCAGTTCACGGGACACCATCGCTCAGTTCACGGGACACCCCCGCTCAGTTCATGGGACACCCCCACTCAGTTCACGGGACACCCCCGCTCAGTTCATGGGACACCCCCGCTCAGTTCGCAGGACACCCCCGCTCAGTTCATGGGACACCCCCACTCAGTTCACGAAACACCATTGCTCAGTTCACGGGACACCCCCACTGAGTTCATGGGACACCCCCACTCAGTTCACGGGACACCATCGCTCAGTTCACGGGACACCATCGCTCAGTTCACGGGACACCCCCACTCTGTTCACGGGACACCCCACCCAGTTCACGGGACACCATCGCTCAGTTCACGGGACAACCCCACTCAGTTCATGGGACACCCCCACTCAGTTCACGGGACACCATCGCTCAGTTCACGGGACACCCCCACTCAGTTCACAGGACACCCCCACTCAGTTCACGGGACACCCCCACTCAGTTCACGGGACACCATCACTCAGTTCACGGGACACCCCCACTCAGTTCACAGGACACCCCACCCAGTTCACAGGACAATCCTGCTCAGTTTGCAGGACACCCCCACTCAGTTCACGGGACACCCCACCCAGTTCACAGGACACCCCCACTCAGTTCACGGGACACCCCCACTCAGTTCACGGGACACCATCGCTCAGTTCATGGGACACCCCCACTCAGTTCACAGGACACCCCACCCAGTTCACAGGACAACCCTGCTCAGTTTGCAGGACACCCCCACTCAGTTCACGAAACACCATTGCTCAGTTAACAGGACACCATCGCTCAGTTCATGGGACACCATCGCTCAGTTGACTGCACCCATCCTGCTTCCAAGGCCAGGTGTTCCCAAGTCTAGAATCACAAATAGAAGCCAATTCAGTCTTTAAACTAGATTTGTTGTAATTTTGCCTCTGACACCATAACAGCCTGGGGACTTGTCCACAAGGCTGGACTGAGGGCCCCTGTGGGGTCTGTGTGGAGGTGACGCTGGGTGTGGAGAGTTCCGGTGACTGTCTCCCTGATTTTGCATATTGAAGGGGTGCAAAAAGGTTGCAGCTATTTCTGACACCAAGCCAGTCCTGTGTTAGCGACCCCTTGACATGGAGTGTGTGTCAGGAAAGAAGATCCCAAGGGAAGCCCAGCTCCTGTTAGGGATGAACTCAGGTTTCCACAGCTGGGCTTGGGGGGCCACAGGTGACCCCGCACCCCCCCGTGCTGCATCCTGCAGGAAGGTCCAGGCTCGCTGCATCCCCACTCCCCTTTGCTGATGGCTAAGGAGGCTCAGAGTGAAGCCTCAGCCAGATGTCTATGGAGGCCCCTCCCCAACTTCTGGCGGCTCTGAGGGGCCCCTGCTTCTAGGAGGAACAAGGTTGCCAGATGAGGGAGACCTTGGCGAGTGTGTCTGATGAGCACATTCATTTGGCCAGGCTGCCTTCTCCTTTCCAGATGTTCATTTCAGACTCCCCGGAATTGCACATTTATCAGCCCTTACCTTGTGAAGGGCGTCTGTAATTGTTACAGCGTGATGTGAAAATGCATTCTGGGATGTGCAAGCTGAGAACAAACGTGGGCAGCTCTGAACCTGCGTGCCCACCCCAGTTCCCCGTGTGCCCACCCCAGTTCCCCGTGTGCCCACTCCAGTTTCCTACGGGCCCACTCCAGTTCCCTGTGTGCCCGCCCCAGTTCTGCTAGCAGAGGCTCTCTGTCTTAAAGTCCCACAGAATAGCATCAAATTACTGGATATAGAAACCACTTCAAAGCAATGGTTCCCACAAAATCAGATCTTCTTGTATTAAGCAATGTTTTATATAAGATGTGTGTGCCTTTTAGAAACAGTTTTTCTTCCTTGATGAATGTTGGTCTTTAAAATTAATGATGAGTAAGGAAATTTGCATAAAATCACTCTCTCCATCAGGAGGCAAGCTGAGTGTTTCGATGATATTTATGGGAAAGGAAAGCTAAGGAACCAGGTGGAATTTGATCAGAGGTGGCACTGGGGTTGGGAGGGCATTGCCGACCAAAATGCCCCATGTCAGGGTGTGAAAGGAGCCAGAGCCATAAATTTGGGAAAGATGATGAATATCTTGAATTTGTGTGAGCAGCTTGGGTTTCTCAGATGTCAGTATCGGGGAGGGAGGAGACCTCTTTTAGGGGAGCTTTAAGGAAGTCTGATTAAACAGTGTCCTGAGAAGCTCCGTGGGAGGGCAAAACCGATTATGCTATGATAGATTGCCTTCATCCAAAGCAATAAAACCTACACAAGTGTCAGCAAAGTGTATCTAATTTGGCAAATGAAATTGTGACTATAGAAGGTATGTTTCTAAATGTGAAGTTTGTTAATTCAAGCACTGCTGTATTCACTGTGTTCTCTTCTCTGATGTGGAGCTGCATTTAGTTCATGGGTAACAGCCACACCTGTTCCATCCTCAGGTAACAGCCACACCTGCTCCATCCTCAGGTAACAGCCACACCTGCTCCATCCTCAGGTAACAGCCGCACCTGCTCCATCCTCAGGTAACAGCCGCACCTGCTCCATCCTCAGGTAACAGCCGCACCTGCTCCGTCCTCAGGTAACAGCCGCACCTGCTCCGTCCTCAGGTAACAGCCGCACCTGCTCCGTCCTCAGGTAACAGCCGCACCTGCTCAGTCCTCAGGTAACAGCCGCACCTGCTCCGTCCTCAGGTAACAGCCGCACCTGCTCCGTCCTGGGTTTCTTTCTCCGTGGCTCCTCGTTTGGTTTTCTGTTATTTTTCTCCTTTTCTATTTCTGCTGCTCTGTTGCCTGCCAGGATGTTTGAGCTTCCATCAGGGCTGCATTTTGGGGCCTTGCCTTCCTGTCAAGTGGTTCCATGTTCCAAACGCCACATCAGAGATCTCGGCTCTCTCACAAAAAAATTAGCATTTACTTTTTATGGGGCACACAGTGGTGGCTTCTTGGCTACTTTCTTAATATAAATGTGTGTATTTCTAACTCTATGATCAAAAGCCCATCAATCACCTCTCAGGCCAGAACTGGAATTGGAAACACCACTGAGTCTGCGGCAGTGAACCCAGGTTTCCACAGCGGCTGAGCAGCCACAACTGGCCCTCACCAGAGGGAGTTTGTATTAGTCCATTTTCATGACGCTGAGAAAGACACACGCGAGACTGGGCAATTTACAAAAGAAAGAGGCTTATTGGACTTACAGTTCCACTTGACTGGGGAGGCTTCACAATCCTGGCAGAAGGTGAAAGACACGTCTCACATGGTGGCAGGCAAGAGAAGAGAGCTTGTGCAGGGAAACTCCTCCTTAGAAAGCCATGAGATCTCATGAGACCATCATGAGAACAGTACAGGAAAGACCTGCCCACATGATTCAATCACCTCCCACCAGGTCCCTCCCACAACACATGGGAATTGTGGGAGCTACAGTTCAAGATAAGACTTGGGTGGTGAAACTGACAAACCATATCAGGGTTTAAATGGGACCCGGGTTTCTGCAGCAGCAGGGGTGGCAACAGCAGCTAGGGCCTGGAATGACCCAGGAATGCAGCATGGTGGGGGCCAGGGGACCTCAGGGGTGGGGTTCCTGATGTGGCCATTCTCTTAATCCCCAAATCACTCCTGGAGCTCAGCCGAGAACCCACCCTCTCATATTGTGGGTTCTCAGCCCCTTGTGTGACTCTCTGCCTAGGTACCTGGAGGGGTCACTGCCCCGGTTGCCCCACCAGACAGGATGCTGTCTCCACCAAGGTAACCCATTGTTCCAGGTGGGTTTCTTTGTCCTTTCCCTTCATCCCCATTCTCTGTGTCCCTTGCTGTCACCGCTCTGGCCCTGTAGAAGGTTCTGATGTGATTTAGGGGTGTCTCTACCTGGGAGGGCGGACACGTGCATGTGTGCACATCTGTTATTCTCGTTTATGTTAATCACACTCTTAGGTGCCATTTCGTTTACCTTTATTTTTAAATTTTGTAGGTGTTGCTTTTTTCATCCTTTATTTCTTAGTGTCGAGTGGATGCTTCTTTGGTGACCCCAAAACTCTCTGTGTGCACCCTGGGGACGGATGCAGGTGGGCCTCAGGACCCCGCCTCCACCCACAGGGTGTGGATGACCACCCCAATGCACAGTCTCTTATGAGAACAGGTAATTGGAGTGACAAAAATTGTATCAGACGGTTTTAAACAAGCAAGAAAGGCTTTATTCAAGACCATGCGGTAAGGGAGAGCCCCCAGCTCCTCTGCAGCACATGGCAGGAGGGCTGAGGAGCCTGAGGGGCCACCGAGCAGGTGGGAGAGCCCTGGAGGCCTCAGCAGGGGGCCAGCCCCCTAACCCTCCTCAGAGGCCCCCTAACCCTCCACAGGGCTTGGGGGGCTGGGCCATTTCTTTCTCGATGCCTCATTTTCCAAGGCAGCTCCCAGGCCTGAAGAAGGACATTTCCTGGGCTGTGGAACTGGCCAGTGGCTGGAAGAAGATTTACACCTGGAAGAGGCAGAGAGAGTTTACAATTTTACGTTTTCCAAAGTCAGTGCTCTGGACAGGGGAGGTTGACACCCGAGTCAGGAAGAAATCTGTCTGGAGTGAGCGAAGCCTGGGGGAGGGAAGGCCGCCTCGGCCGGGGTGTGGCCGGCAGCCAAGCTGTTGGCGCAGAGGTGTCCTGACCATGGTGCTCCAGGATCGCTGCTCTGGGCCCACCGGCAGGGTCCAGGGTTCCTGTGTCACCAGCCAGGGGCCTGACAGCTGGCTGAAGCCCTCACTTTCCTCCACATGCCTGGCTTGGCTGGGAGGCCCCTGTTTGAGCCCCTCATCCATGCTGTCCTCACCGAGCAGCGGACTCTCAGTGGCTGTGCCTAGGAGTGTGCACTGCCCAGTGACCCTCATGATGCTCCACGCATGCACAGGCGCGTCTGCAGGGCAGCTGGGTCCTCCACAGGCGTGTGATCGGCAGGAGCCAACACCTCTGCTCTGCCCAGGTGTACCCAGGGCAATGCTCTTCATCCTGACGGCAGTGCGCCCAGCCTGCTGCTGACACGACATAAGGAAGCTTCAGTGCAGAGGCTGAAGGACCCGTACCAGGGCTCCAGCAGCTCACAGTGGGTGGACAGGTCACTGCTGCAGCACCTGAGATTGGGCAGGTAAACCTGGGGCATGCTTGGTAGTAAGACTCCGCTGGACAGGCGTGGGGCGGACACCACCTGCCTGTGTCCCCCAGCATGGGCGGAGAGCGGCCATCACATGGTCAGCCAGGTCTGGGCCACAGGGAGCTGAGTCCTCCTCTCCATCAATTCCCGCTGAGCTCTCCCTCCTGTGGGCTCTGCACCTCTCTCCTCCTCACATTAGGTCACGTGTGTGTCTGTAACTGTACGTGGGGTGCATGGACACAGATGACCCTTCAGCCAGGGCCACTATCTGGGGTGCAAACCACTGGCTGCCGTCCAAGTGGGGAACGGCCTCTTGGGTCCATCCTCCCCGGGAAGAAAACTCAACAGTGGCGTTTCAAGTTTTGCTACATCTGAGCAGCCTCAGCCCTGCAGGCTGGATTCACTTTCTGCAGACTCAGCGGCCCCAGGTGTCTGGGGCCCCTCTGTCCTCTGTGGGTCTCAATTTTCTGTGTGGGATGTTCCTCGTTCGCACCCTCTCTGCTTCAGTTGGCTGGTGGAATGAACCCCATTGACTTTTATTCTCTAAAAGGTTGGATTCATCTTTGCTGAGTCAACAACTGAGGAGAACAAAACTCCAGAGAGAAACCGGAATTAGAGCTGGGAGTTTAGCCGGGCACGGTGGCTCACACCTGTAATCTCAGCACTTTGGGAGGCCGAGGCAAAAATTAGCTGGGTGTGGTGACACCCACCTGCAGTCCTAGCTACTCTGTAGGCTAAGGCAGGAGAATTGCTTGAACCTGGAAGGTGGAGGTTGCAGTGAGATTGCACCACTGCACTCCAGCCTGGGCGACAGAGTGAGACTCTGTCTCAAAACAAACAAACAAACAAGAGCTGGGAGTGCATTGTCCCAGCGCCTCCAGGCTGTAATTAGGACGCCTGGCAGGGGTCAAGGTTGTCAGTCTCCAAAGCTCCAGCCAGTGTGTCTGTCCTTCAAAAGCACTGGTCCCAGTGCCACAGTGACCATCTGAAGTGGTGACAGTGGCCAGGCTGTGGCCAACGGGACTCCCCACCCCCACCATAAACTTTTGCCTTTTCCTTCCCTTTTCAAGTGGGCCTTAAAGCACTTCTGGAAATTAAAGGTTGATTTAGGATATCGACTCTCAGCCCTGATTTCCATACCTGATCAAAGGCTTCCCTGTAGGGTGCCGTGAGCTTGGGCTGTCTGGGCACCTGCAGGCCCTGGGGGTCACATGTCACGGGGAGGAGGGAGGCCTCAGTCCCCGGGGTGAAGGGACACACCCACCCACCCTGGTCTCCGAAGCTCTTCCCTCTCCCCATCTCCAGGGTGGAGAGGCAGTGAGTCGGGGATACGATGGCGGAAGGGGAGGCGACCTCCCTCTGGGATTCGAATCCAGCCCTCCCACCTGGCAGTCATGGGACCTCCCTAAGCGGTTTAACTGCCAAGTCCCAGATCCCATCTGTGAAGCCAGGTGATAAAAGCTGTGGGTCACTGGGTCTCCTGGGTTCCCAGAGGTGCCCATGGCCGTCTCTAGAACAGCAGCTCCCCGTGGGTGGCACCTGTGTTCCCAGGCACAGTCCCGCCTGGATGCCTCCAGCCCACCTGGAGCTGTGAATGAACCAGCACCTTTCCCGCCTCCTTCCAGCCCTCCGACCATGGCCTCTCGCAGGACCCCTGGGAATCACCCTCATCTGTCACTGTTTCCCCACCGGGACCCACCACCGAGGCTACCAGGGAAAAGCCACAGGATTTGTTTGCATCTGGGGAGGCAGCTCCACCTTCCTGGCATGAATGGTCACTAATGATTGGACTTTGTCAGCCTGCAAGGCAGGAAGGAGATTTACTCTCCACAGACTGGACAGTCCTTAGCTTTGTGCTTGCCACATAAATGGCATTTAATACATGCTCCCTGGACTCAGCACCACTCCTGAAGGCCTGTATTGTGGTCAGCAGTTATCATTTCTTCCACAAATGAGCTCATTCTTCTCCTCTCAGGATCAACCCTTTCGCCTTCACTGAGGCATCAGACACCAGCATTCGGAGGGACACCCACTCCATCCTCTTCTCTCAGCTGCCTGTGGAAATTCCCATCTCAAACACGTGACTCCCCACAGAGTGGCACTCACTGATCACGGATCTTAACTTTAAAAGGTGAAAAATAAGTCAAGGCTTAAGGTAAAGTAACGGGAGGTGTGGATGTCTGAGCAATGCGGTGAACCGAGTCACGGGGCCGCGGAGATGTTCGCAGCTGGGACTTTCCAGGCCTCCCGAACGCAGAGCGCCCGAAGCCATCAGTGGCCACAGAGTGTGTTTCAGGTGTGATTTGGGGTCATTTATGCCAATTTTATTCTTCTTTTATTTCCATCTGGTTTTCTTTCTATAAATTGCATACGTCATGCATGCTACGTTTTATAGTCATCCGTGTGACATCCGTCTCGCACAGTGAGTTAAGGAGGACGTTCCGCTACAGCTGTACTTTTTACTCAGCAAAATAAAAAAAGAATAAAGATGAGCTTGAAACTCCTTTGGAATCACTACATTATCTGTTGCTTAGCAAAAGCAATCCATGAATAACACACATGTACACACATGATACACATTCATACACACACAAAAACACGTCTGCACATATGTGTATACATACACATAGAGACATAGGCACACATGCTCTGAAGGTCTGCATGGTGGAAAATTCTAGACATGTTCATTTCTACTTCCTGCCAAGCGCTGAAAACTTGGTGTGCCTGAAAAATCACTTGGCTTCTGTAACCAGATTTACCAAATTAAAAAATTAAAACTGTCCAAGTGTAGAGGCACTAGAGTTTTGTGTCATCATTATTTTTTGAACCACCAAACTTTTATGATGTTGTTGCATTTTTAACAATGCTTGAGTCAAATATCTCACGTAAAAAGAAAACTTCTAAAAAGAAAAAACAATCTAAAATCATGAAAATTTTTGAAAGCATAACCTGCAGTCTCTCCCTCCCCAAAATTGTGTGAATTTGTATGTCATGCATTGATTTCTTACAGTAGTCAGAATGTCAGCCGAATACCACAAAACACGTGTGTTTAGAGAGACTCCCCCGAAGTTGGGAGTGGTGAGAAATGGCGGGAGCTTGTCCCGAACAGACTCCTGGTGCCAACAATACCAGTGAGGAAGGTTCATCTCGAAAAACAAAAGCACTGAAGAGAAGCTGCATGAAACGAGGGGAACTTCACTTTTATCCTTAGATAAATGATTTTTTTAAATTTTGTGGCCACATAGGTGTATGAATTTATGGGGTATGTGAGATGTTTGGATACAGGCATGCAGTGTGAAGTAAGCACATCACAGAAAACGGGGCGTCTGTCCCCTCAAGCACTTATCCACTGAGTTACAAACAACCCAACTACACTCCCTAAGTTATTTTAAAATGCACAGTCAAGTTCTTACTGACTGTAGCCCCCCTGTTGTGCTATCGAACACCAGGTCTTACTCATTTTTCTATTTTTGCACCCATTAACCATCCCACCTCTCCCAGCCCCGCTACCCCTTCCAGCCTCTGGCAACCGTCCTTCCCCACCCCATGTCCATGAGTTCAATTGTTTCAATTTTTAAATCTGACAAATTAGTGAGAGAGAGAGAGCAATGTTTGCCTTTCTGTGCCTGGCTTAGAGAAATCATTTTAAAATTTCTGGTGTGCTTGATGGTGACAACTAACAGCCTGTGAGTTGGGGCTGCTCCGGTGAGGGGTGTGATGACGGGGAGGCTTCAGCCAGGTGGGCAACCAGGCCCTGACAATGGCCCAGCGGCGACGGGAGCCTGATGAATGTGCTGCAGGAGGTCAAGGCTGCACATCGATGTCCTCACGGCTGTGTGAATGGGTGTGAGACAGAGTCGTGCAAGTTCCAGCTGTGACTGATGAGAAAAATCACAGATATCACAATTTTCCCAGCCACAAAATGGGGGAGCAGCAGAGTGAGGGCCCAGTGCAGAGGAGAGACAGACACACCTGCACACGCACGGCGGGACGGGCAGCTGCATGCTCACCCCAGGACCTGGTGTGGAGGAGTACAGACACACCTGCACACTCACGGTGGGACAGACAGCCACACACTCACCCCAGGACCTGGTGCAGAGGTGGAGACAGACACACCTGCACACACACCCCAGGACCCAGCACGGAGGAGTACAGACACACCTGCACCCTCACGGTGGGATGGACAGCCACACACCCCTGCGTCCTCACATCCTCCCCTGGAACACAAGGATTTTGCATCTATCATGTAAGTGTGCATGAGTGTGAATGAGTAGGTGTGACTTGTGCAGCAGCCTGTGTGTGCGTGTGTGTGCAATGATCATGGCTGTGTGTGCAAACTGGCATGAGAGTGTGGGTGTGTGTTGCTGTCCAGCTGAGAGGACTGTGGGGGGAGTGAGTGGATGTCAGCCTCGGCCATGGCTTTCCATGCCCGACCTCTGAGCCAGCCCGGTCCCGCCTCCCACCTGCAGGCTGCGTGGGTCGCACCTGCAGTCTGCCCAGTGAGGCGCAGGTGTTTCTCACAAGTAGGGGCTGCTTTCCTCACAGCTCTGCTCACACCCATCCATCTCAGGGACTGCAGGCTGAGGTAAAATAGGTTTTTAAAGTAAGAAAATTGACTGAGAGCATGAGCCTGGCTGGCTGTGTTGATGGATTGTGGCCTTGAAGTGAGCCCTTGTACGTTTGTAGACTAAGAAACTCGATCCATGCCAGGCAAAATGAAAACCGCGTGAGAAAGGCTCTGTGACCCGGATTCCAAGGCCGTCGGCCGGGATCCGGGAATCTGGTTTGGCTGCCGTGGCCACTTGTGTCTGGTCCGCAGCGGCTCTGCTCAGGCCCAGATCCAGGCCTCTCCCGGAGAGCGATCCCTGCCCGCTCCTTCTTCACCCACACCGCGGCTTGGATCTCAGCTCTCAGCTCTGACCCTCCCCTCTGAGGTCCTGTGGACGTGTCCAGCTGTGGAAACCACCACTTTCAGGGTGAGGCCTCTGCCGTCCCAAATGCCCCTACTGGCCTTAAGATGTCCTTGAGACGGAGCCGTTCCCGGGGCTGCTGGCCGTGACCTCAGGCACCGCAGGCCCCACCTGCCAGGTCCACAGCTGCCCTTTTGCTCAATGGCATTTCTTTGAACACGGTTTTCAGGTTTTCTTTACGGGGTGTTCATAAAATCACATGCTGTCTTCTCGATCGTAGTAAGACAGGAACAAGCCTCGTGGACATCATGGGGCAGTCGAGGTGACCTGCTCTGCGAGGTGCTGCCTCGAGAGTGTGGATTCCCTCAGCGAGAGGCAGCAGCCGCCCAGCCCCGGGAGCCCCAGCCCAGGTTCAAAGCCCTGCGTTTCTTTTCAGTGTCTTCTGGATCTGAAGGAGGGGGTCCCGTGAAGTACAGACAGCTGTGTGTCTCCATAGCAGGGAGAAGCCCTCTCAATTGTCCCTTCCTGCAAATCCCCTTTCCTGATCCCAAAGCCGCAACAGTGGAACCTTCTGGAAGGTGGATTTCCAAGGATTGTCCTTATCCTAAAACTGCATTCAGGAAAGACACATTGACATGACTGGGGGCAGAGATGTGTAATGCAAATAAAGGTGTCGCTTTCATGTAACCTGAAAACTGAATTATTCATTAAAGGTTATTAAATTAAATATTTTCACCTGCATCAACTATGATTTTGCCTCAGCTTTCAAGCAAAACTCCCCTGAGTACCCCTTAGTAATCCATTTCTACACCTTTTGAATGGGATGAGTGTTACATGTATTTTACAACATTTCAAACCCAACACTCAGTGAAACCACAGGGCTTCATTACAGGGAATATCAGTTTTCAAAAAGCATAGACTATTGAATTCATGAATAAAAGAAAAAGGAATTGCAATTAGGTGGAAATGCTGAAAAGAATGTATTGTTCATTTAATTTTGAAAACAGCTCTATTTATTTAACGCGTGTTCAAAGCTGAAAGCACTGGTAAATCATGGATGGAATCACAGGCTCTGTCCTCAGGCCCAGCCTGCTGCTGGCTGCCGGCTCCCGGGAGCGCTCACACCTCACTCCTGCAGGGGAGGCTGCCCCTTAGTGTGCACCTCACTTTGTCTTCACCTTTCAAAACCGTGTTATGCATTATAAGTCTCGTTAAATGAAAACTTTATGTATCAGAAAGAATAGAAAGACCACAAAACATGTAGCCACATCTGAATTCCAGTGCCGTTGACTCTGCCAGATATTGGCTGGGCAAACTTGAGCAATTTGTTTAACCTTTCTGCACTGAATTTTTAAACTGCAAATTGACCATAATAACACTGGTTTCATGAAGTTTCCTAGGGATGCTGAAGACAAATGAGCCCAGTTAGACCCAGATGAAAGGAAGAAAGAGAAAAAGAGAGAGAGAGAGAACGAGGGCAGGGGAGAGGGAAAGGGCAGAGATGCAGCCTCGTTCTCACCCCTAAACGAGCTCAGTTATTCTGTGGCCTCTCAGTAATGTGGTTGCTTTCTCCTCTGTGGTGCCCCCAAGGTGGGCTTTGCAGTCTGTGTTATTTCCACCTCGCCGAGGAATAAGCTCCTTCTCAGACCTCAGGCCCTGGGCCACACTCCCTTTAACCAACACCATGAGATCTTTGCTCCCTCCATCGGCGCAACCGATGATGGTATTACCAAAGGCATTCACATAAAATGCAAAATAAAGAAGACAAGTTTGTGAGTTAAACCTTGGAGCATTTTGATTCCGAAGATCTGGAATCCATATCATTGTAACAGACTAGACTCACACTTAGTTTTAAATCATAGGCAGGAGTTTGGGGAACAATAAATAAGCACAGAAAATGGGCTAGGAGGAGGGTGGATGAAACTGATGGGCTGATCATGGTTCCAGGATGGTCTCACTGTGGAGGTGACAGGATGCGTGCTGCAGTGAAGGGCTGGGGTGCCACAGGAATGGGTGCCCCAGGTAGGGCGTCATCCAGGAAGGATGAGAAACACTGAGAACAGCTGGGTGGGAGCAGGGTCTGCCGGCTGCATGGGGGGTGGGGAGAGGAGCCCATGAGGGCCTGAGAGCAGCGAGGCTAGGCAGGAACCCTAATCCCTCATCTGCACATGACATGGGGCCTGCCGGAGCCCCGTGGAGCTTGGAATGGAACTGGGGAGGAGCGTTTGCCAGGCCTCCCATCCCCTCCTTCTGCCCACTGGGATTGCTCCTGAAGGAAGAAGAACCCATCGAGTCCCTTGTAAATGTGCTGGGGAGAGAACCCCTGACAGTGCCTGGTGCTCACTCCTGGGGAGCCACTGTCTACCCTCTGTCCTCTCTCGGGTGACCCCGGCTCTCAGCTCACTCCTGGGGGTGACCCCGGCTCTCGGCTCACTCTTGGGGAGCCGCTGTCTACCCTCTGCCCTCTCTTGGGTGACCCCGGCTCTCAGCTCACTCCTGGGGGTGACCCCTGCTCTCAGCTCACTCCTGGGGAGCCACCGTCTACCCTCTGCCCTCTCTCGGGTGACCCTGGGTCTCGGCTCACTCCTGGGGAGCCACTGTCTACCCTCTGCCCTCTCTCGGGTGACCCCAGCTCTCGGGTTGTTCTGGTACCATGGTTTCTGGGCTCGGGTCCATGGCACCTGGAAAATGTTGCATAAGTGAAATGATCTTCAAAGACCAAGAGGAGAGATGTTCCAGGCACCCCTCAGAGGCCCTATGAGGCAGGAAGGACAGTGGGGCTACAAGGTTCCCCAGCTTCTCCAGCTCAACCTGCGCCTGGAAATGACTCCCTGAAATCGTGAGCAGAGCTGGATGCGGGGTCAGTTCTGTGATCTGTGGGACTCTACCATTAATGGCTTCATTTATTTACACGGATCTAACCTTATATTTATCTACGTAAAGAAATAAATTTGTTATTTGTTAGATTCACCTGCACGTATCTTTTTAAGAATATTTTCCTAGCCAGTAAAGAAAATAAGTCAATTTTCTTTTTTCATTTCCCTATTGCTATGTGACGAAAGGTAATATTCTATACTTTTTGTATTAAAGGACTTCAAATTACTGATACTTTAGATGACTTCTAAAGTCTTTGCCGTATTCTCAATGAAGAATGTGAATGCCAGGTTAAAAGATCAACAATTAAATTACAGGTGTGTGTTCACCAGGAGGCCTGGTGTGATTTTCTTATTGGCTGTTTGCGACTGGCTGAGAGGGAAGATCTCGTGCTGTGTCCTCACCACGGGCACAGGCGCAAGGAAGCCTCCAGGAGGTGCAGAATTCCTCGATTGCTTTGATTTGGTGATGGTTTCACAGGTGTTTGCTCAGGTCAATCCTCACCAAAGTGTACACATGAAATGTGTGCAGCTCTCTGAGTATCAATTATACCTCAAAAAAGCTGAAACACTTTTACACTTGAAATAATCGAAGTGACATTTCAATCTAAAGGTTTACAAAGCTGTCACCTACATAGCTGATTTTTCCATGAGAGTCTCATTTACAAGAGAAACACAATTATGAAGTCAGTACCCTGTAATTTTAAAGGGTAACGGAAGAAGCGTGAGGTTGTTAGGGCGGTGCTTACACTCTCCCCCATGTTTATTCCGTGGTTAACCACATGGCAGATCGGCAGTGATTCAGGAAGATGAATTATCTTCAACACGCAGAAGTTCAGTCCTCTGGCATGTACGAATCCTGGTGTGGTTTTTACACAACGTTCTGCTGGGGATGCTTGGGGAGAAGCTGTGGTAACAGGATCGGGATTCGTTCATGCTTCATTCATCCAGGAGGCCTGCGACTGTCCGGCTCAGTGTGGGCTGAGCCTCCAGTGCCGAGCACCAGACACTCCACCCTCCTGAGGCACTTGTGCGGATGCAGGTGAGACGCCCAGACCAGGAGGGTGTGCGTGGGGGGTCGGGCTCCAGAGAACTTAAGATGAGATTCAACTGTGTGGACGGGGCTGGTAGAGGTGGTGGTTCCCGGGCTGGGGAGGTGTAAAGACAAATCCCGGTGACCCTGGCCCTAAAAAGCTGCCATGTACATTTTGTAGAAGACTGTCCATGAAAACAGACTCTCAGAAGCAAAGAGGTGCCTCGACAGGCCCCCCGTCCCGTGTGCAATGCCAGGTCTTACTCTCTCCGTCCCCGAAGGGAGCGTCCTCCTCACCTCTCTGGTCCTCCTTCCCTTGCCTTGTTTGCAATTGTCCACGGAATTCCTGCAGCCCCAAACAGTCTTTCTGATGTGGACTATTTTGAGCTCAACATAAATGAATTAACTAGCAGCATGTGTTTTTCCTGCTTCATCCACTCACACACTGTCTGAGACCCATTCATGTCTCCGGAGGTCCCTCACTCGCCTTGTGCTGGCTGACTCCACTGAGGGACTTGCTGGGACGTCCTCATCCATCTGTGGTGAACGAGAATTTGGATCTCTTCCCACTTGGGTTTGTGCGAACAGTGACACCAGGTGCATCTGAAATACACCACGTGCCCAGGTGCACGCGGGGCGTGTGCAGCTCCCTGACCCCTCTGCAGTGGGAGAGCACTGAGGCCCAGGGTGAAGTGGGGGGGTGTGGGTGTGGGGCCAGGCTGGGGTCGGGGAGAGGACACTGGACTCTGGGCTTTATCTGAGGGCCGAGCAGCAGGTGTCATGGCAGATCAGATCTGGTGTTGAACTGGCCCGATTGTCCCATAGAACTGATGTTCATGGTTTCTCTGAATAACATAGAAATGGATCCTTGTGGTCTTGAAACTTGAGAACTTGACATTTGTCTTGAGTTCCTTTCTCAGGAAACTGACCATCAGGCCTCCCGGGTAGTGTGAAGGAAGAGAGACTCACCAGATCACGGCATCTGGACAGTGAGATGCCAAACCCCTCACCCATCATGAGTGCCTGACCAGCCACCTGCCTCCTCCTGACCAACTCCTCTTCCTCACTCTCCCTAATTCCTGTTTTCCTTACACACAGTCACACTTCTTCCCTGCTATACAGTCAGTCAGGAAGATGGATTTGAAGCTGACCTCCCATCTCCAGGCCTGCAGCTCCTGATGCATGCCTTCCTCATTGGCAGTAAGCGTCGTCTCAGTGACAGGCTTTCTGTGTGGTGAGCAGCGGGATCTGGACCAAACCCCTGTGTTTCGGGAACAGGGAGAGCAGCCTCAGCAGGCCCCTGGCCCTGAGTGCAGTCATGACCACCAGGGACCCATACCAGCCCCCGGAGGTGAGTGTGGACAAGAAGAAACGGCTCCTGAGGACCCAGCCAGGAGAATTCCTGCAACGTCACGGAGAATCACGGCTACCTGGCCCACACCCCCCTTGAAGGGCAGCTGCAACATGCATCTCATTTGTCTTTCTTTCCTGGACATCTTCAAATCTCCTTCACCACAACCTTGTGATCGTGAGTTTCCGTCAAGATGTGCATTGTTTTACTATATTGCTTTAATTTACTCTGCTGGCTATCTGGAGAAATGCAGCCTCATCAGCAGAAATTATTTCCTCCCTGCCGCTTTTTAAATCTGTTATTTCCTATAGCCAGGTACTGAGCCCTTCAATTGAGGTCTAAACCCTCCACTCTCTCCCTCCGGGATTGCCAAGCCTGTGGTTTCAGTTCCACGCTCCCAGGTCGATTATGTCAACTCAAAGTCCAACGCGCTTATAAAATACTTGTTGTGTTTTTTTCTTAATTTTAGGAGTTTTTTTTAATATGTTTTTGTTTCATGGAGGTGACACCCTCTGTCTTTGAGTTGTGGGAGCCTTCCTCCTTCAGTCTGTGTGTACTGAAGCCAGTGTGTGCTGTACAGCCTCTCAACTGCAGCAGCCCACAGTGAGGTTCAGGTGCTCACGCCATCTCCCCAGAGAGCTCCTCCATTCGCCCCTCCACCCGTAGCCTCTCGAAACCACTGCCCTGCTCCCCGACACGGTACACTGTCTTCTCTAAGATGTCACGTGGTGGCATCCTTCGGCCTGTGCCCACCGAAACTAGCTTCCTTCACCGGGCATGTGGCCTGGGAGACCTGGGGCATTGTGGGTGCTTCTTTCCACTGCAGGTTGGTGCTCCCTATGTGGAAGCATCCGCGTTGGTTCACACCTTCTCCTGCCGGTGGACATTTTGTTTTCTTCCAGTTATTGGCAATGAGGAATGAGGCCTAAACACTTGTGTGCAGGTTTGTGTGTGCACATTTAAGTTTTCTCTTGGGGGAAATTTCAGGAGTGGGGTTGCTGGGTGACGTGGTAAGGATGTGCTTAACTTAATAAGAAACTCCTGGACCACTTTCCAGCATGGTGGGGCCCCTCCCATTCCCATGCAGCTTATGAGGGTCCCAGTTCCTTTGCATCATCATTAGAACCTGGGTCGGCCTGTGGTTTTTGTCTGTTTTTAGCCCTTTTAATAGATTTGCAGAGGTTCTGTTGATTGGCATTTCTCCAGCATCTCTATGACGTTGAGCCTCTTTCTCGGGCAATATGCCCTCCTTATACCTTCTTTGATGAGGCCTCCGTTCCAATATTGGCCCTCTCTTTAATACTGGGGCTTTTACTTTCTTATGGTTAAGTTTTGATGGTTCTTCACATATCCTGCGTGCCAGTAGGCTGTGAGACGTGTGATTCACAAATGTTTATTTCTAGACCATAGTTTGTGTTTCATTCTCTTTGGATTTTTATATTGCTTTATAGAATTATAATTTTAAATGTATGATTAAGTTTAATTTGTCAATCTTTTATGAATCATGCTTTTGGTGTCATGTCTAAGAACTTTTCGCCTAACCCCAGGCCGTACGAATTTTCCCCTGTGTTTTTGTCTAAGGGTTTGATAGCGTTATGTTCTCCATTTAGGCCTGTGATAAATGTTGAGTAACATTTTGTGTCCGCCATGGCCATACCTTTCTCCGTCTCTCACAGTATCATGGGCGTTTGCAGCTCCCAGTGCCCCGTGCTGCTCCTGTCTTCTTGGTCTGCTCCTCCTGTCATACCTTTCTCCGTCTCTCACGGTATCGTGGGCATTTGCAGCTCCCAGTGCCCCGTGCTGCTCCCGTCTTCTTGGTCTGCTCCTCCTGTCATACCTTTCTCCGTCTCTCACAGTATCGTGGGCATTTGCAGCTCCCAGTGCCCCGTGCTGTTCCCGTCTTCTTGGTCTGCTCCTCCTGTCATACCTTTCTCCATCTCTCACGGTATCGTGGGCATTTGCAGCTCCCAGGGCCCCGTGCTGTTCCCGTCTTCTTGGTCCGCTCTTCCTGTGAGTCTCAGGGCATGTCTTAGTGCTCACGCTGTCCTGGTCCATCGGGGGGTCCCGTGAGCTTGTCCGTGTGGGAAGGTCGGGACTGTGATGTTGACGGGATGCCTTGTGAGTTGGGGGAGGTGCTGATGGGGGTTTCCATGTGGGAGAGAGAGGTGTTTGGTTTTCCAGAGGGAGCAGACTTGAGAGGGGACAAACTTGAGAAATGCCACCAATGAAAGGCCCAGGCAGAGCAGGTCTTGGGGCCGCCCAGCCCTGTGGGAGCCAAACGTGGATGTGTCAGTGGCCATGTCAGGAGGTAAACCCTCAACCAAGGGCCTCTGGGTGTCCAAGGCCAAGTCTTGTTCAAGAGGTGCGTTCAGCTGAGCCAACCATGGCAGAAATGCATAAGGGAGATCCCACAGTTCCTCCGTTTAAATCCCCTGCTAATCCCACCCGCCTCAGAGAAGGAGCCAAGTCCTCACAGCAGCCTGCAACCCCCGCCTGACTCGGCCTCCTCTCGGGTCTGATTCTCTGTACCCGTCTACACCTCTCTGTCTCTTCTCCCACCAGAGAGGATATCCTGCACGTTCATCCTGGTGGATTCAAACCCATCTTTGCCACACACATAGTCACCAGAATGAGCACGCATAATCTATAAAGAGTCCTCTTGAAAAAGAAAAATGCAGGCCGGGCATGGTGGCTCATGCCTGTAATCCCAGCACTTTGGGAGGCTGAGATGGGAGGATCACCTGAGGTCAGGAGTTTGAGACCAGCCTGGACAACATGGTGAAACCCCATCTCTAGTAAAAATATAAAAATTAGCTAGGCGTGGTGGTGGGCGCCTGTAATCCCAGCTACTCAGGAGGCTAAGGCAGGAAAATCACTTGAACCCAGAAGGTGGAGGCTGCAGTGAGCTGAGATTGTGCCACTGTACTCCAGCCTGGGCAACAGAGTGAGACTGTGTCTCAAACACATAACAATAGGAATAATAAAAGAAAAGTGCAAAAATTCAAACAACTTAACAGAAACTGGGCAAAAGAGCTGAACCGGCCCTCCACAAAAGAGGAAATGTGGAGGAATGACTAATGAAAACATGAAGAGGGGCTCAGCCTAACGGGGAGATATCACGTGACACCCACCAGATGGGCAAAAATCCCACCACCCAATCCATGCAGCTGTTGGGGAGAATGGAGAGAAGCAGGAACACCAGGCACTGCTAAGAATGGTTGTGAAGTATATTTTTGTTATGCTTGTATATGAAAGGATGTGTGTTGTGGGTTATGAGGAAAATTACATTTTTTACCTGGGATGAAATTTTAAAACTTGAAAGCTACTGACCAGAAGCAACCTGCACTTGTGGACAAAAGAAATGCCCAAGAATGTTCCCAGCAAAACGCAGTCCTCAGGGCCCCAACCTGGCCAAACACTCATCCACGGGAAGATGAAGACATTTCCCATGCTCCCCTCAGACAACGAGAGACCATGCAGCAATGAAAATGGACCATGTCAGTGTGGGTGGGTCTCAGGGAGAGAATGGAGACAGGAGATCACGCAGCAATGAAAATGAACCATGTCAGTGTGGGTGGGTCTCAAGGAGAGAATGGAGGACAGAAATAGACATAGAGCAGATGCTCAGAGCCATGCAGTGCAGGAGCAGCCACGCAGGAGAATTTCCTCACATCAAAGTTCAAAACTACAGCCAAGGCAACAGAGCAAGACCCTGCCTCAAAAAGAAAACAAAGTTCAAAAACTAAATGGCTTATTGTTTAGGGATGTACACATACGCGGTGAAAGAAACGTACTATGAAGAAAAGTGTGGGAATAATAAAGACTAAAGCAGGAAGTGGTTCCCTCTGTAGGAGAAGAGAAGGGACTGGGACTCAGGCAGGGCCTCCAGGGAGCATCCAAAGTTATGTCTCTTCAGATTCTATTCCCTAAACCTGGTGGAGGTCCTCTGTGTCCAATGTGTCAATATTCTTTATACCTTACCCATATTGTACAAATACTTTATTTCTATTCAATGTTTAGAAGACAGTTATTAACAAGATGCATTAAATAGCAAGATGGCCAATGAACATCAGGAAGGGAACATCCATGAGGTTCCATCCACGGAACCTCACCATGGATACGCTTGTGATCAAGGGCCTGGTCTCCCCTCAAGACACAGTCAGAGATCAGAGGCCACACCATCCTAGCAGTGGAGCAGGACCAGCTGGGACAGGGTCCTTCTGTGACACCTGCTGCATCACCAGCCTATGTGAATGGATTCAGCTGCCAGAACTCACAGAGTATCAGTATTAGCACCGAAACCTCACAGGAAAAATGGTAAGTTCTAAGTTTCTCCATTAACAGTAACTCTCAGATTAATCTCTGTCATCCATCACTTCTCCATGAAATAACTTTTTACAGCTCTTCATGGGTCTATGTTTCAATTTATATATTATTTTACTAACTGATTGAAAATATATATTGTGTGTGGTGTGTGATTCTGTCAGTCAGGATAATCATAGTTTAATTTCTATTATTATTATTCCAATATCATTTAGTTTTTTTAAGCTTTTCAATTCCTGAGGGTATTAATCAGGGTCTTTCTGTCTCATGAGACAGAAAACAAATCCAAACTGTGTAAGAGAAAAAGGAATGCATTAATCCCGAGGACTGAGAAGCTCCCAGGCTTAACTTGCTTGGGATTCAGCTACATGTACAGTTTCCACGGCGTCCTGAAACTCTCTCTCTCTACTTCCCCAACATCAGCTCCACGTTTAGCTCCATGAACTTCAGACTTAAACAGCATCACTGGCTCCTGACCAGGATTCCAGCTCCACAAACCTCAAACTAGAACACCAGCCTGGCTTCTCCACAGGTCTCCAGCTCCAAAACCTAAGACATCAGTGGCAGTACCTACTCCTCCCAGGGGGCTCCAGCTCTGAGACCCTCAGACTTGAACCGCAGCACCAGCTGTTCCCCAGATCTCCAGCTCCATGACCCTCAGACTTAAACAACAGCAGCACCAGCTCATCCGTGGGTCTATATCTCCACGACCCTCAAGCTAGGAAAACATCAGCTCCTCCCCGGGTCTCCAACCGCACGACCCTCCAACTAGAAACACACCAGCTCCTCCCTCAGTCTCCAGCTCCACAAGCCTCCCACTAGAACAGCAACACCAGCTCCTCCGCGGGTCTCCAGCTTTACAACCTAAGACATTAGTGGCAGCACCGGCTCCTCCTGGGGGCTCAAGCTCCAAGACCCTCAGACTTGAACCGCAGCACTGGCTCTTCCCTGGATCTCCAACTCGACGATCTTCAGACTTAAACAACAGAAGAACCAGCTCCTCCCTGGGTTTCCAGCTCCACGACCCTCAACTGGAACATCAGCTCCTTCCTGGGTCTCCACCACAACAACCCTCAACTAGAAACACAGCAGCTCCTCCCCGGGTCTCCAGCACCACGACCCTCAACTAGAAACACACCAGCTCCTCCCCAGGTCTCCAGCTCCACGACCCTCAACTAGAAACACGCCAGCTCCTCCCTGGGTCTCCAGCTCCACGACCCTCAACTAGAACAACACCGCTCCATGCTGTATCTCCAGATCCACGACCCTCAACTAGAAAGACACCAGTTCCTCCCCTGGTCTCCAGCTCCATGACCCTCAACTAGAAACACAGCAGCTCCTCTCCGGGTCTCTAGCTCCATGACCCTCAACTAGAACAACACCACTCCATGCTGTATCTCCAGATCCACGACCCTCAACTAGAAACACCAACACCGGCTCCTCTGCAGGTCTCTAACTTCTCCCATAGATTCCAGCTCCAGGACCCTCAGATTTGAACCACAGGACAACCTCCTCCCTGGATCTCCAGCTGCACGACTGTCAAACTAGAACATCAGCTCCTCCCAGGGTCTCCAGCCGCACGACTCTCAGACTAGAACATCAGCTCCTCCCAGGGTCTCCAGCCGCACGACTCTCAGACTAGAACATCAGCTCCTCCCAGGGTCTCCAGCTGCACGACTCTCAGACTAGAACATCAGCTCCTCCCAGGGTCTCCAGCTGCACGACTCTCAGACTAGAACATCAGCTCCTCCCAGGGTCTCCAGCTGCATGACACTCAAACTATAAAGACAACAGCTCCTCCCTGGGTCTCCAGCTCTACAACTGTCAAACTAGAACACCATCAGCTCCTCTCCGGGTCTCCAGCTCCACGGCTCTCAAATTGAAACAACATCAGCTTCTCCCTGGGTCTCCAGCTGCACAATCCTCCAACTAGAAAAAACACCAGCTCCTCCCCTGGTCTCCAGCTCCACGACCCTCAATCTGGAACATCAGCTCCTCCTCAGGTCTCCAACTACATGACCCTCAAACTAGAAAAACAGCAGCAAACTAAAAAAAAACTCCCCAGGTTTTTCTAGTTTGATGGTCGTGCAGCTGGACACCCGGGAAGGAGCTGATTTTAATCTAGTTTGAGCATCGTGGAGCTGGACACCCAGGGAGGAGCTGGTGTTTTTCTAGTTTGAGCGTCATGGAGCTGGACACCCAGGGAGGAGCTGGTGTTTTTCTAGTTTGAGCGTCGTGGAGCTGGACACCCAGGGAGGAGCTGGTGTTTTTCTAGTTTGAGGGTCGTGGAGCTGGACACCCTTGGGGGTCAGTGTTTTTCTAGTTTGAGGTCATTTGAGGGTCAGCTGCACGACCCTCAAACTAGAAAAACACTAGCTCCTCCCCTGGGTATCCAGCTCCACAAACCTCACATGAGAAAAACACCAGCTCCTCCCCGGATCTCCGGCTCCACAACCCACAAACTAGAACACCAGCAGCTCCTCCCCGGGTTTCCAGCGACACGACCCTCAAACTAGGAAAACATCAGCTCCTCCCCATGTCTCCAGCTCCATGACCCTCTGATCAGAAAAACATGAACTCCTACCTGGGTCTCCAGCTTCAGGAGCCTCAAACTAGAACATCAGCTTATCCCCGGGTCTCCAGCTCCACGACCCTCAGACTTAAACAAGAGCAGCACCAGCTCCTCCCTGTGTCTCCAGCTCCAGGACCTTTTGATCAGAAAACATGAGCTGCTACCTGAGTCTCCAGATGCAGGAGCCTCAAACTAGAACAACATCAGCTCCTCTCCAGGTCTCCAGTTGCAAAACCCTCAAACTACAACATCAGCTCCTCCCCGGGTCTCCAGCTGCATGACCCTCAAACAGGAACATCAGCTCCTCCCCGGGTCTCCAGCTGCACAACTCGCAAACTAGAACATCAGCCCCACTCCGGGTCTCCAGCTGTATGACACTCATACAAGAAAGAGGCAAGCTCCTCCCAGGTTCTACAGCATGACCCTCCAATTAAAAAACACCTGCTCCCCCTGGGATATCCAGCTGCATGACCCGGAAACTGTCACATCAGCTCCCCCCCCAGGTCTCCAGCTGCACCACCCTCTAACTGCAATATCAGCTCCCCCCCAGGTCTCCAGCTGCACGGCCCTCAAACTGGAACATCAGATTCCTGGCCCTCTAACTGGAACATCAGCTCCCCCGAGGTCTCCAGCTGCATGACCCTCAAACTAGAACATCAGCTCCCCCCAGAGTCTCCAGCTGCAAGGCCCTCAAACTGGAACATCAGCTCCCTGCTGGGTCTCCAGCTGGAAGGCCCTCAAACTGGATCATCAGCTCCCCCCAGGGTCTCCAGCTTCACAGCCCTAAAACCGAAACATCAGCTCCCCCCGGGTCTCCAGCTTCACAGCCCTAAAACCGAAACATCAGCTCCCCCCGGGTCTCCAGCTGCACGGCCCTCAAACTGGAACATCAGCTCCCCAGCCCTCAAACTGGAACATCAGCTCCCCCCAGGGTCTCCAGCTGCATGACCCCCAAACTAGAACATCAGCTCCCTCCAGGTCTCCAGCTGCAAGGCCCTCAAACGGCAACATCAGCTCCCACCCCGGGTCTCCAGCTGCACGACCCTCAAACCGGAACATCAACTCCCCCCAGGGTCTCCAGCTGCATGGCCCTCAAGCTGCAACATCAGCTCCCCGCCGGTCTCCAGCTGCACTGCCCTCATACTGGATCATCAGCTTCCTGGCCCTCAAACTGGAACATCAGCTCCCCAACCCTCAAACTGGAATATCAGCTCCCCCCAGGGTCTCCAGCTGCATGACCCTCAAACTGGAACATCAGCTCCCCCCGGGTCTCCAGCTGCACGGCCCTCAAACTGGATCATCAGCCTCCCAGCCCTCAAACTGGAACATCAGCTCCCCAGCCCTCAAACTGGAACATCAGCTCCCCCGAGGGTCTCCAGCTGCATGACCCTCAAACTAGAACATCAGCTCCTCCCCAGGGTATCCAGCTGCATGACCCTCAAACTGGATCATCAGCTCCCCAGCCCTCAAACGGGAACATCAGCTCTCCCTAGGGTCTCCAGCTGCATGACCCTCAAACTAGAACATCAGCTCCTCCCCAGGGTCTCCAGCTGCATGACCCTCAAACTGGATCATCAGCTCCCCAGCCCTCAAACTGGAACATCAGATCCCCAATCCTCAAACGGGAACATCAGCTCTCCCTAGGGTCTCCAGCTGCATGACCCTCAAACTAGAACATCAGCTCCTCCCAGGGTCTCCAGCTGCACGGCCCTCAAACTGGAATATCGGCTCCTCCCAGGGTCTCCAGCTGCATGACCCTCAAACTAGAACATCAGCTCCTCCCCAGGGTCTCCAGCTGCATGACCCTCAAACTGGATCATCAGCTCCCCAGCCCTCAAACTGGAACATCAGATCCCCAATCCTCAAACGGGAACATCAGCTCTCCCTAGGGTCTCCAGCTGCATGACCCTCAAACTAGAACATCAGCTCCTCCCAGGGTCTCCAGCTGCACGGCCCTCAAACTGGAATATCGGCTCCTCCCAGGGTCTCCAGCTGCATGACCCTCAAACTGGAACATCAGCTCCCCTGAGGGTCTCCAGCTGCACGGCCCTCAAACCAGATCATCAGCTTCCCAGCCCTCAAACAGGAACATCAGCTCCCCCGAGGGTCTCCAGCTGCACGGCCCTCAAACTGGAACATCAGCTCCCCCTCAGGGTCTCCAGCTGCATGACCCTCAAACTAGAACATCAGCTCCTCCCCAGGGTCTCCAGCTGCATGACCCTCAAACTGGATCATCAGCTCCCCAGCCCTCAAACTGGAACATCAGATCCCCAATCCTCAAACGGGAACATCAGCTCTCCCTAGGGTCTCCAGCTGCATGACCCTCAAACTAGAACATCAGCTCCTCCCAGGGTCTCCAGCTTCACGGCCCTCAAACTGGATCATCAGCTTCCCGGCTCTCAAACTGGAACATCAGCTCCCCAGCCCTCAAACTGGAACATCAGCTCTCCCCCGGGTCTCCAGCTGCAGGACCCTCAAACTAGAACATCAGCTCTCCCCAGGGTCTCCAGCTGCACGGCCCTCAAATTGGAACATCAGCTCCCCCCGCGGGTCTCCAGCTGCACGGCCCTCAAACTGGAACATCAGCTCCCCCCTGCGTCTTCAGCTGCACGGCCCTCTAACTGGAACATCAGCTCCCCACCGCGCCTCCAGCTACACGGCCCTCAAACTGGAACATCAGCTTCCTGGAACATCAGCTCCCCCGCCGGGTCTCCAGCTGCACGGCCCTCTAACTGGAACATCAGCTTCCTGGAACATCAGCTCCTCTCCAGTGGCAGGACACTAATACTAGAAAAACGCCAGCTCCTCCCGGGTTCTACAGCTGTGCGACCCTCAAACAAAAGAAACACCAGCTCCTCTCTGGGTCTGCAGCTGCAGGAACCTCAAACTAGGACACCTCTCCCCCTGGATCTCCAGCTCCACGACCCTCACAGAGGAACAGCCACATCAGCTCCTTCATTGCCTTCAGCTCCACAATCTAAGACATCAGTGGCAGCACCAGCTCCTCCGTGGACGTCCAGCTCAACGACTCTCAGACTTAAAAGGCAGCATCGGCCCCTCCCCAAGGCTCCAGCTCCACCACCCTCAGGTTTGAACAGCGGAATCACTAGCTGCCGTCCAAGTCTTCCGCCCCACAACCCTCCCTGAACAATCCCTTCTCATGAAATTCAGCAGTCAAGAAAACTGCAGCAGAAGTAAATGAATAAATGTTTTGTTTTCAAATCGATGTCTCTTACGTTCATGAGTTAACTTTTCTACTTTCCATTAACCTTGCAATCTACTTTTGTCCAATGTGAGATAGAAACACACCATTTGAAATGACGTTTAAAAACTTAGTAATATTTTTAATATAATCATCACACAGCTGTAGACACGATCTTATTTCTCTCTGCCTGTGCAGAAGGCTTATGAAAATTCAAACTATGAATTTACTTTGTTGAGATTCCCAGAATACACATTAATCCCAACTGTTACTCCCCTCCTTAAAATCTTTTAACACATTCCCATCACCCGAGCATAAATGGCAGCTCCCATCCACAGCCCACAGTGCCCAGCACGGCCCTGCCCTCTGCCCTGGTCTATGGTCTCCCCTCTTAAATGCCAGCTCCATCCACAGCCCACAGTGCCCTCATGGCCCTGCCCTCTGCCCTGGTCTATGGTCTCCACTCTGGTGCCCAGCCCGGCCCTCCCCTCCCCTCTGCCCTGGTCTATGGTCTCCACTCTGGTGCCCAGCCAGGTCCTCCTCTCCCCTCTGCCCTGGTCTATGGTCCCCCCTCTTAAATGCCAGCACCATCCAAAGCCCACAGTGCCCAACACGGCCCTGCCCTCTACTCTGGCCTAAGGTCTCTCCCCTCTGCCGGACAGGCCTCTGTCAGTTCTTCAAACCACACAGGCTCAGGCCTGACTCCAGCCTTTCCCCTGCTGTGCCGTCTGCCTGGGGTGCCTTTCCCGGGCTCCGCATCCTCAGCTCGCTCAGCTCCAGCCTGCTGGTCGCCCCTCAGGTGGAAGAGCACCCGGTGTCCTCTCGCCCCGCCGGCCTTTGCACAGGCTCTTCTCTGTGCCAGCCACACACCCCCTCTCACCACTGGGGTTTACTCTCTAAATACCATTCATCCTTGGAGTCTCCACTGACATATCGCTCCCCGCCCACCCCCCTCCCTTGGACTTAGCCTTGGTCAGGTTGCCAACCCCCGTCTCCTGACTCCGGGAAGCTAGATGCTCTCCTACCACTCGGAACTTCCCAGGAAGCTAGATGCTCTCCTACCACTCGGAACTTCCCAGGAAGCTAGATGCTCTCCTAGCTCTCGGAACTTGCCCATCGCCACATTCACACACCCGTGGTTACCGGGTTAGGTTGGTGCAGAAGTCATCGCGGTTTTTGCCGTTACTATTAATGAACCGCAGCAGCGGCTCCTCCCCGTTTCTTTTTTTGCCATTACTTTTCATGACTGCTGCACCAACCTATTAGAATCATTTATATTTATCCATCCAACATCTGCCTTTCCCTCTAGAAAGGAAGCTCCATGAGAGTAGAGGCCAGATCTACTCAAATCACTCCACCTTCCCACACATTGTCAATAATCATTTACCAACTGACTGATAGAGAAATGCCTTCCCTGTTGCTGGGATGAGGCACACGACATGCCCCTTTGAAAGTCACTGTCATGGACCGTTGGCATTTGCTCTTCACTCCTGCACCCGTGGCGTGGCTGGGCTCAGGCTGATCTAGTCTGGCCTTGACTCCAGGCTGAGGATGGGAACCATGCCTGCTCCACACGCCTCTCATCCCACAGCCAGAGCCACCCTCCCCTGGGGCTCGCACATCTCGTGGGGAAAATCAAGAGCCTTAGAGGGCAGGCCTGGCAGTGCCCACACATTCCAGGCTTCTGCTTGTGCCATGTCTGTGAAAATCTCATTGGCAGAAGCAAGTCACCCAGTCTCGAGCAGCACCTATGGGATGGATAAGTCCATCCACCCTCCCTCGGGCCCTAGGAAGGCTGGGGCTGTGTCATACTCTTGCGGGGGAAGTGAAAAATTGAGGCCCAACATTAAATCACCCACGGCAAGAAATGTCAACCTCTGTGTCTCCACGCTGGAATCCTTTGCCAGTGGGTTCACCTGAGCTGACTTTGCAATGGTGTCTGCAGGTTTAGGCCAATGCTGGTCCCCGTGGAGGACAGAGAAGCCTCAATCGGCCTCCGTCTGTTGGGAAGAACAAGATATTAGCTTGGCGCAAAACAACCGCAAGCCCCAGGTGTCCCACGCCCCATGAGACAGGAGAGGAGCAGAGAACTGTGGAAGCTCAGGGAAGCTTGCATCCCCAGCCCCTCCCCTGCGTCCCCAGCCCCTCCCCTGCGTCCCCAGCCCCTCCCCTGCGTCCCCAGCACCTCCCCTGCATGCCCCCATCTCTGCTTGCTTGCTTTCTCTTTCTTTCTTTCTTTCTTTCTTTTTTCTTTCTTTCTTCTTTTTTTTCTTCTCTTTCTTTTTTTTCTGAGACAGGGTCTGGCTCTGTCACCCAGGCTGGAGTGCAATGGTGTAATCTTGGCTCACTTCAACCTTCACCTTCTGGGATCCAGCAATCCTTCCTCCTCAGCCTCCCCAGTGGCTGGGACTACAGGCACATGCCACCACACCCAGCTAAACTTTTTTTTTTTTTTTTGGAGACAGGATTTTGCCACGTTGCCCTGGCTGGTCTCAAGCAATCCTCCCACCTCAGCCTCCCAAAGTGTTGGGATGACAGGCATAAGCCACCAAGTCCAGTCTGCTTTATTTTTCTTCATAGTACTTGGAACCTCCTTTTTTTTTTTTTTTTTTTTTTTTTTTGTGGACGGATTCTCACTCTGTTGCCCAGGCTGGAGTGCAGTGGTGTGATCTCGGCTCACTGCAACCTCCACCACCTCCCAGGTTCAAGCGATTCTCCTGCCTCAGCCTCCTGAGTACCTGGAACTACAGGCACCTGCCACCACCTCCGGCTAACCTTGATCTCAGAGACTTCTGGCCTCCAGAACTGTGAGACAATAGGTTTCTGTTGTTGAAGCCCCAGTCTCTGGAGCACTGTTAAGTAGCCCCGGGAAGCTGGCACAGAACCCGGCCACCCCTCCTGGGCGAGCTGCTTTCTACCAGGCTCTGGGGGTGGCGGGTGGCCTTTCACTGGTCTCCTCCAGCGCTTGCCCCTGTTCTGACTTGTATTTTGGGAGTGTCTTTCTTCTTCCTAGTGTTGACAGCCTCACACACGTGGCGTTGTACTGGCACCCGAGAACCAGCACTCACGTATGCAGCACTTTCAGAAATTAGTTATATTTATGCATGGTCATGGTCATACTCATACATCTAATTGGACTTCTTTTTTAAGAAAGTGAAACAAAGCCTGAATTCTCCATTGTTGTGTAGGCCTCAGTTCCCGGAGCTGTCCTGTAAGTTCCTTGAAAAAAGGTGCTTTCAACCTGTATGTGGTACCTCTTGGCAGCTGCCTCATTGGCTGGACCCTGGACAGCTCTGAAGTCAGAGGAGTGGGGCTTCAGTACGTTGCACTGGGGTGAAATCCTGGCCATCATCCACGAGGAAAGACCAATGCAGCAGAACCATCCCTGAAGCAGTGAAACGCGGTCAGGAACCGTCAGTCAGTGAGCCATCCCTTTGGAAGTTCTTCACGGGACCATACATCTTAGAATTCTTAACACATAGTGACATGCCACGAGGTGGCATTCCCGTCCTGTTCCTACCAATGTACATTCATATTCAAAGTAGAAACAGAAACCATCTTCCACATAACAAAGTCCTGAAGATCGTCACAACTCTTAAGCCATGTGGTTCCTCAGCACCGCATGAGCTGACCCATCCCAGCTCGTGATCACGCGGACGGGCTAAGACATAACTGAAGAAGCGTCGGTATTTTATATGTATCTAATTTCATTTTTTAAAGACATTTTTAGGGGATAGAAACATTACAGAACAAATTTTAATGTACCATGAAAGTATAAATATTAGAAAAGGAAACTAATGCATGTGAACAAGGACTCCATGAAAAGTACGCAGTGGTTGAAGCTGCACGACTCTAGGGACAAAAGTTTGCATAAATATCCAAGCGAGTTTCGTTCCTGAGCATTAGGACCGAACATACAAGCAAGCTGAGGCAGGTCTGCGGCCAGAGCCCTATGGAGTCCTCACTGCGAAGGCCCTGCTCAGGGAGCTTCTATTCCTGGTTGAGGAGGGGAGACATGCCACCTGCTTCTCCCAGGTAGTCCCTGACCACAGACTCCGGAAAGAACAATGGTGCAGAACACAAGAAGCAGTGACCAGGCAGAGGGTGCACCTGCGTCCCCTCCTGCCTCCCTCCTGCATCCCCTGCCCGCATTGA
The DNA here is from genome assembly GCF_000001405.40 of Homo sapiens. Classification (NCBI taxonomy): domain Eukaryota; kingdom Metazoa; phylum Chordata; class Mammalia; order Primates; family Hominidae; genus Homo; species Homo sapiens. The sequence continues at coordinate 242,016,079 of NC_000002.12, read as the reverse complement.
GGCAGCAGGGTCCAAAAGCGCTCAGGGGCCACGTGCAGGACACTCCAGGAAGGACCACACAGTCTGAGCTTGGGGCCACAGAGAGAGGACTTAAGGGGAAGGGCAGACACCCCACCCTCCCCACACCCTTCCCTCTGCCCCCTGCCCTCGGCAATCACCTGGGTCTGTGGCAGCAACTGTGCCAACAATGGCAGAGGGCAGGACCCAGCCCCACAGGGGAACCTCCTCTCCATGTGGGGCTCCAGCAAGATGGGGCCAGACCCACTGCTTCTTTCTCCCTCCGTCTGCCCAGCACTTGGCCCAGGCCTGGCTCAGCTGTGGGAGTGCACAGCTCAGGAGGTAACTAAATCCCCGGCTTTCTAGCTCAAGAACAAAAATGAGGGGTCCCAGGGAGAGAGGACATTTGAGGGAGATTCGAGAGAGGGAGAGTCTTGGTAAGTGGCGTGTGGCCTCCTGGGCTGCCCTGAGTTGCTCACATGTATTTGAGCTCATGAACAGACCTCAGCCTAGACCCTGGCGGTGCACACTCAGGGCAGTTGCAAACAGTACTGAAGGCTTTCAGAAAGGAACTGGCTGTGGAAGCCTAGACCACAAAATGTTATTGAAACTTGCAGCCTGAATTTAATCAGGTTAATGCTCACTAAAACAAACACTAAATCAACATTCTTCACTGGAATGAAATAAGATGCAGAGTCTCCTAACATAATATTCATGGTGTCCAGAATGCAATTCAACCTTACTAGGATATGAAGAACCAGGAAAATAACTCACACAGGAGCCAGCCAGCCCATGCCCATGCTAAGATGACTGAGCTGTGTGATCTGCTGACAGAAACATGAAAATCACTCCGCCCATAGTCACAAACACTCTTGAATCCAATGGGAACAGAGAAAATCTCACGAAGGAACTAGAAGATGTAAATACAAAACAAATGGACATCTTAGAATGGAGGGGCAATATTAAAAGAAAGATCCTCACTGGATGGGACTTACAGCAGAAGGTAAAGAAATATCAGAATGGAACAAAGAGTCTGTGGATTTGAATATAGCTAAATGGAAATTATCCAATCTTAACAACAGAGAAAAACATGAGAAAGGAATGTTTTAAATGAGAATATTTTCTCGTGGAGACTCAGTGAGCAGACCTAGCTCATAACTCTCCTGTCACCGGAGGGGCAGGTGAAGGAGACCTACATGAAGATGGATTCACAAATTCCAACTAGCAAATATGGGTTCCAGGCAAAGTGTGAAAAGTTAACGATGTACATTTTATTTCCTGGACAGCGATGCACTGTGTAAAATTAAATCACCCCAAATAGAATGATAGAGATAGAATGAAAATCAAAAGATGAAAAGTGAAGCAAACACCATGCAAACCCTCATCGAAGACAGCAGGATAAGCCACGTTAGTATCAGGCAAAGTAGGCTTTGCAGCAAACAAAATCACCAGGGATAAAGAGAAGAAATAAATAATGACAAAAGGGTCAAGAAAACAACAGTCCTACACGTGAATTCACCAAGTGCCAGAACTCTAAAACACTTGAAACAAAAATTTTAAAAACCCAAAATAGAAATGGACAAAAGTCCACAGTCAGGAATGGTAACACTGTTCTATTAATAGAGATTATACTAAAAAGATAGAAAGTTCTCAATAATGTAGGTTTCCACTTTTTAAAAGGTAGAAAAAGGAAACCAAAAAGAATCAAAACCAAGCAGGAGTAGGGAAATAATAAAGGTAAGATCAAAAACAACAAAATTATTTTAAAATACAATAGAGAAATGAATGACACCAAACCCAATTCTTTGAATAAATTTGAATAAAATTGATGAACTTCTAACACTACCATTGAATAAAAAAAGGAGGGGAGGGAGACACAGTTTACCAACATTGGAAAAGAAAGATGGGTCATTGCTGCAGACACTGCAGGCACTAAAGGATAAACAGGGAATAACATGACAACTCCACACACATGAACTCAACACTCAGATAAAGTGGATGGATTCTTCAGAAAACAAACTCACCGCATGTGAGAGCAATGTCCTCAGTACTGAGAGGCAAATTTCCATTGCGGATTTTCTGGGGCAGCTGCAGGGCAGCCAGGCCCTGACCTGCCTCTCTCTGGAACGCGGGGCCTGGCAGCCTCGCCAAGCTCAGCTGCGCACAAACTTTCCTGTCGGCAGGAGGTTCAGCTTGACTTTCTGAGAATCAGGGAATCGGGAGTTCCTAAAACAATTTCCCACCCGTAACCCTGCAATAGGATCTAATATTCTCAGGATCCCTTTTCAAGGTGGCTGAAAAGTCTTGTGAAAGTGCAGACATCCTGCCCACCAGGCCGGAGCGGTCTTTTCAGCTGTGATTCGCATCCGGCCCCTTGTCTCAGCTCATCCGCTCCATGCGGGCTGGAAGGCAGGACGCAGCACTGCTGGGTTCGAGAGGAGCAAGACACTAGCCGTCTCTGGGGATGCGAAAGGCGGAGCTCTGGGTGGGACCCATGGGTGTCCCCTGACGGGGCATGAAGCCCAGGGCATGGAAGGAGGGGAGCCCCGCAGAAGGATGGAGGGGTGCAGGGCACCCCACGCCCCCCAGAGAGGCCTGCAGCTGCCTGTAACGACACGCAGTGTGTCCTGCAGATGTGCGGAGTCTGCCCGGGCTGGCAGGGGCTAGGCACGTCCCACGCGCACCCCCAGATGCTCTCCTGTCGGTTGCTGGTCCAGGATTTGATCAAAACAAACAGAAAACTGCACTGCAACAGGGACGATGGCTGCATCCCTGGAGAGCCTCCCCGGCCACCTCGGGCTGGGCCACGAAGACCCCCCAGGCCTGCCCGACCCCACCGCAGGCTCCAGGCGGGATCCCTGAGACTCCACTCGCTGCACAGGCCGCGGCTCCCCCTTCTCTGTGGAGCCTCTGAGATCTACTCACCTAGCAGTGTAGAGTCCTCTCTCCATCCATCGCCCCGGGGACCAGGTCGGGCAGTCCTGGCCGGGGTCTGCGTGGCCCAGCCCGAGGCGGTGAGGGAGGCTCCCCCGACATGCAGCCGTCATCCCTGTTTCAAAACGGTGTTCTGTTTGTTTTGCTTTAATCAATCTTAGTCCAACTACTGACGGGAATGTTGTAGACGTGTTAGAAGCAGAGCCTGACTGAGGCTAAGACGGCTTTTCACTCCCCCCAAAACTCCCCCCAACACTGCGATTCTGAGGTTAAAATTAGGTAGAAAAGGTTCTACTGCTCCATGACGATCTCAGAAGAGGAAGGTCACGCTAATGCAATGTTGGCAGGAGAGTTGGAATGATTTAGATGAGAAAGCTACGTAAATGAAAAATATTTCACCAAGGGCTCAGTGTAAGAAACATGGAAATGGAAGGGCCGGGCGCAGTGGCTCATGCCTATTAATCTCAGCACTTTGGGAGGCTGAGGCGGGCGGATCACGAGGTCAGGGATCAAGTCCATCCCGGCTAACACGGTGAAACCCCGTTTCTACTAAAAATACAAAAACTTAGCCGGGCGTGGTGGCGGGCACCTGTAACCCTGGCTACTGGGGAGGCTGAGGCGGGAGAATGGCTTGAACCCGGGAGGCCGAGCTTGCAGTGAGCTGAGATCGCGCCCCTGCCCTCCAGCCTGGGCGACAGTGCGAGACTCCGTCTCAAAAAAATAAATAAACAAATAAAAAAGAAAGATGGAAATGGGCCGTAACCAGCAGTGTGGGAGCCATGAAGAGCAGAACTGAAAACCACCCACTTCTTATGCATTCCTCACTTTCAGCAGAAGTTTTTGAAATCATCGTTTCTCAACACCCCGGCGGCTCTTCCTCTCCACCGCATCTCCCCGCACAGCCCTTCGCAGAGGCCGAGTTCTCTTCGGTGACACCATCCCAAACCTGGAGCTCGGAGCAGGGCGGTGGCGGCTGTGACCTCTGAAAACACAGCACCCGCCCCGACTCTCCACGGAATGACCCCTGTCCCACCATTGCCATCGCTGGGAAGCTGTTGGTCAGCAGCATGAAGACGTCAGTCTAGCATTCCATTGCCTCGTTCACACCCAAAGTCACCTCGATGTGGGGCACGGGCGTGGAGCTGGGATTATCCACTCCAGCACGACCTCTGCATGGCATCCAAGGACAAAATCCCAAAAGTAGAAAACACCAGATATTAAGCACAAAAGTCAACCATATGCAAGAAGCTGCTAGTAATTTCCACCCACTAGAGCACCAGCGACACGGAAGGCTGCTTTCATTTGCTTTGGTTCTGGCTGGGTTTTGTTCGCTAGGTGGTTGTCCTTATTCATTGACTTCCTCAGCCTCGTGGGCCTCCTGCCCAGGGAAGGGGCCCCAGTGAATTAAGCATCTGTTCACCCCGTACCAACCTTGCATCCACAGTACATTCTCAGCGAGAAACGAACCCAGACTGGAAGCCGCCCTCTCTCTGAGCCGGTCAGGACCTGAAACCCAGCCTCCTGCCTCAGTTTGCTGGGCTGGACGGAGCTCCTGGCATTGTCAGCTTCTGAGGCGACCCCAGCACCTCGGTGTGGACTTTCTGCCTAGTGGCTTGTGTTTTAAAGAGTTTCATTATTATCCACTGGAAGGTTTAAATAGATAACTGTAACTTTTCTTTTACAAATGTAAACATGGGTTTTGAGTATGAAAGAGACTCCATGGAAATGTTGGTTATAGAACTTAAAACACAGGGCCCACGATGATGAAGAAAACACACCCCATGTAGGAACCCGTGGTCAGAGCATCAGAGAACGCGCTGCACCCCCAGGAAACCGTGGTCATAACATGAGGAAACCCACAGCCCCCCACGCCCTTTCTTTCCATTGGCATCAGCACTGGTGTCCAGCGTCTCCGACGAGTCTCACCACACCACAGCCCCACGTCCTTTGGGGACGTCATTTTGTCCCATAATTGTCTACCTGGTTGATATTTTCAAAAGTAGACAATCTTGATTGTGGTCCTATTAACTTGCTACCTGAGTAGGTAACTAGTAAAAACTTATAGTAACTTAAAAACCTGTGTGCATCTTTAGAGTGAAGACATCTTCTATTTATGACGTGTTTGTCATGCGTCTATTTTCATACAGGTATACATACCTTAAAATGTTCTAATTCAAAGAAAAAAACCTACAAACATAGAAGGCATTTAAGATAAACCGAATTCCAAAACGCCTGATGAATACACTGATAGTAATTGAAGGTGAAATTTTCTGCATTAGTGATCATTTATGAAAGATATGAAACTCCCTTCAATACACACACTCCATTTTCAGGTTTTGAAAACTTCAACTTTGTGTTGTATAACTTTGACTTTTGCTTTTCCTTTTTTTGTGATTTCTGCTTTTTTTGTTTAATAAAAAGGTTTAAAATGGTTTTAAATGACCATTCATGGTTCCTCCCCTCGACCAGTCGGTCCTTCCCAAAGCGCAGTTGTGTGTTCCCCCCGTGTGCACTGGCAATCACGCGGTCACACTGTGTGTTCCCCCTGTACGCACTGGCAATCACGCGGTCACACTCTGTGTTCCCCCCGTATGCACTGGCAATCACGCAGCCACACTGTGTGTTCCCCCTGTACGCACTGGCAATCACGCGGTCACACTGTGTGTTCCCCCTGTACACACTGGCAATCACGCAGCCACACTGTGTGTTCCCCCTGTACGCACTGGCAATCACGCAGCCACACTGTGTGTTCCCCCTGTACGCACTGGCAATCACGCGGTCACACTCTGTGTTCCCCCCGTATGCACTGGCAATCACGCAGCCACACTGTGTGTTCCCCCTGTACGCACTGGCAATCACGCGGTCACACTGTGTGTTCCCCCTGTATGCACTGGCAATCACGCGGTCACACTGTGTGTTCCCCCTGTACGCACTGGCAATCACGCGGTCACACTCTGTGTTCCCCCCGTATGCACTGGCAATCACGCAGCCACACTGTGTGTTCCCCCTGTACGCACTGGCAATCACGCGGTCACACTGTGTGTTCCCCCTGTACGCACTGGCAATCACGCAGCCACACTGTGTGTTCCCCCCGTGTGCATTGGCAATCACGCAGCCACACTGTGTGTTCCCCCCGTGTGCACTGGCAATCACGCGGCCACACTGTGTGTTCCCCCCGTGTGCACTGGCAATCACGCGGCCACACTGTGTGTTCCCCCTGTACGCACTGGCAATCACGCGGTCACACTGTGTGTTCCCCCCGTGTGCACTGGCAATCACGCGGCCACACTGTGTGTTCCCCCTGTACGCACTGGCAATCACGCGGCCACACTGTGTGTTCCCCCTGTACGCACTGGCAATCACGCGGCCACACTGTGTGTTCCCCCTGTACGCACTGGCAATCACGCGGCCACACTGTGTGTTCCCCCTGTACGCACTGGCAATCACGCGGTCACACTGTGTGTTCCCCCTGTACGCACTGGCAATCACGCGGTCACACTGTGTGTTCCCCCTGTACGCACTGGCAATCACGCAGCCACACTGTGTGTTCCCCCCGTGTGCACTGGCAATCACGCGGTCACACTGTGTGTTCCCCCTGTACGCACTGGCAATCACGCAGCCACACTGTGTGTTCCCCCTGTACGCACTGGCAATCACGCAGCCACACTGTGTGTTCCCCCCGTGTGCACTGGCAATCACGCGGCCACACTGTGTGTTCCCCCCGTGTGCACTGGCAATCACGCAACCACACTGTGTGTTCCCCCCGTGTGGCACTGGCAATCACGCAGCCACACTGTGTGTTCCCCCCGTGTGCACTGGCAATCACGCAGCCACACTGTGTGTTCCCCCTGTACGCACTGGCAATCACGCGGTCACACTGTGTGTTCCCCCCGTGTGCATTGGCAATCACGCGGCCACACTGTGTGTTCCCCCCGTGTGCACTGGCAATCACGCGGCCACACTGTGTGTTCCCCCTGTACGCACTGGCAATCACGCGGTCACACTGTGTGTTCCCCCTGTACACACTGGCAATCACGCGGCCACACTGTGTGTTCCCCCCGTGTGCATTGGCAATCACGCGGCCACACTGTGTGTTCCCCCTGTATGCACTGGCAATCACGCGGTCACACTGTGTGTTCCCCCTGTACGCACTGGCAATCACGCAGCCACACTGTGTGTTCCCCCTGTACGCACTGGCAATCACGCAGCCACACTGTGTGTTCCCCCCGTGTGCACTGGCAATCACGCGGTCACACTGTGTGTTCCCCCTGTACACACTGGCAATCACGCGGTCACACTGTGTGTTCCCCCTGTACGCACTGGCAATCACGCGGCCACACTGTGTGTTCCCCCTGTACGCACTGGCAATCACGCGGCCACACTGTGTGTTCCCCCTGTACGCACTGGCAATCACGCGGCCACACTGTGTGTTCCCCCTGTACGCACTGGCAATCACGCGGTCACACTGTGTGTTCCCCCTGTACGCACTGGCAATCACGCGGTCACACTGTGTGTTCCCCCTGTACGCACTGGCAATCACGCAGCCACACTGTGTGTTCCCCCCGTGTGCACTGGCAATCACGCGGTCACACTGTGTGTTCCCCCTGTACGCACTGGCAATCACGCAGCCACACTGTGTGTTCCCCCTGTACGCACTGGCAATCACGCAGCCACACTGTGTGTTCCCCCCGTGTGCACTGGCAATCACGCGGCCACACTGTGTGTTCCCCCCGTGTGCACTGGCAATCACGCAGCCACACTGTGTGTTCCCCCTGTACGCACTGGCAATCACGCGGTCACACTGTGTGTTCCCCCTGTACGCACTGGCAATCACGCGGTCACACTGTGTGTTCCCCCTGTACGCACTGGCAATCACGCGGTCACACTGTGTGTTCCCCCTGTACGCACTGGCAATCACGCAGCCACACTGTGTGTTCCCCCTGTACGCACTGGCAATCACGCGGTCACACTGTGTGTTCCCCCTGTACGCACTGGCAATCACGCGGTCACACTGTGTGTTCCCCCCGTACGAGCTGGCAATCACGCGGTCACACTGTGTGTTCCCCCTGTATGCACTGGCAATCACGCGGCCACACTGTGTGTTCCCCCTGTACGCACTGGCAATCACGCGGTCACACTGTGTGTTCCCCCCGTACGCACTGGCAATCACGCGGTCACACTGTGTGTTCCCCCTGTACGCACTGGCAATCACGCGGCCACACTGTGTGTTCCCCCTGTACGCACTGGCAATCACGCGGTCACACTGTGTGTTCCCCCCGTACGCACTGGCAATCACGCGGTCACACTGTGTGTTCCCCCTGTACGCACTGGCAATCACGCGGTCACACTGTGTGTTCCCCCTGTACGCACTGGCAATCACGCAGCCACACTGTGTGTTCCCCCCGTGTGCACTGGCAATCACGCGGTCACACTGTGTGTTCCCCCTGTACGCACTGGCAATCACGCAGCCACACTGTGTGTTCCCCCTGTACGCACTGGCAATCACGCAGCCACACTGTGTGTTCCCCCCGTGTGCACTGGCAATCACGCGGTCACACTGTGTGTTCCCCCTGTACACACTGGCAATCACGCGGTCACACTGTGTGTTCCCCCTGTACGCACTGGCAATCACGCGGCCACACTGTGTGTTCCCCCTGTACGCACTGGCAATCACGCGGCCACACTGTGTGTTCCCCCTGTACGCACTGGCAATCACGCGGCCACACTGTGTGTTCCCCCTGTACGCACTGGCAATCACGCGGACACACTGTGTGTTCCCCCTGTACGCACTGGCAATCACGCGGTCACACTGTGTGTTCCCCCTGTACGCACTGGCAATCACGCAGCCACACTGTGTGTTCCCCCCGTGTGCACTGGCAATCACGCGGTCACACTGTGTGTTCCCCCTGTACGCACTGGCAATCACGCAGCCACACTGTGTGTTCCCCCTGTACGCACTGGCAATCACGCAGCCACACTGTGTGTTCCCCCCGTGTGCACTGGCAATCACGCGGCCACACTGTGTGTTCCCCCCGTGTGCACTGGCAATCACGCAGCCACACTGTGTGTTCCCCCCGTGTGCACTGGCAATCACGCGGCCACACTGTGTGTTCCCCCCGTGTGCACTGGCAATCACGCAGCCACACTGTGTGTTCCCCCCGTGTGCACTGGCAATCACGCGGTCACACTGTGTGTTCCCCCTGTACGCACTGGCAATCACGCGGTCACACTGTGTGTTCCCCCTGTACGCACTGGCAATCACGCGGTCACACTGTGTGTTCCCCCCGTGTGCACTGGCAATCACGCGGCCACACTGTGTGTTCCCCCTGTACGCACTGGCAATCACGCGGTCACACTGTGTGTTCCCCCTGTACGCACTGGCAATCACGCGGTCACACTGTGTGTTCCCCCTGTACGCACTGGCAATCACGCGGTCACACTGTGTGTTCCCCCTGTACGCACTGGCAATCACGCAGCCACACTGTGTGTTCCCCCCGTACGCACTGGCAATCACGCGGTCACACTGTGTGTTCCCCCCGTACGCACTGGCAATCACGCGGTCACACTGTGTGTTCCCCCTGTACGCACTGGCAATCACGCAGCCACACTGTGTGTTCCCCCTGTACGCACTGGCAATCACGCAGCCACACTGTGTGTTCCCCCTGTACGCACTGGCAATCACGTAGTCACACTCTGTGTTCCCCCCGTATGCACAGGCAATCACGTGGTCACACTGTGTGTTCCTTCCGTGTGCCGTGCACACTGGTAATTTGAAGGTCACACTATCATGCCCCATTGGCCCCCACGGCCTCTTGCACAAGTATTGCCTGGAGTCCACAGACATCTCAGGCGTCACCGGGAGCCGACTCTCCTGGGCCTGGTGTTGGATCTGCTCTGTTCCCCGGGGTGTTCCCTGGTGCCAACAACAGTGCCTGTCCGGGGTACTTGGGAGAAGCAATCAGGAAAGCGTTTGGAGACTCTCTGATGTGTCTGTGGACCACGGATGATAAACGGCTTAGAGGAGACAGGCCACACCTCTCAGGTTCCGAGGCCTCAGCAGGGGTATGGGTTTTTACGGCATTTTTCACTAATGGCAAGTGCAAACTCAGTGGATTTTGTCTGAGAAACAAGTATGTTTTCAGCTTGAGAAATACATTTATTTGTACTCTCATTCCAGAAAATAACTGGATGAGACATTATAAATATACGATAATGAAAATCATTTGGTTACCTGTAGAAGCTGAACTAATGTAGCAAGAATAGTAATGGTAAAACATAGCAACTCATCCACCTAAAAATAGACACGCAGATTCATTCTATGAAGTAATTGATCTATCTGAATCAACAGAGGCATAGTATATGGGTATTACACACAGGAGCTCTACAGAGATCTGTAACTACCCCTAAAGTAACGGGACCATCTTTCTACATCACACATGAGAATTATATGTCGGCATTATACAGAGATTTCCAAGTACCCCTAAAGTAATGGGACCATCATTTTATATCACATATGAGTATTATATACAGGCATTATAGGGAGATTTATAACTACTCCCAAAGTAATGAGACCATCTTTCTATATCACATAAGAGTTATTATATACAGGCATTATATGGAGATATCTAACTACCTCTAAAGTAATGAGAACATTTTTCTGTATCATATAGGAGTTATTATATATAGGTGTTATACAGAGATATCTAACTACCCCTAAAATAATGGGACCATCTTTCTATATCACGTAAGAGTTATTATATACAGGCATTATACAGAGATATCTAACCACCTCTAAAGTAACGGGACCATCTTTCTATACCACATTAAATCAGTTCACAGAGACATCAAAGTGACAAACCTTCTATCGATGATTATTTTATGCCCACTTTTGTGTGTTTCTGTTGTCCCTGTAGAATTGTGACTCCCTGGACTCTGAGACTCAGGGGAGGTGCCGGCACCCGAATCTGTCACCTGGGTTGGGGCACAGCAGCCACCTCCTCCTGGTTAATCGAGGCCCCGGAAGAGGCTGCTCCAGGCTTGTCCCTTGGTCAGTTTAAAAACACTAAGTGCCATGTTGTTTGTTGATGTCCAGTTCAAAGCACAGAGCACAAGGACTTCTCAGCAGGTCGCCTTTTGTTAAAGGTTAAAGGTGGCCTTTTGTTAAAGAGGGAGACACAGAGAGAGATTTATCTTTAGGGAATTGGCTTGTGTGACCGTGGAAGCCGGCAGGTCCAAGGTCTGCAGGGTGGACCCTCGGCTGGAGACCCGGGGAAGAGCCAGCACTGCCAGTCTAGTCTGAAGCCGTCGGACGCAGAGTTCCTTCCTGGTGCAGGGTGTTATCTCTGTTCTAGTCAGGCCTTCAACGGATCGGAGGAGACCCACCCACGCTATGCAGGCTCATCTTCTTTCCTCACAGCCCACCCATCCAACGCCTTCCAGAGGCCTCTAGAGTAATGTCCCATCAGACCCGGGCACCGTGGCCCAGCCCAGTGGAGGAATACAGCTAACCACCACACACGCTCAACTCTGAAAATCCTCAGGGATTCCAAATGTTCTTTACTACCAATTTTCTCAAGTGTTTCGGCTGTGTGAAATTTAGCAGAATTGGTCATTGAATCATTGGAAACAAAAAATAAAACCTATTGAGTGACTGTTTGTGAAAATTTACAAAAGCACAGTCAGGCCTCCAGAGCGAGTGCTCCTAACCCGAGCTGGGCCAAAGACACTGTGTGCAGACGTCCCGGAGGGCAGTGCCGAGGACACTGTGAGTGCAGACGTCCCCACGGAGGGCAGTGCCGAGGACATTCTGTGAGTGCAGACGTCCCCACGGAGGGCAGTGCCGAGGACACTGTGAGTGCAGACGTCCCCACGGAGGGCAGTGCCGAGGACACTGTGAGTGCAGACGTCCCCACGGAGGGCAGTGCCGAGGACATTCTGTGAGTGCAGACGTCCCCACGGAGGGCAGTGCCGAGGACACTGTGAGTGCAGACGTCCCCATGGAGGGCAGTGCCGAGGACATTCTGTGAGTGCAGACGTCCCCACGGAGGGCAGTGCCGAGGACACTGTGAGTGCAGACGTCCCCACGGAGGGCAGTGCCGAGGACACTGTGAGTGCAGACGTCCCCACGGAGGGCAGTGCCGAGGACATTCCGTGAGTGCAGACGTCCCCACGGAGGGCAGTGCCGAGGACATTCTGTGAGTGCAGACGTCCCCACGGAGGGCAGTGCCGAGGACACTGTGAGTGCAGACGTCCCCACGGAGGGCAGTGCCGAGGACATTCTGTGAGTGCAGACGTCCCCATTTACGGAGGGCAGTGCCGAGGACACTGTGAGTGCAGACGTCCCCACGGAGGGCAGTGCCGAGGACAGTGTGTGTGCAGACGTCCCCACGGAGGGCAGTGCCGAGGACACTGTGAGTGCAGACGTCCCCATGGACGGGCAGTGCCGAGGACACTGTGAGTGCAGACGTCCCCACGGAGGGCAGTGCCGAGGACAGTGTGTGTGCAGACGTCCCCACGGAGGGCAGTGCCGAGGACACTGTGAGTGCAGACGTCCCCATGGACGGGCAGTGCCGAGGACATTCTGTGAGTGCAGACGTCCCCACAGAGGGCAGTGCCGAGGACAGTGTGTGTGCAGACGTCCCCATTTACAGAGGGCAGTGCCGAGGACACTGTGAGTGCAGACGTCCCCATTTACGGAGGGCAGTGCCGAGGACATTCTGTGAGTGCAGACGTCCCCATGGACGGGCAGTGCCGAGGACAGTGTGTGTGCAGACGTCCCCACGGAGGGCAGTGCCGAGGACACTGTGAGTGCAGACGTCCCCATGGACGGGCAGTGCTGAAGTCCTGATGAGCGAGTCTGAGGGGAACGGTGCCACTGCGGCAGCACCCCCTCGCCCCAGGCCCTCAGATGTGTGAGGGCTGGGAAATCCCCTCTCTCTCTCTGGAAGTGCACAGGGTCCCCTCCCCTAAGGAGTCACCAGGATGCCTCAAAGGGTTCTCTTCCCCTCTCACCCAGCTCCAGCCTTGGGAGTCCTCTCACGCTGGGACCCTCCGTTGCCGGGGCCTGGGACGTGTCTTCCGCCCTCTTGCTGACTGTCTCCCATGCTGTCTGCCACCTCCGCCTTCCCAGGCCCTTCTCAAATGTTAGAACTTCCTGCCTGATCCTTTGATCACTCACTGTGTTTCGCATTCTTTTTTCTCTCAGGAAGAGCTCTGTATGAATCCAGTCTCACATTGCTATAAAGAAATACCCCAGACTGGGTAATTTATAGAGAAAAGAGGTTTAGTTGGCTCACAGTTTTGCAGACTTCACAGGAAGCATGGCAGCTTCTGCTTCTGGGGAGGCCTCGGGAAGCTTCCAATCATGGTGGAAGGCAAAGCAGGAACAGGCGTCTCACAGGGTCAGAGCAGGAGCAAGAGCGAGGTGGGAGCTGCCACACACTTTTAAATGACCAGATCTCATGAGAACGCACTCACTGTCTCGAGGACAGTGCCAAGGGATGGTGCTAGCTCATTCATGAGAATCCACCCTGAGATCCAAGCACCTCCCGCCAGGCCCCACCTCCAACGCTGGGGACTAAGAGTCAACAGGAGATTTTGTGCGGACACGGAGCCAAGCCTTATCAAGCTCCCACACTTAATACTTGGATAATTATTCTCAGCAATCTGTTCTTGTTCCATGAATGCATAGTCCCATCATCTCTTGGAGGGTAGTCATTATATTTTTTGGAAATTATCCGTATTCTCTGATTATTTGTTTCCTCTGGGCTTTTTTGATTTCTTTATTTTGGTTTTTATCTTGACTGCTACCTGTCTGTACTCGTTTAAAAAGGAAGGCTTTGAGTGTTGCTCTACCAAGTAACCCCATACCACCCTCCAACAGAAAACAACCGAAAGTCTGGAAAAAGATGTAAGAAAACATCCTTGAAGATGCGAGAGGGCTGATAGTAAGGAAGGGGCTGCTGAGTCAGAATATGCTGTAGAACAGGGCCCCGGTGGGGAGTGCTCACTCAGGGACAAGCCTCCCCTGGGGCTGTTTCCCAACGGTAGAGCCGCAGAGGCTGAGCATTGGTGAGGGGCTTGGGGCCGAGCCCAGATCCACATGACCCCAGGCTGGTCCGCCCCGTGAACACAGCTCCCCATAAGCCAACTCAGTCTCTGGAACTGGGCCAAGATTACCCCAAAGTTTTAGTAGAATGTGCAGATGCCCTACAGAGCAAATGTTACTTCTTTCTTTCTTCTTATCTCACTTTAGTAAGAAAAATTACCTCTTCGATTTTTCTACTAAAATGGTTGACACTTAATTGATTATAATCAGATACCCAGGAGGAAGGAAGATATCAGCAGAATCTCCTTAGAATAAAAGAAATGAACAGTTTAAGCAGATCCAGTGTAGCTCAGATGGACCAACTATGACCACCGTCATTGGGGCAGCCTGGCCTTGGAGGGTGGCCTGGACACAGAGGTCCCCATGGCATTGGAGGGTGGCCTGGACACAGAGGTCCCCATGGCATTGGAGGGTGGCCTGGACACAGAGGTCCCCAGAGCAGGACAGGAGTTCAGAAGTAAACCCAGGTACATATGGTCAATGGATTTTGAACAAAGGTCCCAAGGAAATTCAGTGGGGAATGAATAATCTTTTTAATAAGTTGCACTGGAACAGTTGAAAACTTGAATTCTGAAAGGAAACTTTGATCATAACCTCACATCATATGTAAAATTAAAATATTAGACAATGAGACATAAACTCATTTTGTTCAAAGATGGCATGATTGTGTTTATAGAAAACCACAAGGAACTTATGGAAAGATTATGAGAATTAATTAATATGTTGAGTAAGTGTGTTAGATACAAGGTAATGAAACAAAAACACAATTTTACATCAGAAACAAACAGAAAATGAAATTGGAAAACTATAAATAGGTAGGAAAAAATCTAAGCAGGATATGTAAGAGCCTTACACAGAAAATTGTGAGATGTTTTTGACAGAAATTAAGTCAATCCTAAACACGCGAGAGCTATACTGTTTTTACATTGAAAGACTCCACTTTAGTCTGTCCACCTCAAGCTGACCAGTAACTCAATGCAACTCCTTTCAAAACTCCAGTAGGTTTTGTTGTGTTTCTGAGAAAATTTCCATCCTTTTCTACAATTTTTGCAGGGAGACCAAGGAGGATGAATTGCACAGCTCGGGAATGAGGCTTACCAAAAAGCTAAACGAATAGGAAAATAGGCCTTGAGAAGATTAAAAAGCGGCCATTTGTATTTTGGGTAAAGAAGAGTTGATGAGAATTTGTTCTTCCCAAGTCTAAAGTAAATGGAGCACCCTTTTTAAAATTCTATTAATGCATTTCACTAAGAAGCATTAACGAGAAGACGATCAGCCGAGGGAAGTGGCCAGGGGATTGTCAGTGCCTCGGTTGGGCTGGTACGACATTTCACAGTTGTGTTTTCTCACACACCTCTTTTCTCAGGAGTGATTCAAAAAGCTGATTTCATCTCTCCACCCTGGAGGTGATAAGATATCACATAGAAATTCACCGTGGAAGGGGAAACAGGAAGAGAATGAGGTTTTTAATGACATGTCAAGCTGTCTGACTTTGCTGCTGAGTGCGTCTTTACTTCTCATGAAATGAATTTGAGGTCCACTAAAAATGGGATGAATATAATCCTCGGAATATTAACATAAGGAGCAGAATATAAATCTCAAAAATGTTTCTGAGGCATAAACAGTTGTTTTATCACAACTGTTTTTGAAGGTAGCTAGACTTATAAGAGATTCTTATATTTAAAGTGCTACATAAGGAAATCCAACTTTAAGCTTAAATTATTTAATTTGGTAGAGTAAAATATACTCCTAATATTGGAGAGAAGGCTAAAATAAAAAATTGTATTTTTTGAAACTCAGGAGACACTGCTGTCTTTAAAGGTTGAATAATTTACATATAATTACACTAGCATGAGCTACCACTTTTACTCCATAATGTAATAGAAATTTTAATGTTTCCATTAAAACAGTCATAAAATACAGTTTTTTAGAAAAAAGGAAACTAAATGTGACCATAAGATAATTTTTCAGGGTCAGCTTTTTTCAGATGTCTTATATTTTATGTTTGTTATAAAAAGGGGCGTCTTTCTCTGAGGCAAATCTATGCAATTTCTGATTCTACATGCTCTGTGTTTAGCATTTTTTGACTTAAAAAAATGACACAATTAGGATAATAATTATGAGCCCAAGCACGTAAATACTTGCCTTTAGAAGACTGATAATTATGAGGTTTTCCACCCAAAATGGATCTAAGGATGATACTTTGGTGTTTATTTGGGTTATATGCCAATTTAGGTACAATGTATAGGTAATCAGCGTGTAGGAAGAACAAGAGCTGGGTCTGGAGTGTGGACTCACCTTTAAAGCACGTTACACATGTGTTCAATATTACATTACACCCTGGTAGAGATGTTAAGTTAATTTATCCTGAGTCTAGAATTTACCACATTATCAACATAGACTATTCTAACACAAGTCTGCATACGGGATGTGCTACTACACGGAGTCAGGGGGCTGGGGGCAGGCTCAGCGTCCCCTCCTGCCACCCTCTGGTAGCACACAAGAAGATCCACCATCTGGGACTCGGCGGGGGGGACCACGGAACAAGGCGGCAGAAGACTGGGGTCTTCACATCCAGCCCGAGGGTCTGTGCCCAGCGGCTACAAGACTAGGATCAGCTCCCAGAGTCAGAGAACGTTGTGGCCACCACACCTGCAGAAGCCTCTTTCATGAGCTTCTCATCCTGTCTGCAGCTGGCGAGCGGGCTCACCTGGACCACACCTGGACCACAGAGCAGGACAGACCCCGTGCAGCTGTGTTCTCACCACGCCGAGATCGCCAGCCTGCCCAGAAAGTCCACAAGGGAATAGGTCAGGGGCCGAGCGCTGACCTGACCCCTGGGAGCCCTGATTCTGGTGTCTCCCAGGGCATGTCCCGCCCAGGTCTCCAGGGGGAAAACAGCAGACACTGAGCAATGTTGAGCAAACCCCAGTGTCATGAACTGGGCTCTGGCTTCCTGAATGCTGCTTCCCATCGACAACCCAGGAAGAAAGCCCTGAGAGCTGAGTGTGCACTGCCCGTCACTCAGGAGGAGGCAGCACAGCCTCAGGAACAGGACTCGGGTGGTGAGTGTGCACCAGCCGTTATTTCTGATGGCTGAGTGTAGATTTATACATGCTATCATTTGTAATATTGTTTGTAATATTCAGGACAGATTGGAGAAAGAGGGTTCCTTTTGCTTTCTTAACACCTTTCTGCCTGTTCGTTTCATATATGATTTAATGATCTGAAAGCATTCTCATTGATTGAAAAAAAAGTACTCATAATATTATTTTGTGCAAGAGTTTCAAGGCAGTTATGGATACAGTCACATGGAGGATACTACATAATTTTTAACGCATTTGTAAAGTTTAAGTTTGGGTGTTGAGCGTGATTCAAGAGCTGCGATTTTTGATGAAAGCTGAGTGCTTGTTAAATAAAACTGAGGAAATTTCCTCTGATTGATGCAAAGTGCCATAAAAGAAAAATGACACAGCATTGAGTCATTGAGTATTAGATAACTTTATTCTCACCAAAAAAGTTTAGAAATAAGCAACTCATAGATGTGAAAGCAGGATTTTTGGACAACAGTCACATGGCCAAGTTTTCAGTGTCAAAGGCCTCTTGCAAACAATTTATAATGCTACTTTCAGTGACTCTTGCAAGGATTGGATTTAGACAAAACTCAGCACTCACTCCTTTCATCCAGGGCCCTGCATTGAGGAGCAGGGAGGCATAGACACGTGGGAATCAGAGTGCAGACGTATTGATCTGGCCGCAATTGATCAAAGTGAAGACGTACTGACCTGGCCGCAGTTGACAACCCCAAATGTGGCGCCATATTCTTTCAAAGAAGATACCATTTGATCGGGGAGGTCTGAGCTCCTTCCTCTGAACGCTGTGTCTTCAGGCCTTGTGTATTCAGAGGAGGGACTCAGACCCAGGATTGGGCAGGGGTTTTGGGGGGTCCTGTGGATGCTGTGAGAGCTGAGCAGCTTCCTCTGCCCTCTGGGAGAGCAGTGGTCTCATAAGACTTCCTTCTGGAGAGGAGCACAGGGTGTCTGGACAGCCACCCACCCCGAGCCCCTGGTCGATAGACTCCAAGAAGAGGAGAATCAATCAATCTATGGAAACTGACCCAGAAACAGAACAGACAATAGAAATAGAAGATACAGACTTTAAAACAGCCATATGGATCGTGTTCCGGATGTTCAGGAAGGAAGAGGGAAGAGAGGACGCATTAAATAGAGCCAGGGAAAATCAGAAAGGCCAAAATCAAAGTTTGAAGATAACAACATCAGTGTCAGAAATAAAAACACAACAAATCTGGTGGGGTGGAGGGTGAGTGAACATTGCAAAAGAAGAAATCGGTTCACTTGAAGACGGCCACAGAGACCCCTCAAACGGAGACAGAGGACCTGTGAGCTGTGGCAAGCTTCACAAAGCCTCATATACTCAAAGTTGATGTCCACAAAGGAGAGTGGATTTGGGGAAAAATAAGAAAATGTGTAGGAAAAAACTGGCCAAAACATCAAAATTTCATAAAAACTATCAACACAGATCCAGGAAGCTCCAGCAACCCCAAGCACAGGAAACATGAAGAAAAGCACGTCAGGGAACATTCTAATGAAATGGCAAAATCTCCTGCTTCGCAGACCCAGCAAAAGGGCACACTGCAGAGAGAAACAGCCAAGAAACCCAGCAAACGGGCAGAGTGGGAGGTCTTAACTAACGAGAGAATACACGGTCAAATTGGAACATTTTTTCAGCAGGTTTATCTTTCCAAAATGAGGGTGCTACGAAGACATTTTCACAAGCAGAAAAGATGACGACATCCATGGCCAGTGTTGGCGGCACGCACTTACGGGGACATCCACCGAATGAAGTCAAGGGCGCCGGGTAAGGAGCTGGCCCTCCAGCAAGGGAAGAGAATATGGGAAATGGCTCCTGCACGCTTCGCAGAAAATACTTCTCATTATTTTCATCTACTTAAAACATACTTGACCTCCTAAAACAAGTTTAGTATCAGCGCATCGTTGGGTTTATAGTACGCATAGAATAAAACGTACGTTGGTAATAGCACTGTGGCTGCGGGCAGACAATGGCAGGGGATCCTTCCCGGGCCTTTCACTGCCGTGAAATGGCACAGCGTTGCTCGGAGGAAGACTGTGGTATGTTAACCATGTGTATCAGAAACCCAAAGCAACCACAAAATTAACACAGCAATGAGTTTAGCTAGTAAGTTACAAAATAAAGTAAAATGTAATGATAAAAATAATTAGCAATTCTAGTGTTAGCTCCAACGCATAAACAGCGTATCCTCTGTCGCTTCCAAACTCACAGGCAGAAGCAGGAAAAAGCTGAGCGGTCAGTGAACAGGCGCAAGTGTACAGTGAGATGGAAGGAATAATACGTTCCAGCCTTCAGGAGCAGGTGAACGGATGCAAACGTATGGTGAGATGGAAGGAATATGTTCCAACCTTCAGGAGCAGGTGAATGGGTGCAAACGTATGGTGAGATAGAAGGAATACGTTGCAGCCTTCAGGAGCATGGTAGGGTGAGTAGAGTTCACAGTAACTTATTGTGTATTTCAGAGAGCTGGAAGAGAAAGTCATGTTCCCAACACAAAGAAATCATGTCTGAAGCGGTGGGCATCCCAGCGACCCTGATTTGAACATCACACATTGCATGCGTGTATGAAAACTTCCCATAAATACGGACAGCGCGCTGGACAGGTGAGCAATACTGCCTGGGCTCTGCAGCTTCTGGCCTGGTGCCTACCTGGCTGTGACAAGCAGGCCAGGACAGGCGTCGCCTCTGACCAGCCCTGCCTGCGACGAAGGCCACCACCCACTCCCCAGGACAACGGAGGTCTCACAGTGTCCACCGCAGCTGTGCCATGGGAACCCTGGGGGTCCCGCAAAAGAATATTGTCAAGAAATACAGTGTGAATTCCTCTGAGAAGCAAATTCTGCTTATGACCAGTGTGTCAATTGTTAGACAAGATTCAAAAAATGCTTGTGAGCAAGTTTTACAAAGCACATTGAGAAGGAGGCTGGTGGGCTGGGCGCAGTGGCTCACACCTGCAATCCCAGCACTGTGGGAGGCCAGGGTGGGTGGATCACTTGAGGTCAGGAGTTCAAGACCAGCCTGGCCAACATGGTGAAACCCCGTCTCTGCTAAAACTAGAAAAATTAGCTGGATATGGTGGAGCATGCCTGTAATCCCAGCCACTCGGGAGGCTGAGGCAGGAGAATCGCTTGAACCCGGGAGGCAGAGGTTGCAGTGAGCCGAGATTACCATAGAGACCCCCAGGCATCAGACGCCACATTAGGAGTGCCCTGGATACCAGTTACTGTGTCCTCCTAGGACGGATGCGATCACCAGCTGCATCCTGGGAACGCCGTGCAGGCTGAGCTTTGACAGAAGCCAAGGTGAGACCCATGCCCTGCACACAGGGACTCCTCTCCAGCACCCACCCTTCCCACACAGCAGAACTTAGGCCCCGCGTGGCCCAGGTAAGCCTGGCTTTGTCCTGCTGCTCTCCTCCAGTAAAGCTGTGGGCCGGGAGGAGGGGATGCTGACCTAGCAACTGCACCTGCTGTGCGTGCCCCGGGAAGCGGTTTCACTGCTGGCTTATCTGTTTAGATTCTGTCCAGCCTCCCTTAGACGAGGCTTTTTGCTCCTCAGGCAGGCAGGGGAGAAGGGAAGGATAGGAAGGTAGTGTCTGTAGGCTGGCTCTGTCCCTATTTTCAACTTTTCCCTGCTTTCTCTTGTTTTTACCCAGAGTCAATCTTGCCCATGTAGAAGCAGGCGGATCAGCAGCAGCTTCGTTCTTTGCATCAGACTTGTCAGTGTCTTTGGTTTTATTTTTTAAAAATACTAGAGAAAGATTGTTTATTCTAAGGCAAACATTTGAAAAGACTGCTTTGTGTAAACTGAGATCAGCTCTATGTATACTTGTATATACCAATGTGCCTGTGTGTATGTGTATGTATTGTGTACATGTGTGTATGTGTGTATACATGTGTGTATACGTGTATGTGTGTATGTGCATGTGCATGTGTGTATATGTGTATGTGTGTATGTGTGTATGCATGTATGTGTGTATATATGTATGTGTGTGTGCGTGTGCATGTGTGTGTATACATGTGTGTATGCATGTATATGTGTATGTGTGTATGAATTTCTCCCCCGACCCCTTTCTAATTTGCTCACAACGTTGCCTTTCCTCCTCTGAGGTTTGGCTGCACCAGGTCTTTGCCCAGCCCTGGGCACGCAGGTGGTTCAGAGTGAGCCTCAGTCCTGGCATCCCAGCTGGTTTTGAGAGCCAGAGTGCCTGCATGGCCTTGGCAGGTTTGCAGAATGAGAAAGGAGGCATGAGTCCAGTTGCGGGAAAATACAAAGCAAGGACCCATGGAAGGTGCGATCTGGAGATGTAGGCCTCAGAGGTGTCAGAGCACGTGGCCGGCAGCTGCAGGTGAAGCTAAAGAAGGCTCTGCCACTCCCGCTCTCAGCCTCACGTCCGAGAGTCTTGGACACAGAGTGTGGGAGCAGCCGACTCTGAAATAAAAGGAACAGGCGGAGGCACTTTGCAAGGTAACTCTCACGGTTATCACTCTGGTTAAAGTTCCAATTCCAACCGTTTCCCATTGTGCAGGGCACCTTCAGCACCTGCAGATGGAATCCAATGATGAGGGCGGGCGGTCAGTCCAGGAGACACTTCCACACTTGCACCACCGCCTCCCCGGGGGGAAATGTTGTCAGGTCGAGCAGATGAGGTGGCGTCAGAGGACCTCAGTGGTGGCAAAGGTCCCTCCTGGACCAGCCTTCCTTCCTTCGGGCTCCTCTGAGCCTCTCCGACACGCCTGGACCTTGACCTTCTGTGTCCACCCTGAGCTTGCTGGGCCTGCCCAGCCTTAGCAAGAATCCTGTGACATCCATTCATCCAGAACACTCCACTCCTGGTGTCTGACCAAATTCCCCATCCTCACTCTTCCTGTCTGATCCCGCTGCCCTGCCCTCAACAAGAAACCTGTGCCTCGACATCTCCTCCTGGTCATTTTCTGTCCCCCAACTGTGCTCATCGGCACAAGTCAGCCGCCTTTGCTCTATTCAGAGTTGAGTGTGACCTTCTCCCCTATCGCAGAGGTACCGAGTGAAGCCTTAGTCACCACCTCAGCAAGAATCAGAATGTGAGGAGAATGGTGGGCCCCTCCCCACCCCATCTCCTTCTGCAACTGCCAGTGGCCAAGAGCCCAGCAGGCAGGGTCGGCTCCAGGTGAAGGAGTGGACCCAGCAGAAGCTGCCAGGAGTTCTGTCCTGAAAGGAGATATTCATTGTTCTCAAGAATCCTTGAGAGACTCAGAAACCAATTGGATAACTTGGGAAATGTCCAGCAGAGTCCCAGCCCCCAGGGGGATGTGTCAGTGCGTGGCGTCGCGGTGCGGTGGCTGTGGTGCCGCGTAAGGGACAGACGCCATAAGCGTGGCCCAGAGCAGGGTCGTGCCGGCTGAGCTGGGCCCCTCCAAAAAGACATGCTGGAGACTGAACCTCCTGGACCTCAGACTGTGACTGTTTGAAGATGGGGTCTTCACAGAGTTCAAATTACAGTGAGTTCATTAGGGTGCACCCTGATCCAGTGCAAATGGGGTCTTCATGGAAAGGGGAAATTTGGGCATAAAGACACGCACAAGGGAAAGACAAGGTGAGGACACGGGGGAAGACGGCCAAGCACAGGCCTCCCTCGCAGCCTTGGAAGGAACAAGCCCTTGGGTGTCTTGGCCTTGGATGTCCAGCCTCAGGAGCTGGGAGATGGGGGTGTCTGTCATCTCAGCCCCCTCGGGAGCTGGGGACGGGGTGTCTGTGGTCTGAGCCACCTTAGGAGCTGGGGACGGGGTGTCTGTGGTCTGAGCCACCTTAGGAGCTGGGGACGGGGGTGTCTGTCATCTGAGCTGCTCCGTCAGTGGTTCATGCAGTGGCTGGCCGTCGAGTACAGGGAGCGCAATCTCGATCTCCGTGATGAGAGGAGGAAGGGCCTCTCATTTGACACTAGGGGACTCAAGGGAATAAGCTGACCTTCTGCTAACCAGGCTTGGGACTAAGCCTTGAGTTGGGAACTGGTCCCAGCTGGGGCAGCAGGGGCGGAGGCTGGGAGAGGCTGAATCCGCCCACGGGTCCTGGGGAGACCCAGAATCCCGGGTGCAAACGTCACTAGCGCCAAACACCCTGCCCTCTTCAAACCCCAGACAGAAGTGTTTTCCATCTCAGGTAAGCCGAGTATAAACATTTCCATCCAGAAAAGTTCAAATACAAATGGACAACACAAATCATTTAAGTAATTGTTACACAGCTACGTGATACTACAGCAATGTGTTTTCAGTATACATAGGATAACTAAAACACTTATTATAATAATCCAAATATATCAAATAATTAACCTTGTAAAATGATATCCAGCATTTCTTAGATAAAGAGCAAAGATGCTTTTAAAAATGTGCATTTTGAAACCATTAGGCAATTCCTAGTACATGTTCAAAAGCCACTTCCACGCACAAAAACACTAAAATATCTAATGCATAATTAAAATATTATTTAAAACAGATAAAAGAAAGTGTAGGTTTTTTTAATGATATGCCAGGCATGGTGGCATGTGCTTGGAGTCCCAGCTACTCAGGAGGCTGAGGTAGGAGGAACCCTAAGGCCAGGAGGTCCAGGCTGCAGTGCGCCGTGACTGACCGTGCCACTACACTCCAGCCTGGGTGACAGAGCAAGATCCTGTCTTTAAAATAAATTACATTACATTAAAAATTAAAAATATGATGCCTTCTACAGAGCTGGCATTTCCATTTCAGCGCAATGTTAAAAATCCCCCACTCAAGAAGTGTCTTGCTGGCCGGGGTCTTCCTTACCCTTTGCATGTGTGAAGGAAGGTCGTGACCCCTGCGCTGCTGGTTACACATCACGGTTGCAAGTGGAAGAGAAATGTCTTTTAATAGAGGTTGCATCTATCCCATTTCCTTTTTTTCTACCCAATGCAAAATAAAAATATTTTAACTTCTCAACATTGGGCACATTCTATAAAATATCTCTCTATAATATTGTATATAACATTTGTATACAAAGTTTAAAAAACCTATTTTGTTATGACACTCATTGGAAGACTCAATGTTTTCATCAAATGTAAAAAGAACTAAGGACATATCTAATTTATAAAAATAAAAATTGCCAAAGAATTTAAAATGCACTTATAAATTAATACGCATTATCACAAAGTTAATATACAGCAAGGGTAGGTTTTGTGAGACCAGCGGACAAGTTATTATATTAATACTTAGAATGGTGTATTCATTTGTTCTCACCCTGCTATAAAGAAATGCCTGAGAGGGGTCATTTATCAAGGAAAGAGGTTTAATTGGCTCACGGTTCTGCAGGCTGTACAGGAAGCCTCGTGCTTCTGCTCGGCCTCTGGGGAGTTCAGGGAACCTTCAGTCCTGGCGAAGGTGAGGGAAGCAGGCTCTTCGGGAGGGAGAGACGGGCTGCGTTAGGAACAAGCGCGTAAGCGTGGCCCAGAGCAGGGTCGTGCCCGCTGAGCTGGGCCCCAACTCAGTTTCAAACGACCAGGTCTCACAATAACTTGCTCACTCAGTGTCACGAGGGCGTCACGGAGGCGACGGTGCGAAGCCATTTGTGGGAACGCCGGCCGTGATCCAATCACCTCCCACCAGGCCCCGCCTTCAACGCTGGAGATTCCACGTCCACGTGGGACGTGGGCAGGGATACGATCCAAACCGTATCAAATGTCAAAGACCTGGTTTAGGTCTGAATTTCAAAACGTCAAACTAAAGCCCAAAGCCACTGGCAGAGGAGCGTTTACTTTCCCTTTTAGGGTTTTACAGCTTGGCGATTTCATACTTCATCTTCCTTCCCCTGATTGATGCTGAATACAGGGGGAACGGAATGTGTCCCCTCAAAACCCACGTGTTGAAGCCCTAACCCCAACGTGATGGGATTAGGAGTGGAGCCTCTGTGGGGTGATTATAGGATGAGAAAGAGGCCGGAGCTGTCTCTCTCCCTGCCATGTGAGGACACACGGAGAAGGGGGCCATCCTCAAGCCACAGAGAGAGACCAAACGTGGCACCTGCCAGCCCTGGCCCTTCCAGCCTCCGGACTCTGAGGGATGAATTCCTGTCAGATAAGCCACAGTCTAGGGGATTTTGTTACAGCATCTGAAGCTAATACAGGGCGACTCTGGTCACTTGAGTGCCAAGGTTGCCTCTGTGGAAAACATTTCAGAGTTTATTTACTAACCTTGCCCAGCAGTGCCAGATTACGTCTTGATGTGTATAAATAGCTGGACAGGGATGACAGATGGACAGAGGTGGGTGGCTAAATGGGTGGGTAGAAGAACAGAGTGACAGATGCATGGATGGATGGATGGATGGATGGGTGGATGGATGGATGGTGGATGGATGGATGGATGGATGGATGGATGGTGGATGGATGGATGGATGGATGGTGGATGGTGGTGGATGGATGGATGGATGGATGGTGGATGGTGGTGGATGGATGGTGGATGGATGGATGGATGGATGGGTGGATGGATGGTGGATGGATCATGGATGGATGGATGGTGGATGGATGGATGGTGGATAGATGGATGGTGGATGGATGGTGGATGGATGGATGGATGGATGGATGGTGGATGGATGGATGGATGGTGGGTGGATGGTGGATGGATGGATGGATGGATGGATGGATGGATGGTGGATGGATGGTGGATGGATGGGGATGGATGGTGGATGGATGCATGGATGGTG
This sequence comes from Homo sapiens, assembly GCF_000001405.40. NCBI lineage: Eukaryota > Metazoa > Chordata > Mammalia > Primates > Hominidae > Homo > Homo sapiens. Next base: position 241,990,242 of record NC_000002.12, on the reverse strand, counting down.
GATGGATGGTGGTGGATGGATGCATGGATGGTGGATGGATGCATGGATGGTGGATGGATGGTGGATGGTGGATGGATGGATGGATGCATGGATGGTGGATGGATGCATGGATGGTGGATGGATGCATGGATGGTGGATGATGGATGGATGGGTGGATGATGGATGGATGGGTGGATGGATGGATGATGGATGGATGGATGGATGCATGGATGGATGGATGGATGGATGATGGATGGATGGTGGATGGTGGATGGATGGATAATGGATGGATGGTGGATGGATGGATGGTGGATGGTGGATGGATGGATGGATGGATGCATGGATGCATGGATGGTGGATGGATGGTGGATGGATGCATGGATGATGGATGGATGGATGAATGGATGGTGGGTGGATGGATGGTGGATGGATGGATGGATGGATGGTGGATGGTGGATGATGGATGGATGGATGAATGGATGGTGGATGGATGGATGGATAATGGATGGTGGATGGATGGATGGTGGATGGTGGATGATTGATGGATGGATGGTGGATGGTGGATGATGGATGGATGGATGGATGGATGCATGGATGGATGGATGGATGGATGGATGGATGGATGGTGGATGGATGGATGGATGCATGGATGGATGGATGGATGGATGGATGGATGGATGGTGGATGGATGGATGGTGGATGGTGGATGATGGATGGATGGATGAATGGATGGTGGGTGGATGGATGGATGGATGGATGGATGGGTAGTTTAGAGAGAGGTGAGTGGAGAGAAGGACAGATGAATAGATGGAGAAGGAAGTTTAGACAAATTCAGAGGTGAGAAATGGTGAACTAGGTCACAAGGTATGGCACTTTCTCCACTGCAGCAGAGCTGAGTCGGACATAGGTCTCACCTCCCTCTGCGCCAGCTGGTGTCAGGTTCACCAGGTGGGTGCAGCGGAGCCTGTGGAGAGGAAAGGGTGTGTCCAGGGCTGCTCTTCTGTGAAGGGAACCAGTTTCTCAACAAAGGCCCAGCCTCCGCTGAGCTCTCAGGGTTTCAGGGGACCTGCTCTTTTGTGGCCCTTGGTCCCACGCCCCGGGAGTGTCAGTGTCCTGCCGCCAGCCCCATCTGGTCCTAAATTTAGGGATTCTGATGAGTTAATGCCACATACCTTGGCCACAATTCAGCATTTCTGATAATTAATTAGTTAAATTAATAAAAATGATAGTTTTTTCCTAGACTTAACATGTATGTCCAGTGATTACATTGGCACCATATGAAAATAGCTTAATAAATGATTAACTTAAATAAATAGTAACTCACTTGAAATGCCTGATTTCTTTCTGCAAAAACAGAAATTGCTTTTTCTGAAATCCTTGGCTCCTACATTTAGCAAATCTTTCCAGGACTTCCCTACTCTTTCTTTGGAAATGTGAAAAACGCATAACATGTATTTTATCATCTGCCTCGAGGACCCAGGGAGGAACATTTCAAGAAATTAAAAATAAGAGAAACATGCATAAAACAAAAAACCGCCAACTTGGCTTAAAAAATGACGAAAAGCCACATAAAGCACACTTCTTTACTATTACCCAAATAATGACAATAATAAAAATGATAATAACAACAATAAATGGTGGTTAAATGCGTTACGGACGCACGCCGCGCCAGGCTGCGCAGCTCGGGGTTTACGGTGCAGATTGCCACATTATACACACGACGAACCTGGGATCCATGAAAACAATCCCAAGAGCACCTTAGCACATCATTTTCCAGACTCATTTGGCCAAAGAGACATTCAGAAATATCCATTACCGTGTGCCATAAGCCTGGGGTGGCCAGAGCTGCGGGGGCTGAGAAACAAGAGGCCCCTCCTGCCTCGCCTTAGAGAGAGAGGACACTCACCCTGGCTGTGCTGGGGAGGCCACGTCCCCGACTGACTCGACACCAGCTTCCATGTCCCAGAACCGCCCATGGGCTCTGACCCTCTGACACCACTCCCTCTCCACGCATGGACCCCAGACTCTCATGCACAACCTGAAGACCCCATCCCTGGCACAATCATAGTTCCTCTTGCAAATGCAAACATCAGGTTGTTTGCTTCATTCACGGGAGCTGGTCTCTGCAAATGGGAGCTGTGAAGCGCTGGCCTCCAGTTTCTCGCGGGACTGAGCCACAGAAGACACGGGCTGCTCCTGCGGTCTCCCCGGTGTGTCCCGGGCACCTGCTGCCTCCGTTCTCTGCGGCTTGGTGCTCTGACGCCTGGGGTGGCGCCTGCCCCTCCTCTGGGTGGGTTTCCTTCCCCAACGTTCATGCACAGAATGTTTTCAGCAGTCACAGACCTTCCGAGACGTGGCTGGATGAGAAACACGCCGGCGGACGACAGAGGGTGGCCCCGGACCCACGCTTATGCCCACCCGTCTTCATTCCATAGAGAACACGACCTTTCTGGAGCACCTGGGGCGAACCCACATCTTCCCTGACAAGGCGTAGAACAGGAGCCACCAACCTTCTGGAAAGTTCTCAGCACCAGGAGCTGCAGCCCAGGGCCTGAAAACCTGTTTCCTAATGAAATGACAGAGGAGTTCAGAACTCTCTGATCCACCTGCAAAAGCAGGTCTCTCCTCATTGACAGCAGTGGCCTCAGCACCCAGCGCAGCCTGGCTGTTCCGGGGACCACACCCAGCGGTCAGGAACTGCATCTTCCTGACCCCCTATATTCAGCATCAATCCGGATCTCCAAGTACACCCAACGCCACCGACTGGATCTCCAAGTACACCCAACGCCATCGACTGGATCTCCGAGTACAATGAATGCCATCAACTGGATCTCTGAGTACACCCAACACCACCGACTGGATCTCCGAGTACACCCAACGCCACCGACTGGATCTCCGAGTACACCCAACGCCATCGACCGGATCTCCGAGTACACCCAACACAGCAACTGGATCTCCGAGTACACCCAACGCAGTGACTGGATCTCCGAGTACTCTGAAAGGACTTGATTGGCACTCTGCCTGTGCACATGTCATGATACGTGAAGAATATCTTGAGAACGCGGCTTTTAAAACCGCACCTGACCATGTGGAGATGCTGGTGTTGGGTGGAGGAGGAGCCCTGAGCCAGGGAGCGGCTCCTCAGTAGGCACGTGGGGAACACGCCCTCCCAAGCACCAGAACCACACAAGGCTGCACCGAGACCGGGGTGCGAGACCCTGTGCCAGGCGAGTGCCTGGTTTCCACAAACGCAGAGCAGAGCGTCCCCACGCCTCGGCAGTCTCCTTGCTGAGGGTGCTTCTTCCCTACTGGAGGAGGGAATCCCGCTTCCCCGATGGGACCGCCTTCGCCCAGGGAGCTCCTGGGAGGAGTCCGTCCCGAGTTATCCTGACCCTCTCCTCCTGCCATTGATGTGTGTGGTGATCGGAGCATGAGGCAATGCTGTAGCAGGGCAGGCTGCCTTCCGGGGTAAAGGAAGGTAACCTGGTCTCCCGGGCAGCTGGGCAGCTCGCGTTCCCTTTCCCACATCTTTTAAAGTGAATCAAAGAGAAACAAAGTAATCTTTCAGTCATTTTCTTCCAGACCGCAAGAACAAGAAATAATGTTTGAAAAATGGAAGGGAGCATGTGATCTCTATTCTCACTAAGCAGAACTTCATGGAAATACTGTTCATCGCATAACGATGGATCTTCACTTGCTTATCATTGGATTTTGCCTTGTGTCTCCACTTATTAACTACACAGGCTCAGCAAGTTTTCAGTCTTTATAAAATTGTGCTAACCGTGGGTTGCTGTCATCTTTGGTAACTTTGGAGAAAGGTCTTACTGCGTGTTCTCACCTTTCTGAAGAGCCCTCATGGGGTCCAGCCCATGAGGCGTCCCAACAGGAAAGGGGGTTTGCAGTGAGCCCTGGTTCCACCACAGCTGTTAGAGAGAGTTTGTGCCCCATGCCCAGCTCCCAAAATCCACTTCATCCCCGGAACAGTGCAAGGATAGGAGGTGTGGGGGTGGGTGGGGTCAGAGTCCACCCCCCCGCTCCTGTCCACCCGGATCCCGGTCAGTCATTCTGGGTTCTTTATGGCCTTCAGGGCCATTCCCACTGCTTGACAGCTGCCTTGGGTCTCAGATAAATGTGTCTTTCTTTCCTTTGCCTAACAGCTGCGGCTTTATCTAGCCAGCATATTTATGGAGCATCAATCATGAATGTAAAAGGTGGACAGCTTTGACTGTACATATGGTTGTAGAATATTGGAGAAGAGAGAAAGTCAGCCAATAGGAATTATTGACAGGACTGCACACATAATTTGCAGCTTTCACAAAATATCAATTAAGCCACATGATGGTTTCATCCCTGGGCAGAGACGAAAGCCCGGCAGGTGAGCAGGAGCGAGACAGAGCACCACGGGCCACGTGAGGCCAGGGCACCGCCTGTGAGCAGGAGAGAGACAGAGAACCACGGGGCACGTGAGGCCGGGGCACTGCCCATGAGCAGCAGAGAGACAGAGAACCACGGGGCACGTGAGGCCAGGGCATCGCCCGTGAGCAGGAGAGAGACAGAGAACCACGGGGCACGTGAGGCCGGGGCACTGCCCATGAGCAGGAGCGAGACAGAGCACCACGGGGCACGTGAGGCCAGGGCACCGCCTGTGAGCAGGAGAGAGACAGAGAACCACGGGGCACGTGAGGCCGGGGCACTGCCCATGAGCAGGAGAGAGACAGAGAACCACGGGGCACGTGAGGCCGGGGCACTTCCTGTGAGCAGGAGAGAGACAGAGAACCACGGGGCACGTGAGGCCGGGGCACTGCCCATGAGCAGGAGCGAGACAGAGAACCACGGGGCACGTGAGGCCGGGGCACTTCCTGTGAGCAGGAGAGAGACAGAGAACCACGGGGCACGTGAGGCCGGGGCACCGCCCGTGAGCAGGAGTGAGACAGAGAACCACGAGGCACGTGAGGCCAGGGCATCGCCCGTGAGCAGGAGTGAGACAGAGAACCACGAAGCATATGAGGCCGGGGCACCACCCGTGAAGTCACAGTCACACGTCAGCTGGTGGCACCCAAAGTGTGCAGAGGATGCCACACCCTCAGAGCCTCTTTCTGAGTCGTCCCCTCTGGGAAATCTTTAAAACAAACTGAGCCTGGCACAGCAGGAGAGCTACAATACGTTAAATTTTGGATACAGATCCAGCTACTACAAAAAAAGGAATTTTTTTCTTCAACTTCCTTAGGCAGCATCTAAAGAATCAAAATCAGATTCACCTGTTAGGCTGACAAAAAAAAAAATTGTAAGTGAAAATAGCCAGACACAAAACGTGCATGTGTGTGCACGTGTGCACGTGTGTGTGTGTGTGTCTATACACATACACACGTGTAGACTTCTGATGGAAACTAAGGCTGTGCAGGCAGAAGTGACTGGATAAAGTTTTATTGGAAGCTGAACATGGGGATCCACTTGGGAAGACGCCCACAGAACTGAGCATGTTCTGGGGTCGGCTACTAGGTGGAAGACTTTCTGGAAAAGTTTAGGAGAAGGGAGGGGACTCCTCACAACAGAGGCATCCTTCTCATGGGGGGACAGGTTGGAGGGCACAGCCAGTGCACACAGATCATACCGTGAGGGCTAAAACGTCTCCATGCAAGGCAATCAGAAAGCTTCATGATTCCGAAACAAACCAGCAAAGCTTCGTGATTCAGAAGCAAGTCAGCAGAATGTCATGACACAGAATCAGATCAACATTTCACGGTTCAGAAACAAATCGGCATCCTTTCAGTGTCAGTGGGTGCCGATCAGTGCGTCAACAGCCGGAGAAGCTGATGGTGAGATTCTCCACTCAGGGGCAGGGTGTGCCCACGAGTCACAGACGTCTCCAAAGCCAGTTAATTTGGAAGCAGGTTTATGTTTAAACTGCCAAATGTGACCTAAAGGTTACCAAGACCCCCTCTCTCCTCTCTGTCTCTCTCTCTCTCACACACACACACACACACACGCCATCTTACATACTCTATGATTCCACTTATAAGATTTTGTCACCCCAGGCTTGGGCCTGAGTCCCTCGACCCTTTCTGCGATCTCCCCGATGCCTCGCACTTGGCCATCGGGATTCACTGACTTTACCTAAAGAGAAGCCGCCCCTGAGCAGCCCCCTGACCCGGCATTTTCCAGCTGGCTCGGTGCATCTCAGCGTGAGACCCACACGTGGGGCGCCTGTGAGGACTGCAGAGGGGGACACAGGTCCCATCCACCCCAAGGCTGCCCCAAAGCATCTCATGTCATTGTTATGTTTTATGTATGGGGCACTCTGGTAGAAATTCTGTACTGGAAAACTATCTCCCCACTAAAACCAAACAAACAGGCAGCTTTCGGGGGCCTTCGTAACGCCTCCTACCTCACCTCCTAATGCCTCTCCTCACCAGGTTTCTGGTCTCCCGGAGCAACCTGCAAACCATCAGTCCTCAGCCTCCTCCTCACTGATGCCCCAGGCCCACAGGCTCTGGGGTTAGGACAGTGCCTGCTGCCTAGCGCTGGTCTGGGAGATGCCCTGGCCAGGGGGCAGGAGCCGCACGGGAGGGCTGAGGGCCGGGAAGTGCCGTGGGGCGGGGAGCATGGATGTCAGCAGGATGATTTTTGACACTTTATTTACACAGATGTCTCGATTGTACCATTAGATGAGTTTGTCAAGTTCCCCTGTAAACAACACCCCAAATAAGATATGAAATATTTCCAGCTCCTACAGTTTCCCCAAGCCCACCCACGCCAGGGCCCTCCCGGCTCCTCCCACAGCCACAGCGCTGAGTACCTGTGCAAGAAAGTCCTGCTTCTCCCGGATCAGATGGCACGGGATAGCCTGGCACACAGGCAGCCTGCGGGGCTGGCACGGACGCTTCTGTCCGGTGTTTTTGCTCGAAGTATCTTTTGAGATTCATCCACTAGATTGTGGACGCCAGAAGTTCATGCATTTTCATTGCCCAGTGGCCTTCCATGTGTGGTTAGACACACTTTCTTTAACTGTTTCCTGTTGAGGAATGCTGGACAATTCCAGGTGTGGCCTGTTACTGTGAGTGACCCCGCCCAGGACTGTGGACAATTCCAGGTGTGGGCTGTTACTGTGAGCGACCCCGCCCAGGACTGTGGACAATTCCAGGTGTGGGCTGTTACTATGAGTGACCCCGCCCAGGACTGTGGACAATTCCAGGTGTGGGCTGTTACAGTTAAAGCCCCTTTGAGAGACCCTGTCCAGGACTATTTGTGGAAGACATTTACATTTTGCTGGGCACAGGGCAGGTGTACATATAGTTGTGGGGGACCTGCCATGCTATGGTCAAAGTGCCTGTGCCTGTGCACCTCCTCCCCGCCGGCGACGTGAATATTCCAGATGTTCCAGACCCTCCCGGCACAGGGTGGGGCCAGGATCTTCACATCCAGTTATTTCAACGTGCGTCACACAGCATCCCATTATGATGAATGTGCATTTCCTGATGGCCGAGGATACTGAGTGCTTTCAATTTGCTTATTGGTCATTCTTGTATCACCTTTTGTCTAATGTCTGTCTTGTCTGTTTTTTTAAAAAGGTATATTTATTGATTTGTAAAGGAAGGACCTTTATATTTTGATATATGTCTTTCAGATTTTATATGTATGCAAATATTTTATTACAATTTGTTTCTTTTTGTTTTTTAATGGTGTTTTTATTTAAAGCAGCAGAATTGGTAGCTAACAGAATAGTCCCTATGAGTAACATGAAGGGCAAACGTCACATCACCATGTTAACAGACTCGGGAAGTGTATCTGAAGAAGTCCAACCTCCATTCATGAATAACAATTTTCAGCAGACTTCTCTGGGGGCCTTCCTCCACCTGTGGGAGTCGTACATCCAGAAGCCGAGTGAGCTGGAAGGACCCCAGTGGGGATGGGCTATGGTTGGAGACCCTGGTATGAACCCCAGTTTAGCTTGACATAGACACAGATGGTTCCATGCAGAATATTTATAGACATGTATGTGCATGGATTAGCATTCACACACATTCCCTTGCTCTGTCAGCTGAGAATAAAAATGAGGATCATTATTACTATTACATTCTCATCTAGGCCTTTAAATAGCAGCTCCAGTTGTAAACCTCTCTAAGGGGCTCTGGATTAACTGCGTGAGAGTGATGAGGGGAAAAGGTCTTTCTCATCTCCATCTGACCTACCCATCTACCAACCAAGCTGGACACTGACTGTCCTTCCGTCCTCTCCCCAGATGAGTCATTGCAAACAGAAGCCCCAGAAAGACTCCATGAAGAATGGTAGTGAGTTTGGTGCAAAGGAAAGATTTAGTGAAAATGACACTTAGTTCATTAACTATTCACGGTGGAGCAACCCATGTGCAGAAAACAAGCCTCAGCCCAGCTGGGCTCTCCCTGGGTCTTACTCCTCCACTGAACTCCCTCGGACGCCTGCAATGAGAAGCCCCTCATGCCAAGCCTCACCTGCCCCTTCCCCTCTGCCACCCCCTGCACCACACAGACTACACAGTTACTCTGTAACTCAGCTATCTGTGGACAAAACCAAAAGAATGGCCTGTATTTGCAACTCACTCTTGATTTCTCCCATTTATAACGCCAGGGAGCTATATTAGTCGCTCCTCAATAAAATACCACAGTCTGGGTGGCCCCTTTGTGGGTGTCCACGTGAGCATGTTGGCCACGAGCCTTCAATTGAACTTGACGTCACTGCATTCTCTGCAGAGTGACAAGGAGGTAGGAGCACCGGCCACGAGTGAGTTAGGGTTTCGCACACAGAGATGGCATGAGAACAGGGATGCTGGCACGTCACTTGGGTGTTTGCTGGAAATGCAGAGTCTCAGGCCCACCTCAGGCCTCCCGGGCTGGAATCTGGATTTTAACATGGGCATCTACACCCTGAAGGGTGGGAAGCTGGGCTTACAGGAGAGACTCAGGGAACGTGAGGCCAGGGTGGCCGGGGCCCTCCCAGGCCTCATGGACTTGTCGTGTCCGTGGACATCATCTGCACCTCCGTCCGTGCCCGCCACTTGTCAATCCATGTCCTTTGTCCTAAGAGCGTGGCCAGAGTCGCCAAATAGACCTTTTGTGTGCGGCCGAAGCTCACACCCAGGAACCTATGGGGCAGGCTGACTCCGTCACTTCCACACAAAGGGCAGCGCTGCTGAAGTCCACAGGCCCGAATCCATTGCTGGTGTTACAGGCAGAGTCGTGCTCCTCCCGAATTCATGTGTTGAAGCTCTAACCCCAAGCCCCAAAGAATGTGACTGTTTTGGGACATAGGACCTTTTAAAAAGGGTGATAAAGTTAAAATGAGGTGACCAGTGTGGGCTCTAATCCAACCTGCCTGGTGTCCTATATAAGAGGAGATGAGGACACAGACACCCACAGAGGGACGATGCTGTGAGGACACAGCAAAGAAGCTCCATCTGCAAGCCACGGAGAGTGGCCTCCACAGAGCCCAGCCCTGCCGAGACCCGGATCTCAGTCTTCTTCCCTTCAGAGTGCTGAGAAAATACACTTCTGTTGTTTAAGCCACCCAGGATGCGATATTTCGCTGACCAACACAGCTCCCTGGCATTGCAAAAGGGAGAAATCAAGAGTGGGTTGCAAATGTAGGCCATTCCTTTGGTTTCGTCCATGGATAGCTGAGTTACAGAGAAAGAGGGTTTCTGGACGTCTGAGTACTTGCACTCCAAACTCCAGCTCCACGAGGTTATCAGAGAGCCACCTCCACTGTTGACACTGGTTTCCCCCTCGGCCTGCCTTTCCTTTGTATTCCCTGGGCTCAGCAAGCAATGCCGCTTTCCATCTTTTTTGTCTCTCCAAAGAAATGAGAACTTAATACACACCAGCCTTGAACTGGGGATCACGTGTTGCCAAGAACACTTAAGAGCAGACAACGCACTTTGAGCTGGATGGAAGCACCACACCCATGCATGGCCTACATGCCCCATGCACACAGCAGCTGCAATACAGGGCAACAGCTCCCAAGGTCAACCTGTGCTTCTCCTACTCCAGATGTGGGATCAAGCATTTCCCCAAGGGTCCTGGTCCCAGGGAAGGGTATTCACAAGCAAAGGTCTTCATGCTGGACTCCAGGACACAGACAAGGAACAGAGGCATCCCTGCCGAGGCTGGGAGTGGGGGATGGGGAGGGGATGGGTGGGGGATGGGGGGATGGGGAGGGGATGAGGAAGGGATGGGGGATGGGGGATGGGGTGGGGAGGGGAGGGGTGGGGGATGGGGAGGGGATGGGTGGGGGATGGGGGATGGGTGGCACCTCACTCTGGAGCGAGGACAGAAACCCTTGTGAAGGCCATGGCAGGATGGGGGCACAGGCCCCATGAAGTCCAAAGACAGAGACCAGGGAACTGCCCCTCCCCAACCCTTCCCTCCCCTCTAACTGACAAGCTCTGGGATAACTGGATTACAGCTAAGAGACCTGAGAGACACAGGCTGTCCGAGGAACAGCAAAGGAAAGCCCAAAACCACAAAGGGAGACAAAAGGAGGTCACAGAGGGATCTGAAGTTATACACACACACAGCTACAGCAAACACAGCCCGGCCCTGGGCAGGGTTAATGCAAATCTCCAATTCACAACCTATTTATTCAGAATCGATTGCCCTCAGCCAGGTGCGGTGGCTCACGCCTGTAATCCCAGCACTTTGGGAGGCTAAGGCGGGTGGATCATTTGAGTTCAGGAGCTCAAAACCAGCCTGGCTGGCATGGTGAAACTCCATCCCTACTAAAAATACAAAAATTAGCCAGGCATGGTGGCGAGCATCTGTAACCCCAGCTATTTGGGAGGCTGAGGCAGGAGAATTGCTTGAGCCTGGGAGGCAGAAGTTGCAGTGAGCAGAGATCATGCCATTGTACTCCAGCCTGGGTGACAGCATGAGACTCTGTCTAAAAAAAAAAACAAAACCAGAATCTATTGCCCTCTAGGAGATGTCCAGCCTGCCAAAAAAAAAAAAAAAAAAAGGAAAAAGCAAATTGAACCCCAAATGAGAACTACTACCCACACCAATTAGAATGGCTAAAATGCAAAATTCAAGCACCACCACCCAGTGCTGATGAGGTTGTGGAGCTACAGAATTGCTGTCAGAACTGCAAAATGGCACAGCCACTGTGGAAGACAGTTGGGCAGTTTCTTAGAATGTGGAACAGAATCTTACCACAGGATCTGGCCATCACAGCCCTAGCTATTTACCCAGCTGGCATGAAAACTTGTTCACACAAAAACCTGCATGTAAATATTTACAGTTGTTTTATTCTTAATCTCTAAAAACTGGGAGCAACCAAGATGTCTGCTATGGACGGAGGGTTTGTGACCCCCCAGAATTGGTACATTGAAGCTCTGCCCCATGTGATATGTCTGGAGACAGGACCTTTGGGGGTGATTAGGTCATGAGGGTGGGGCCCTAGTGAATGGGGTTAGTGTCCTTACAAGAAGAGACACCAAAGCTGACTCCCTCTCTCCAATGTGAGCACAAGTCAGAAGGCAGCTGCCTGCACATCAGAAGAGGCCTCAGAATGAATATGCAGCCAGCACCTTGAGCTTCCCAGCCTCTAGAACAGCAAGAAATAAATTTCTGTTGTGTAAGCCTCCCAGTCCATGGTGTTTTGTTCCAAACTGCCCAATACAATGGTCTCCCCCAGGGAAATGGAGAACACGTGCTTCTCAGTGCAGTAGGAGCTGCGGAGAGATAAAAGGAACCAGCTATTGATTCACATAGCAACAATGATGAATCTTAAATGTGCTCTACTAAGTGAAAAACCCATATACATGATTCATGGGCTACATATCACATGATTCCATTCATATGATACTTTGGAAAAATTAAAACTATAGGAATGAACAGACTAGGGCCGGGGTGTCCAATCTTTTGGCTTCCCTGGGCCACACTGGAAGAAGAATTGTGCCTTGGGCCACACATAAAATATACTAACACTAACAATAGCTCTTGAGCAAAAAAAGTCCATGTATAAATCTCATAAGGTGTTAAGAAAGTTTACGAATTTGTGTTGGGCCACATTCAAAGCCATCCTGGGCCGCATGCAGCCCACGGGCTGTGGGTTGGACAAGCTTGGACTAGCAGTTGCCAGGGGCTGGGGAGAGGAGTGCTTGGCCATCGGCGGACACACGAGGAGCTCTTCTTTCTGGCACTGGGGTGGTAACACATGACTGCACATCACAAAGCGCGGACAGTAATGAGGGCGAACTTAAAGAAACAGGAAGCTGACCTGAGTAACTTCAGAATATGATGTTTTGAGTGGAAATTGTAAAGCTAAAGACAAAAGGACATTAATATCATTCCTTTGTTGGTAAATTTCCCACAGGGGTACAAGTTAACAATTCACATACACTGGGATTGAACAGATAAGTCAACGGATGGCAAACCATGGGAGGCAGGCTTCTTGTGTTGGAGGGGAAGGTTATTTGTAAATAAGAGGAAGTTTAGACTGAACCCTGTGGTACTAGATGAGAATCAGAGACATCAGTGTGAACTCATGTTTAGCTTTGCATCGATATAAGGATGGACAGATCCAGAGATAATCTGAAGTATGTGTTCACACATAGGGTATTATCTGCACGCACATTACGCAGCTCTCTTCACTGACAGGGCTGGAGGCAGTGACACCCTCGTCCCACTGAGCACACCCAGCACCCAGGTTTCTGTTTCTAAATATCATTCTCCAATGAGGGGAACCACGGCTGATTCTAGGGTGGATCAGAGAGAAGACAAGATGAGCCTGGAGTATCTCATGATATCAAAAAGTAAGGAAATTTTCAAAAAAACAAAAGGATGGGGGATTGTCCAATGGACACAGATGCCAACGTGAAAGGGCTGCCAATGGCCAAAGATGGAAAAATTTGAACAACAAAAGAAATAATATATTGGATGATTGAATTATAATAAAAAATATACAGTAAATATCATGAGCCCATACTGGTATAAATAATTGAATAAACAAGTAAATGTGGAGAAGAGGCAAATCTTTCTTACTCCAAATAACATCATATGATCATATGTAGCAGCCCCTCCAGGAGATGGAGTTTAACTCTTCCCCAGCCCTCCCCTGAAGGTAGCACAGGCTTCGTGACTCATCCCAAAGAGTGGAGCGGTGGAAGGGAAGACAGTGACTTTACAGCGAAGACACCTGGCGGACGCCACCTGATCCAAGTGTTAGAAGATAAACGTAGGCACGTGAAAGTGTAAAGAGTTATTTGAGGAGACAGGAATCCATGAGCTGGGCAGCACTGAACTACAGCAGTTTGGGCTCTACCAAGGAGCACAAGGAAAACCTTCATCAGTGTTCTTGGAAGGAAGAACAGAAAAAGGATGGATTGAAGTGAAACAGCAGTCACACGGCCTCTGCTTTGAGGTTAGCTGGCAGTTTCTGTTTAAACTTGAATTTTCTTTCCTAGGACAGGACCCCTTACCCTGAATGGGGTTTCTGTGTGCAGGAACTGGGTTTGCTTCTGAGGTACTGAAGCCCTCAGCCTAGTGCCTCCCGATGCGTTATTTTCACACAAGCGATCGGGTTAACGCCACCTGTGAAGTCAAGAGGATGTTCTATGCCCCTGAGAGGCCGTGAGGGGAAGAACATTTCACCTCCTTGGTATTATTTGCGGAAGCCCACCACCTCAGGCTAACCATGAGGAAAAGGACAGATGAACCCAGACTGAGGGGCATCCACAGGGTGCCCAACAGTCTCCTCCACACTGCCAGGGTCATGGCAAAGGAGAGACAGAAATGTCACAGACCAGAGAAGCCGAGGACACAGGAGGATCAGACACGACGTGGCACCCCAGGTGGGGTCACAGCAGAGAGAGGACATGGATGGAAGCTCTGAAATCCGAAGGCTGGAGTTTAGCTCGTGGCGATGCAACGCGGCTTTCTTGGCTGCTGCAGGTGGACCATGGCAGCGAAGACGTGGAAGCTGAGGGAAATTAGCAGCAGCTTGCAGAAACTGCCTGCACAATCTTCATAACCCTTCTGAAAATCTACAACTATTCAAAATTAAAAAGTATTTGAAACTGACAATGACAAACAGGCACTGCCAAGTTTCCGCCGGCCTCACACTCTCTGTGGTTATTCAGTCCATAAATGACGGCAGGAGGGGGATCAGCTACTCTCTGATCTTGAAAGGCAGAGGGCACCTCCCAGCCTCTTGACCTGGAAGAATTCCAAACAAGCTTCAGGGTTCCAGGCTGTTGCGTAAATCGTCTGCCATTCGAGTGATTGCAGTTCAGATGATTCCAAATAATTAGCAATTACATCTCCTTTTGCCCCCCCTCCAATGACTGAAAATGAGCTTTGATCATTAATACCTATTTGGGAAGCTGAGAATTCTCTAAAAGAACTAAAACCTGGCAACTTCCCTATGCAAAAACTAATTAATGATTCAATTAATAAAAATAAAGAGACTCTTCGTCACGTCTTTAAAGAAACATGGCCCAGAGATGGCACTAATGAAGAATACAGCCATGTCCAGACCTGCGGGGCCCAGAGCTCCACCAGAAGTCACATGCCCCTGGCAAGGCCCCTGCCCCAGGAACCTCCCTTCCTGTGTCCTGATGGGACAGTGGATTTACTGGGAATGTTAACAGAACCACCACACTCATGGCAAGTGCAAAATGTGCCCTGGCAGACCTGAGTTTGTTTCCTTCCGGTGAGTTCTGCCTGGACTGTGAAGTCTCCCAGGGTGAGGGGGGCAAGTGACCCCACACTGTGCCTGTGCCCACCTGTCCAGAGCTCTGGACTGTGGAGTCTCCTCGGGGAGACAAGCTGACCCCACACCGCGCCTGTGCCCCCCTGTGCCAGAGCTCTGGACTGTGGAGTCTCCTCGGGGAGACAAGCTGACCCCACATCGCGCCTGTGCCCCCCGTCCCAGAGCTCTGTTCTCTGGTCTCCTGGAGGCTCTGAAGTCCATTGGAAAGATCACCCCAAGCCAACACACCTCCACGCGCAGAGCTCACATCCCAGGGCCCCCGGGGGCTTCGCACTTTCCTGGCATGCCTAGGATTTTTCTGTGGCTTCAGGGGCTGCTCTTATCAGCTTGACCCAGCGCAGCAGGTGGGTGAGTTGGGAAGTCAGCGTCTCACTTTGTGCAGACACAGTGTGGGGGACCGTAAGAAGATTTCTACCTTCAGCTGTGACAGCCGGAGCTCCCGGAGGACGTGGGCACATGGGGAGAGCCAAGTGAAGGGTCTGGCCTGCGATGCCCTTGTAGCCGGGCCGAGGTTGGGCAAGGCGCTCTACCCACAGTCGCTCTGGTTTGGCCTCTACATGGCCCTGGGAGGTTGAAGCCGCTCTCTGTGAATTCCTTCCCGGGGCACTGAGGCTGGAGGGACGTGCCCAAGACCCAAGGTCCAGTGAGAGTTGCTGACAGCTTTTGGTGACCAGGAGCTGTGGGACAAGCCTCTTTGTACTTACACAGGGTGGTTTCTCAACGCAATGCTCACTCATGGAGCCCAGCTCTGCCCCAGTTTGGAGATCCTCATCCTGGTAAGGTGTGGGAATGTGGGTGACGACTGCTCCATCTCATCAGTGCCACCTGCTCCTTCTGCCTATTCTGAGAAGGACCTACACTTCAAACAGGTGTGGGGAAGGCAAGGACCCTACCAGGGCCTGCCCAGTGAATAGCTGTTGCAGGAAATTCGTTTAAGCCTGGGCATATTTATTCATTTATTAATTAATGCTTCCTTGGGGGCATTTTATCTTCCAAAATCTTCCACAGCCCTGGGATTCTTCCAGATTCAGTCAAGTGCATCCTCATGGTGATGTGTGGCCAGCAGGCGTCCCTGCAGACAATTCGAGGCTGAGCCAACAGAGCCAGTGGGAAGGAGCCCTTCGGCCCGTGCTACCCCTCAGCACACACTCCCAGCACCAGCTCTCCAGCTGCTTGGCCAAGACCCAGGGGCCTCTGACCTCCCGGGTCCCTGCCCAGCTCACCCCAGAGCCCTGCCAAGGAGCTCTCCCAGGGCAGCGTCACCTGGAACCGCTGGTCACGGCCAGCCCCACCCACCCAGGTGCGCAACGGAGGCACATGTGCCCTCGTGCCCCAGTGAAGGGCAGGGACTCAGGAAACACCGTCAGCAGAGGCGGCCCCTCGCCAAATTCATGACTCCTTCGTTAAACTAGTTCTTCCCAAAGATGGCAACACACAGCATGGCCTAAAACATCCTCCGAGGTGAGAGTGGGGTCCCCGGAGGTAAGATGTGCCTCTGCCTTTCCAGCAAGGGGGCCTGGGCAGAGGGGGCCATGTCTATCTCAGGTCCCCTGCCGTCTGTGATGGGGCTGGCACCAGGACCTCAGCTGCTGTTCCAGGGACACGGCCCAAACCATGCCTGGAGAAGGGCACAGGCCGCCATAGCTGAGCCCAAGAATTCCAAGCTGCAGTCGCAGTTCCAGGCCACACAGAGCCCAGGGCCAGTGCTCCCAACTCCCCAGGCTCCGAGAAGCAGCGAGGCTTCAGCTCCCATAAAATTAACTTAGTACCTGGAGAGGACACTCCTAAGCCCGGCTCAGCCTTGGCCTCCCGGAAGCATGTGCTTCTCTCTTCCCACGCCTGGAGGGTGGATGCCCCCTGCATGTTCCTCTGAATCGGTAATCAGCCCCATGAGTGCCCGTCTAAACGTTTCCTTCATGGAGACCAAAAAATAACTGTGCACATTTTTCCCAAGACTGAAGTTGTAAATTACAGGCACCCTTCAACCAATTGGCTCCTCATCAAGGAAATTAACAATCTCTCTGATTGCTAACAGATTTCCTTTCCTCCACCATTTGTTTATCCTTTATCCTGTAGTTTTCCATAAATGGTTCCTCTAAAGTAGCAAATACGAGTTACGTGGAAAATGGCAAAACAGGAAAAAGGCAAATCTCCCTGTGCCCCTCCCCCCTGACCCGAGTCAGGTCCAAGTTGGGCTTTGTCCAATGTCCTCACGGCTGTGGATGGTGCTGTGTCCCCCAAAAAGATAGTTGAAGTTCTAACCCTCACACCTGAAAATGTGACCTCATTTGGAAATAGGGTCTTTGCACATGTGATCAAGTTGAAATGAGCTCATCCATTCGGTGTCCTCATAAGGAGAGAGAGATTTGGGCAGAGACACAGGGATAACACCATGGACAGATGGAGGCAAAGGTGGGTGATTCATTCACCAGGCAAGGAACACCAAGGGTTGCCAGGAACACCAGAGGAAGAAAACCAGCATGGAAGGGCTTCTTCCATGGAGCCTCCAGAGGAACCAGCTGCTTGACCTTGGACTCTCGGCCTCCAGATTGTGAGGGTCACCAAGGACTCCTTCCATAAATTCAAAATCGCAAAGCCGCAGTTTCCAGGCCTCCTGGTTGGGATAGCATCCATTCACAGAAAGAGCAGCTCTGTGCACGTCAGTGAAGGCACTGAGGGCTTACCCGGGCAACAGAAGCTTCAGGACTCTGAATCCCTAAATCCCATGTCAGTGAAGGCATTGAAGGCAACAGAAGCTTCGGGACTGTATCCTAAAATCCCTGACCTCAGGGTAGTGCATTTCTGTTCCCAGTATTGAGTTACTGCAGTTTCTGAGAACAACTCCAAGTTGGCAAGGACAGTTCCCTCATGCTAGCTGCATCTGTATTAGTCCATTTTCATAATGCTATGAAGAAATACCTGAGACTGAGTAATTTATAAAGAAAAAGAGGTTTAATGGACTCACAGTTCCACATGGCTGGGGTGGCCTCACAATCATGGCGGAAGGTGAAGGAGGAGCAGAGGCAGGTCTTACATGGTGGCAGGCAAGAGAGCCTGTGCAGGGAAATTCCTGTTTATAAAACCATCAGAATCTCTTGGGACTTATTCACTATCACAAGAACAGCATGGGAAAACCCGCCCCCATGTCTCAATTACCTCCCACTGGGCCCCTCCCAGACACCTGGGGATTATGGGAACTACAATTCAAGATGAGATTTGGGTGGGGACACAGCCAAACCATATCAGCATCTTTCTGGGTGTCACAACTGCCTATGGAGCAGTTTGGTGGAACAAGCAGGCCTTGGTAACACAGGATATTTCAGAGACCATGGATGATGATGTAGCCACCCACCTTCCCAGGCCACAGAAATGGAAAAGCCAGACACGCTGAAAATGAACTCAGTCCTTCCTATCAGCAAGTAATATGATCAAATGGAAGAAAAATGTATTAAATAATGGATTATAATGAATGTGAGCAAATTAAACTACAAAACATAAGGCTGGAAAGACAACCTTCTTTTTAACAGAAATGTACCAAAAGGGGAAATGTTATAACTTTCTATGAGAATTGATCAATAATTTGGCAATCACAAAGTTAATGAAGTGTTTCTATTTCTTTTTGAATGACTACATAATTTGAGAAATTAACAGGTTGAAATGCCCCCTCCCAACTTCCCAGGAGGCAGGTCTGGAACCAGTTCCCCCATGCCCTGTGCCCCTAGTCAATATGGACATTTATTTCTCACAGTTCTGGAGGCTGGAAGTCTGGGGTCAAGGTTGTGGCCAATCCTGTGTCTGGCAAGGCTGCTTCCTGGTTTGCAGACACCATCTTCCTCCCTGTCCTTAGCAGAGAGGAAGGGTGGTGAGTAGAGAGAGAAGAGGCTGGTTCTGGTGTTTCTTCTTACAAGGGCACTAATCCCCTCATGGGGCTCCACCCCATGACCTAATCACGTCCCAAAGGTCCCATCTCCAAACACCATCCCACTGGGGTTTAGGATTTCAACGTAAGGATTTGGGGGGACGCAAACCTTCAGCCCACAGCAGTGCCCTTGGTCCTACCCCTTCCTCTCCTAGACTTCCTCCATAGGAGTTCGGCAGGCACTCCTGGTCTTCCTTTATCTTCTTGCAGAAAGATGGCCCGGCAGGTCTGTGACAACATTCACACCCACAAGGTCAACCAGGAAGAAACTGAACCTGATGCAAATAGAGACAGAGTCGCACCTGTGAGAAACAAACTCACCCGTCCAAACACAAAGACTGGACGCAGAGACCCGGAGAACAGCAAAACGGAGATTTTCAATGACAGTCTTGCAAGACTGGGTGTCTGGCTGGCATGCAGCCACCCCCAGCAGAGTTTCAACAAGCAATTTATCCCCTAGTGCGCAGGTCCCTCCCCCAGTTCCTCATTGACTGAGTAAATGGGGTTACGATCTTCCTGGACATCACCTATTGGTCGTTGGATTAAGATTTCAAGTCTGTTCTTTAGGATCTTTCTGCTGCATTTTATTGCAGCCCACCATGCATTGCAACTGTCTCAGGACTCTTCAAACATTTGACTATGGCCCTGGTGGCTGCACGTAGCTGATAAGAAAGGGTATAATTATTTATGTTGCAAGCTAGCCTAAACTAAATTCTTTGGTGGGGTGAGGAGAGGGTAGTTGAGGGGGCTCCTACTGATAGGCACGTGGCCGCTGGGTGAAAGGGAAAGCAGGAAGGAGGGCAGGGTGGTGACTCAGTACATTTCTGCTTCTTTATTTCTCTATTTCCACATAGCCTGCTTAAACCTATATGAAGGCACTTAGAACTGAAAATGGACCACCACATATAGGTTATTTTCTACACACCTACCTGTCAGCGACCGATCTTGCTCAGACGCATCCTTAACCAGCATGACCAGTCAGAGCTTCAGCCACACAGCAGCCTAGGGAGCTTCTTCATGCCAACATTCCTTACCTCTGTTTATTAATCTACCTACTTACCTGTAGAAGTTCATCCGTCTTAAGGACTTAGGAAAAATGTCTTGAGATTTTGGTCATGCTCATCCTTATGTTTTGAGGAAAGGGGTGCTCAGAATGAGTTGATGTGGCTTCGTCTGACACAAGCTGTCATAAACCCCATGCCCCGTCATCAACCCCACACCCCGTCATCAACCCCACACCCTGTCATTGACCCCACGCTCTGTCATAAACCCCACGCCTCATCATCAACGCCACACTCCGTCATTAATCCCACACCCCATCATAAACCCCATGCCCCATCATCAGCCCCACACCCCATCATCAGCCCCACACCCCATCATCAGCCCCAAGCTCCGTCATAAACCCCACGCCCCTTCATCAACCCCACACCCCATCATCAACCCCACACCCCATCATCGACCCCACACATGCCCCGTCATCAACCCCACACCCCGTCATCAACTCCACACCCCATCATCAACCCCATACTCCGTCATCAACCCCACACCACGTCATCAACCCCACACCCCGTCATCAACCCCAGGCCCCGTCATCAACCCCATGCCCCATCATCAACCCCACACCCCATCATCAACCCTACGCCCCATCATCAACCCCATACCCCGTCATCAACCACACACCCCGTCATCAACCCCAAACCCCATCAACAGCCCCACGCCCCGTCATCAACCCCATGCCCCGTCATCATCCCCACACCCCATCATCAACCCCACGCCCCGTCATCAACCCCACACTCGGTCACCCGTCATCATCCCCACACTCCATCATCAACCCCACGCCCCGTCATCAACCCCACACTCCGTCACCTGTCATCATCACCACACTCCATCATCATCCCCACACTTCATTACCCATCATCATCCCCACACTCCATCACCCGTCATCAATCCCACACTCCATACCCATCATCATCCCCACACTCCATCACCCATCACATCCCCACACTGTATCACCCGTCATCAACCCCACACTCCATATCCATCATCATCCCCACACTCCATACCCATCATCATCCCCACACTCCATCATCAACCCCACGCCCCGTCATCAACCCCAGACTCCGTCACCTGTCATCATCACCACACTCCATCATCATCCCCGCACTTCATCACCCAACATCATCCCCACACTCCATCACCCATCATCAACCCCACACTCCATCACCCATCATCAACCCCACACTCCATCATCATCCCCACACTCCATCACCCATCATCATCCCCACACTCCATCATCCGTCATCAATCCCACATTCCATCATCATCCCCACACTCCATCACCCATCACATCCCCACACTCCTCTATCACCCGTCATCAACCCCACACTCCATACCCATCATCATCCCCACACTCCATACCCATCATCATCCCCACACTCCATCATCAACCCCACGCCCCGTCGTCAACCCCACACTCCATCACCCGTCATCATCCCCACACTCCATCATCATCCCCACACTCCATCACCCATCATCATCCCCACACTCCATCACCATCCCCACACTCCATCACCATCCCCACACTCCATCACCCATCATCATCCCCACACTCCATCACCCGTCATCATCCCCACACTCCATCATCATCCCCACACTCCATCACCCATCATCATCCCCACACTCCATCACCATCCCCACACTCCATCACCATCCCCACACTCCATCACCCATCATCATCCCCACACTCCATCACCCGTCATCATCCCCACACTCCATCACCCATCATCATCCCCACACTCCATCACCCATCATCATCCCCACACTCCATCACCCGTCATCATCCCCACACTCCATCACCCATCATCATCCCCACACTCCATCACCCGTCGTCAACCCCACACTCCGTCACCTGTCACCAACCCCACACTCCATCACCCATCATCAACCCCACACACGCCCCGTCATCAACACAGCAGCACAGCGTTTCCTCCAGGAGAAACACCAAGATCTCACGTCCCATCCACAGGCTGAGGCTGCTGCTCCTGCAGGAACCTGGTGCAGTGTAGCAATTCCACATCCTGAAATTGCTCATCAAAACTCCTATTAAAGTGTCAAACAGTGAATAGCTAAAATACCACTTTGCTTGAACAGTGAAGAGGTTGGAAGGAAAACGTTAACTGTATCAGAGAATATGGACTCCTAACATACAGGGAGTCAGGTTCATTTTGAAGTCACTCTTCTTCCAACAGATTCACTAAGGCTCTTTGTCAACACAAATTGAAAACCGTTAAAAAAAAAAGTAATTATGATGCTTCCTGCCCTCCATGAAAGGACCACATACAGACACCACGCTCATATCTGAGGCCCTGGGGTAGCCTTTAATGGCCCAGCAGAATGGCCAGAACCGTTAGAGGAAACATTTAATAAAGTCTGGAGTCAGAGCCCTGCGGGTCTAGCTGGATTCCTGGAGGTGCGGCCCAGAAGCCAGCGGGAGGGAATTGGAGGCCGGAGGCTCAAACTGTCCCCACTTCCACCAAGGGCCCCTCCTCCAACAGCTTCCAGGCTGCCAAAGCCCCTGCATCACCTCCAGGGTCCCCTGGGTCCAGCCTCATGCTTCCCATAATGAGTTTTTAAACCACAACGCTGCATCAGGTGACATCTCTTCTGCAGGCTGTGCGCGTCTCCAGGGGGAAGGGGGCTGTGTCTTTGGGACAGTTTGTGCTCTCAATCACTTGACTGCTGACAGGCACCTCAGCTGAATGGTGTGATTTATGCAAAGATTGTGCTGAATTATTTAAAGCATTCTCTATTTAAAGAACAGAGAATATTTAATTAGCATTCTGCTGTGCTTAATTGAAGACTCACAAATCAATTAAAACTGCTTACCTTTTGGCAGTTCAGTAACTTCACAGAAACCTCCCAGGAAATGCATCCTATTCACAGCTGGGTTCATCCTATACCCAGCGACCTGTGGCCAGTGTGGCGCTGTGATTAGAGGCGGCTCAGCGCCTTCAGAGGAGCGGCCTGGCTGTGCGCACATTAGAGAAAGGCTTCCATCGTCGTTGGTCCTCTTTCTCACAGGGACTCTGGGGTCTTGGTGCCGGGAGATGCAACCGCCTCTGGCAGCCCGGCTTCATTTTAGGGACAGTGACTATGGAGAAACCCAGGTCTGACCCATTTTCTCCAGAGGGGAGGGAGCCACAGGGAAAGGCCCCTTGTTGCTCTGTTGGCCCTGAGTGCCTCCCAGGAAAGGTCAGAGCACAGACTCAGCCCTGGGAGGGCCGAGAGATCCCGCTGGACCCTGCCCTCCTCGACACTCTGGACAAGATGCAGAGAGTGGGGTCCTGGCAGCAAGATCCCGTGGGAGTGGGGCCTTGGAGCTCAGGGCCAGACCGAGGGGGTGCTCATTGCTGGCTCTGGCCTACAGACACGTTGACATTGGCACCACACGGGCCAACTGAAACCCTAAGAGAAAACCCAGCGTCCCCTGGCCAGAGCCACCAGAGGACAGAGCTCCCAATGAGCCCAGCTGCTAGAAAAGAAGGTGGAGTCCCAGGCAGAAGAGTTCTTCAGGCTGAATGGAAATGATTCCAGAGGGAAATGCAGATATGAAGAAGGAGATAAAGAGCTCCAGAAATGGCAAATAGCAGGGTGAGCCTACGCGACTTCTCTAACGGAAGAAATTACCTTTAAAACACACGTGCAGGCTTAGAGCAAAAGAAACCGTGCCATAAGGTGTGAGTAAGTGAAGTGCCTGTGACACCCACAGATCAGAGAAGCAGAGGCCTCCGGGATGGCAAGGCAAGGTTGCCGCATTTCATATGAAGTGCACAATCATCATAAAAGAATGCATTAAATATACATATGTATGCATTCAAATTACACTAACATCACATATATCCATTAGACTTTATCAAAATTAAAATCTTCTGTTCATCCACATAAAACGATGTCACTTACTGCAAAAAATATTCTCAAATATTTATCCAAGTGCTGAGATCCAGAATAAGTAACCCCTAAAATTTCATAATAAAACAACTTGGTGAAACAACGGTCAAAGGATTTGAACACTTCGCCAAATGATGGCAAATAAACACAAGAAAAAGTGCTCGACAGACTCGAGCACCAGGAAGATGCGTCGTAAACACCAACAAAAACCACCACACACACCCACAGTAGCCAAAATCTATAAAACTGGTGGCACCAAACGTGAGGGAGGATGTGGCCCACCCAGCACTGTTGCTGTGCATTCTTGGTGAGAACACCTAAGACGTCCCCTCAATGGGATTAGAAAACCACAAGGCAGGCAGGTCAGCTGCTGCACTGCACACCACAGCGGCTGGTGAACTCTGCACACAGCGGTGGGCCGTCAACTGAAACCACAACAGGCAGCGAGCAGCTCTCAAAATGAAGGCATTCCGTGGAGAACAGCAGTGGATTATCAACCAGGATGTGTGAGCCATGACAGACCACAGGCATTCCCTGGGAGGCTGGGGCAAGAGGAAGCTTTTAAAGGCAAAAGAAGCTTGAGGAAGCGGTTCTGAAACAAAACTTACCAGCCTGAGAGGCTCATTGCAGGGGCTGGCGATGACTCATTGGAAACACTGACAGCTGCTGGGAGACGTCCTCATAGAAGCAACTTCTGAGCAACGTTAAGCCTGGCATTCCAGTCAAAACCTGGTAATATAACCAATATTTTCCATTGTATGCTGCTGTGAAGAGAACAGGCTCTTATTGAACTTACACAAATGACTGTATTGCCAAAAACATAATCATACTCACAAATAGTTCACAAATTTTGGAGAGATAAGGTAGGGAAAGAAGCCTATGTTTCAATTTTTGTTCACAAAGTTATACTTTACCAAATTGGTGTAAATTATAGATAGCTTAAGAAAACTATTTTCCTTAAACCTGGAAAACAAAACATTAAAATAGAGAACCAAAAATATTTTAAATTAAAACTGTAAAAACCCATCATTCCTTTTCGTCAATTCATTCAGTCCCATGTAATTAATTCTCATTCTGCTTGATCTAGGTTAGCAGATTTATGAACCCATCAGTTTCTTCAACAGAGTCCCAAAAATATCTACTTTCTCCAACGGTATGATCTTAAAGGTATCAGCAATCAGAGTTCAAGAGGACTGCCAAAGTCATTTCATTAGAAGCAATTTGGACTGTAGTTGATTGCAAAAGCTTTTAGAGAAACATCAAAACAATAATTTGGATTTGGATCTTTACATGGATGACAAAAACATAGACGGGTCATGGTTAAAAGTCTGATGAGAGTTCATTATAATGAGAAATTGACAAGGAACTTTGGTTATTTCCATAGCATAGAACATTTTAACACAATAATTAGAACTACTACTGATAACATTATACCAAGATATATCAGATATTTAAGAATTTTATACAAATTTTGGAATACACTAATACTGTATCCATACAAATATAACTTAAAGAATGGTTAAGGCCGGGCGCAGTGGCTCACTCCTGTAATCCCAGCACTTTGGGAGGCCGAGGCAAGCCGATCATGGGGTCAGGAGATCGAGACCATCCTGGCTAACAAGGTGAAACCCCGTCTCTACTAAAAATACAAAAAAATTAGCTGGGTGTGGTGGTGGGCACCTGTAGTCCCAGCTACTCGAGAGGCTGAGGCAGGAGAATGGCGTGAACCCGGGAGGTGGAGCTTGCCCTGAGCCAAGATCGCGCCACTGCACTCCAGCCTGGGTGACAGAGCCAGACTCCGTCTCAGAAAAAAAAAAAAAAAAAAAAAAAGGTTAAACATCATTTCTTGTTTACAATGCTTCCCACATATTTAATAATTTAGCATGTCAAATAAACTTAATTAATATATCTCTTTTACAAGGTAAGAATAAAAAGATTTAATTTAGAATTTGATCTTGGGAAAGCTTGTCAAAAATGTCAAAGGTTTAAAACACTTAATTAAAACAGGATAATAGGTCACTGTGAAATAATAGTCATCCATTTAACTATAGTGATAATTAAAATACTTTAAAAGCAAATAAAGTTACACAGACAAAAAAAAAAAAAACCCTACCTCTTTAAAGGAAGAATTTTTCCAAGCAATCAAAAACCTAATAAAGACAGCGCAAAGTACACGACATTATCTTGATAAATTTTTCTAGGCCAGTTACTGTGGAGGCCTCATTACGGAGGGGGAGTGGGGCTGGCGGGACTGAAGGAAGCAAAAAGAGAAGGCACATAAGCCTTAAGTCTGCCTTTCTCATGGTCCAGAACACATAACCCTCCTGCACAAATAACTCAGTCTTCCAGCTATCACCAGATCCTTGACTGATGGGAAAATTACAAGTTAGCTCACGGCAACCTTGGCGTTATCAGCACTGTCAAAGCCCTCTTCAGCTCACAGCACAGAGACTGTCTTATAAAACCCTCACCAAGCCTTCGCCTCCTTGCAGTCAGCTCCTCTCTGCTAACTTGCCCATTGCACTCTCGCAATGTATTTTCATGCTTTCTTCAATAAATCTGCTTTTCTTTATCTGCAACTGTCTTGGTAAATTCTTCTCACCACACCACCAGCCCCAGAGGGTCACCACTCACCTGCGACAGTTACCAAAAAGGCAAGGAACACCCTGATTATTTTTTAATCAGGGGTAGATCAATACTACAAGAAAATCTTGTCGTATTAACAGAGAGGACCAAATTCTAGTTTCATGTCGGCAAACTTTAGATCTTTTTTCTTCTTCTTTTTTTTTTTTTTGAGACAGAGTCTCACTCTGTTGCCCAGGCTTGAGTGCAGTGGCGCAATCTCAGCTCACTGCAACCTCCGCCTCCCAGGTTCAAGCGATTCTCCTGCCTCAGCCTCCCTAGTAGCTGGGACTACAGGCATGCGCCACTACACCCAGCTAATTTTTGTATGTTTAGTAGAGAAGGAGTTTCACCATGTTGGCCAGGCTGGTCTTGAACTCCTGACCTCAAGTGATCTGCCCTCTTCAGCCTCCCAAAGTGCTGGGATTACAGGCATGAGCCACCACGCCCAGCCTAGATCTTAATGTTCTATTTTAGAAAGACTTATAAATTATTTCCTTCTATTTTTAGTCAACTTGATCACATACAAAATGTATTTCATAAAATTCATCTTCCATAAACCTTTTGCAATTTTCTCAAACCTTCTAGAATTTGTTCAAACCTTCAGTTTCGTTCTATACTTCCTCTTTTTTATACTGGAACAACCAATCATTCTAACTTAGGATAAAAATTTACTCTTTTTTCCCTTATAATTTTGGCCACACAAGATTTTCTCATATAAAAAAAAGTTTTATTCTCTTTTTCTTTTCAACTTTCCCTACCAAAGATATAACTTTCTTTGCTTATTTTTTGTCCCATTTACTGGTTCCTTTCTGCCTTGTTTCTATTTCCTTTCAAAATTTGCATTTTCAAGCAACCTTTAAATAACCTCCAAATTAGACAAAATTATTCTTCTTCTAAAAAAAACCCTCATGTCTTTTGTAATTTTTTTACCAAAAATACCAAAAATTGTATCATTATTTTTCATACTTTGTATATAGAGTTACACACATTAATTAGAATTTTTAAATCTTAGTGCCCTTAATTTTTAGTGGAACCTAGGAAGTAAGCAATTTTGAACTGTTATATGATAACATTTTATGAATACATATTTTATAATTTTTCAGAAACGTGCTTCCTCATAGAACAATTTCTCAATGTAGAACAAGACACAATGTTTTCTAATAGACCCAAACAAATTTTATCTTTCCACAGAACTTTCGAAGCCAGGAATAAGCTTACACTTATGTTCAGCGATTAATGTTTTAGTATTTTAACTTGTCTGTGTTACTCCTGAGAAACTTCCTGAGATATTAAGCATCCATCATCTTGAGGTGTTTTCCTATTAACCATTTTTACAGCATGTGACTGTCAGGCGGTCATCTCAAAATCAAGAAACCGAAGCGTTAAACGCACGGCGTTTTGTTTCATTGCTGCGCTTCCTGCGTGAGGAGTAACGGGCGTGCCGCCTCACTTCTGCGGGCACACTTGTTTTTAGGTCAGACTCATGCTTTACAATTAAACATTTAGCAGAGATGAAAGTTGCGTGTCTGCATCATCTTTAACGCTGAGGACTCTGAAGACACCTGCTTTTATCAAACCGGCAAATCTAAACTCACCTTTATTCACCAAAGTTTACCCCAGGTCAAGTGAACTTTAAAAACATTTGGGTTAGTTCCTATTTTTTTTTTTTACAGTTGTAGGTATGCTCATTTATTTCTAAGTCAATTTAAACAATGCCTCTTACTAAGTAGGAAAGACCTTAAAGATCTTTTATTTGCTCCATTTGTAAACAGTCAAGAATCACGCCAATCAAAAAATGTGCACAGCACACAGTCAGCAGTGCTGGGAAAGGATGGCTCGGCTGGCTGAGAAGTTCCCAGGGGGAGAAGCAGAGTCTGGCAGAGAAAACACAGAGCCACCACGAGTTATAGCCTGAGCATCAGCTTCCAGTTAGCCTGACTTCTCATCAGGGAGCTCTAAAGAAAGTCCCTTTTCAAATATCTTATTATCAGCTTTTAACCAGGACAACAGTAAACATTCCCGGTGGTATTGAAGTCTTTCTTTCCTCCCTTCTAGTTCCATTTTAGCTTAGGACAGAAGATCAAACAAACAAAAAGTTCCTATAATGCTCCAAATATTAACCAACTTCCAAACCAAAAGTAAACCTACTTCCGCTGTGATTCAAAACTAGTAAGCCCTGTATGGCTTAACCATGGATGCAAGAGGTCCCCAGAAAGGATGCAAAGGATGTAGCCCCCTTCAGGATCCAAAATTTCTCTTGAAGATAGGCTAAGGAAGTAAAGATGCTCACTGGTAACAAGGTAACCATGGTGAGGCGGTTAAGGTAAGTTCCTGAGAGCAGATGTGGTCGAACAGAGACACTTCATGTTTCGGTCCTGGCCGGTGACCGCCATCAGAAGCATGCCTAGCAACTCGGATCTCCCAGTGGGCAGAGACCGGAGACAGCATCCTCACTGGTTATGACCAAGTTCTCAAGACAGAAAACAGGCCTTAGGGCAAACCCCACAAAAGGCAGAGACAAAGAAAACAGCGGCTATTTCTGGGAAGCTGTGGCCAAAAAGCAACGGGCACCCAGCACCAAATTCACAAGAGTCACCATTTAAAGAACCACTTCTTACAATGTTCTCCTTTCGATCCAAATTTAAAAAGGGACAAGAAAACCTTTTACCTTCTCAACCAGGCATTCCAGGTAGTGGCGTGAGAGAGCTGACTTTGGGAAGAATTCCTGCCTCTGCCCTGTGTCAGGTGTCCTGGAATCCCACCTGCAGGTTCCGGGGAGAGGACAAAGTGGGATATCCCAGCCTTTAGCGTCCCAGTTGGACGCTAGATAGACTAGCAGGAGAGAAGCATCATACAGGTTTTACATAGCATGGGAGCCCCCGTATGGAAATGAAGACCCCAGAGAGGCCGTTATCAATTCACTAAATCATTCCAGGGGGCTTAAAACATACGAGTTATCTAACAAGGTCTGTACAATGTTCTGTCTGCTTCAGCTTCTCATCCTTGAAGATAAGAAGGCTGCCTTTCCTTCCTTCCTTCCTTCCTTCCTTGCTTGCTTGCTTCCTTCCCCCCTATTTATGGTCTCCGATGGGTGTAGAAGTTAATTTCTTGGATGTTTACATTTCAGCTAGGGCTGGTGAGAATAAAAAACCTCCAGGCAGCTTTGAAATCAGTGTGTTTTTTGGTTTTGTTTTAATTATAGTTGTAGCAGTGGGTTTTATCTTATTTGAAAATGACTCATTTTATGAATATCTATAAGTTCACGTTAAGGCTTCAAGTTTCCCCCAAAATATGTTTGGACTTCATTTTAAGTAGACACAGTTTATAAAACAACTATCATTGAAAAGTTGATGAACTTTAAAGTCATTTACATTCACCTACAATTATGCTTTAATTCCTTCTTAATCAAAACTGGCCATTGAAGGAGTCAGGAAGGACCATTCCAGATGATGCTTCTTTAACACAAATATTCTTTTCTGCTAAAAGCAATGAAGAAGTAGCAGAGGAAGGGCTCTATTTTTCCTTCCATCTAAAGAAGGATATTAATTTTCTTAACTGGACACAACTCTTACCAGCACAGAGATGGCAGCAGGGGAATCCTAATTACATCTTACTTCACTCATTTATTCTCATAGTTTTTGCCTCTGGAAGCCAAAAGCTGTTTTCCTTTATAGACGTGAGTTTTTACAAAACAGTTTCAAAATAGCCAGCTAAATGCCAGAAAGTGTTTAGTTTGATAGACAGTCTTTTCAACTTTGCTTGTTTCTTGATTAGATTGCTAACTTCAGGGTAGAGCCCATTAAGGAATAGTGGGGAGAAAACATTTTTTTATGTCTGCAATCAGCATGGGTAGCTTTGAAAAAGAAGCAAGCCTGCTGTTTTTCAAGTGATTCTAACTAAATTGTCAATATGCCAGAATAGCATATTTAATTACTTTATCTCCTTCATCTAGAACTTCCCTAGAGGTTCCATGTGTTAAAAGATGAATTGGTGTTTGTGGAGAAAAGCTGGGGAGCTCTGAATAAAGGGGGTGGGGAGGTCAGCCAGAGAAGGAGGAGGAGGATGTGCTGTGGGAAGGGGAAGGAAGGGCTCTGGGAAGGAGGTGCCTTGGCTGGTGTGGAGACAGTATTTTGCAACGAGGCCTTTTTAAAGTCCTGAATGCACTTTGAAGCCTCAAGATGGCAACTAAAAATACGCGCCTCATTCAGACTGTTTAACCCAATAGCTGCAATTTTCTAATATAGTTCTAGGAAACCAGTCTGGGGAGTTGGAATGATTCTCAAATGGCCACTGGAATTCTAAATCACCCTTGGTGTCATCTGTCCATGGGCTTAAAATGTGCACAAAGGGCCACAATGTTTGAATGTACGACCAGCTGAGCCCCCGAAAGCCGGGCGTGCCTTACACTTTGAGAATCCCATTCTGTCTCCTACTGCACTTTTGAGAGCAAAAAGAAATTCATATAACCGCTGTATGTGATATTTGCTCTTTAAAGATGTTTTGAAACAAGCAGGGAGAGCAGAAGTAAAAAAAGCCAAATCACTTAATCACTTATGGACGCACAGAAACAAACAAACCAGAGCACTCCCCAGGACCAGAAAGGACAACCCGGCCTCACAGGGTCCCAGGACGGACGCAAGGTCCTATATTAAGGTGGCCTGGTCCAAGGCAGATCCCGAGCGAAGTCAAGCTTCTGCCGGAAGGAGGGCTCTCAGCCTGGGAGAAGATGCACGTGGCAGAAGAGGTGGGCCGCAGAAAGGAAGAGCTCAGAGGCCTCAGGCGGGCACTACACAGCAGTTCCAAGAATTGTCACTTCCTTCTGAAGGCCATCTTCCTTCTGGTCCTATTTCTGGCACCAGATTGTGCCATCCTGAGCAGCAAAGGGAGCGGCTCTCAGGATAAGTGAGTTTATTTGGAACAACACAGAGGCATAAGGACTTTCAGAGCGTCTGTGCAGCCGCTCTTACCACAGACGCACAAGCAGGAGGCTCCCTTCCTCATATCTCCCGTGCGTCTGTGCAGCCGTTCTTACCGCAGACGCACAAGCAGGAGGCTCCCTTCCTCAGGATCTCCCACTCTGCTTTAGGAGAGCAACTGCATCCTGGCATCAGCAACTTCCACAGGCTCTGAGGGATAGCGTCAGAACCAGGCACCGAGCAACCTACTGGGATTCTGGAACAGAAATTATAATAACATGTAACCTTTATAAGATCCCCAAGAGGGTCTGATATATAGCCGAGTTAGGGAAGACTGGAGTAGTGAGTTGAATTATGTCTTCCAAAAATATGTCTAAGTCCTAACCCTATATGGCTTAGCTAGGTCCCCACCCAAATCTCATCTTGAACTGTAGTTCCCATAATCCTCGTGTGTCATGAGAAGTGATTGAATCATGGGGTGGTTCCCCCATGCTGTTCTCATGATAGTGAATGAGTTCTCATGAGATCTGATGGGTCTTTTTTGTTTTGTTTTTGTTTTTTTGAGACGGAGTCTCGCTCTGTCACCCAGGCTGGAGTGCAGTGGCACAATCTCGGCTCACTGCAACCTCCACCTCCTGGGTTCAAGTGACTCTTCTGCCTCAGCCTCCCAAGTAGCTGGGATTACAGGTGCACGCCACCATGCCTGGCTAATTTTTGTACTCTTAGTAGAGACAGGGTGTCACCTTGTTGGCCAGGCTGGTCTCAAACTCCTGACCTTGTGATCTGCCCACCTCAGCCTCACAAAGTGCTGGGATTACAGGCCTGAGCCACCATGCCTAATGGATCTGATGATTTTATAAGGGGCTTTTCCTCCTTTTGCTGGGCACTTCTCCTTCTTGCCGCCATATGAAGAAGGACATGCTTGCTTCCTCTTCTGCCATGATTGTAAGTTTCCTGAGGCCTCTCCAGCCATGCAGAACTGTGAGTCAATTAAACCTCTTTTCCTTATAAGTTACCCAGTCTTGGGTATTTCTTCATAGCACCATGAGAACGCGCTAATACACCTCAGTACTTGTGAATGTGACCTTATTTGGAAATCAGGTCATTGCAGATGTAATTAAGTGAAGGATGTTGAGATGAGATCACACTGGGTTGCCCTGGTGGACCCTAAATCTACTGACTGGTGTCCTTATAAGAGAAAGGAAGAGGGATATTGGCACAGACAGAACAGGAGAAGAGAGAGGAAAGTGGAGAGGGCACATGAACAGAGGCAGAGATGGGAGCAATGCAGGCACAAAAACACAGGCCCAGGGACACCTCGGGACACCAGGAGCTAAGAGAGGCAGGAAGGCTTCTCTCCTCAAGCCTGGGAAGGGAGTGAGGCCACCAACATTTTGATCTCAGATTTCTGGTCTCCAAAAGCGAGAATAAACTCCTGTTGTTTTTTAGAGACGGAGTGATACGGTTTAGATGAGTGCCCTCCACATCTCACGTTGAAATGTGCTCCCCAGTGCTGGAGGTGAGGCCTGGTGGGAAGTGTTGGATCATGGGGGCAGATCCCTCGTGAATGGCTTAGCACCACGGCCTGGGCGATGAGTGAGTTCCTGCTCGGTTGGTTCTCGGGAGAGCTGGTTGTTTAAGAGTCTGCTCCCTCCACCTTCTGGCTCTCACCACGTAATCCTGCCTCCCCACTGCTTCGGTTGTTTAAGAGTCTGCTCCCTCCACCTTCCGGCTCTCACCATGTAATCCTGCCTCCCCACTGCTTCGGTTGTTTAAGAGTCTGCTCCCACCCACCCTCCGGCTCTCACCACGTAATCCTGCCTCCCCACTGCCTTCCACCATGACTGGAAGTTCCCTGAGGCCTCCCCAGAAGCAAAGGCTGGCACTATGCTTCCTGTACAGCCTGCAGAACCATGAGCCAATTAAATCTCTTTCCTTTATGAATTACCCAGCCTCAGTATTTCTTTATAGCAATGCAAGAACAGACTCACATGCAGGATCTCACCCTGTCGCCCAGGCTGGAGTGCAGTGACGCTAAGCTGTGGGCCACATTACCGTATCCCAGACAGCCAGGACTTGGTCAATGACTGTGGCTTCCTGAGTTGGACTCCTCATCGCCTTTCAACTCAAGACCAAGCTGGGAAAGCCACATGTGCTCCATTACCAAGCCCGTAGGCCGCCCCCGCTCCCCAGAGCCACAGCCTCCACCAGGGTACGCCAGGGCTGTCTGTTCCACTGTGAAGCTCCCCAGCCCAGCTGCCTTCAAGTCACTGTCCAACACAAACAATGTGGCCAGGCCCTTGCCCAGCCAGCCCTGGGTGAGCCCTACCTGTGCTCCTGGGGGTCTTTGATGACATCCACTGCCTGGGCCAGCTCCCTCGACACTCTCCACCTCCCGTCCTAGCTGCCCCTCACATCGAGTGCCCCTAGGCACCCCCCAAGAGCTGCAGACCCCTGCCTTCCTTCTCCACATCTGCCCCTCACAGGCTTCCCTGCCACTCTCCCTGCCCTCCACTGCCACTCTCGCCCTGACCCTGCCATGTCTGCCCATCATCCTCACGTGTGCACTGCTGGTGGTGTCTAGGGTCAGGCTTGTCATGTGTGGCCCCTGAAGGCAGACGGTTCAGCAGTTTGCTCACTGTTCTTCCTCATGCCTCAAAGTGTGTACACATGTTCATGGCAGCAGGTACACATGTTCATGGCAGCAGATACACGTATGTTCATGGCAGCAGGTACACATATGTTCATGGTGGCAGATACATGTATGTTCACAGCAGAAGGTGCACGTATGTTCATGGCAGCAGGTACACATATGTTCATGGCAGCAGATACACGTATGTTCATGGCAGCAGGTACACATATGTTCATGGCAGCAGGTACACATATGTTCATGGCAGAAGTTACACATATGTTCATGGCAGCATTATTCACAGCCGACGAAAGGTAGAAACAGCCCAAATGCCTAACAGGTGTGAAAGGAAAACAAACCTTGGGCCCCCAAATTCCTAAGCTAAAGGGAAAATTCTAGCTGGGAACTGCTTAGGGCCAATCTGCCTGCCATTCTCTTCAAAGTCTCCCCTCTGCTCACTGAGATAAATGCATATCTGACTGCCTCCTTTGGAGAGGCTCATCAGAAACTCCAAATAATGCAACCATTTGTCTCTTATCTACCTATGACCTGGAAGCCCCCTCCCTGCTTCCAGTCTTCCCGTCTTTCCAGATCAAACCAATGTTCATCTTACATATGCTGACTGATGTCTCGTGTCTACGATGTATAAAACCAAACTGTGCTCCGACTGCCTTCAGCATGTTATCAGGGCCTCCTGAGGCTGTGAGACCTGTCTCAGTTACTTTAGAAAGTTTATTTTGCCAAGGTTGAGGACACGTACCCATGGGGAGGAGAAAAATGATCCTAAGGGGTAGATGTAAAGAAGTACTGTAAATAACAGGCCAATAGCGTGTCCAATCAATCGGACACCAAGACACTTGATGTCTCCTTTCCGCAAAAACCCTCACCCCAGGCGAACAAAGGGATGGCCACTCTAAGCTTCCTGCAGCGTCAAAAAGATTTCCACCCCCTCCTATCCCTAGAAAGAGGACATGTCGATCCCATTCTTCCCTGGAAAGGGGAGGATCAAGAGGAGGTGGATGCCTGTCCTGCAGCAGGGCAGCCTCCTCCTGTGCATGACCACATCTCACACTCACACCTCTCTCCTCCACACCCCCATGTCTCTCCCCGTTGAACACCCATGTCTCCCTCCCTTGAGCACCTGCCTCTCTGTCCTGCTTGTTCCAGTACTGGGGAGACAGGGAGCCACCAGGCTCTGGATTGGGAGCCCTGGGAAGCCACCCCGAGGGGCAAGACAAGCTTGGGTGAGCCTCAGTGCAACAGAAAGTGCAGTTCACTCTCACCAGGCTCCATCCTCCACCGAGAATGATCAGGCCTCAATCCATTCCTCAGAAGAGGAAACGGTGAGCACTTTATGCTTAAAGACAACATGGCTTGGAACCACCAGGGCACTGCTGTTATGATAATTCACCAGCTTCAGCATTCGGTACACATGACCAGAGTGTGTCAAGAATAAAGACCATGTGACTGATAACAAAGAGGGAAAGAAAGAGCAGAAAGGGACCCACGGATGATCCAAAATGGTGTTGCCAGAGAAGGACCTTAAAGACAGCTGTGATGAATGAGCTCAGTCACAAGAGATGGGAAAATGAGGGATTCCGACAAAGAAATGGAAACGTTAAAATAATAACACAGACGTTCTTGAATTGAAAAGTATGATATCTGAAATTA
The DNA here is from genome assembly GCF_000001405.40 of Homo sapiens. Taxonomy (NCBI): domain Eukaryota; kingdom Metazoa; phylum Chordata; class Mammalia; order Primates; family Hominidae; genus Homo; species Homo sapiens. The sequence continues at coordinate 241,954,814 of NC_000002.12, read as the reverse complement.
AGAATGAAATTGGTGGGTTTAATAAAAATTGAACACAGCAGAAGATAGAATTTGTAAACATAAATGCAAGTCATTATAAACTACCTCAACAGAAGTAATAGAAAATACTCAAATGAAAGGAATGGGAAAAAATAAATAGAAAATCCAGAAAGGAAAAAAATAACAGATGAGACATAGTCAATAGGTCTGAGATATGCATAATCCCAGAGAGAGATCAGAGTTAATGGGACAGACGAAATATTTGAAACGATAATGGGTGGGAATCTTTGAAAACTGTTGGAAGACCTTAATCCACAGATTCATGAAGATCAGCAAATCCCAAGGGGGATACATGTAAATCCCACCTTGGAGCACCCTACTAAGAGTAATGAGAGCCAAATACAAAGAGAAAAATCCACAAGCATAGGGGAATTGTCACGTGCCTTTCTCGGTAACTGGGATAACATAAAATTAGTCAGGATAAGGAAGACCTGAGCAACATAATCAACTAGAGCGGCCCAATTGTTCTGCCTCAGACCTTGTATCCAAAATGGCTTGCTTCCTCTTCTTCTTAAGTGTACACATAACATTCACCAAAATTTCCATATGTTGGGACATAGGGAAAGCCTCAAATAATTTCAAAGGATCTAAATTTAAAATTCAGAGCATATTTTCTGACCTCAGTAAACTTAGAAGTGAAAAAAAATACTAAAAAATGCTAAACTTCCTGGAAATTAAAGAATATGCTTCTAAATAATCCAGTGGCCAAAAGAAATCATAGCAGAATTTGGATATGTGTTGAATAAATGGTGATGAAGAAAAGACACATCAAAACTGCAGGATGCAGCTAAGCCAAGAGAAAATTATATTCACTGGAGCCTGCAGGGCAGCCACCCCGGCACAGGAGAGAGAGGACAGCGACGGGCCAGCGGAGACCTCAGGACAGCCCCGGCCTGGGCACATCTGGCTCCTCCCCCCGGCCTGGGCACCTCCGGCTCCTCCCCACAGCCTGGGCACCTCCGGCTCCTCCCTGGGGCCTGGGTACATCTGCTCCAGGCCTTTGCAGACACGGCGGCCGAGCACCCCCGGCCGGGCTGTGCAGCTGAGCACTTGGTCCTCTGCTCTGGGGGACAGTAGCGTGGCTTTTCCCACAGCTGGGGTCCCTGCAGCATCACGGGGCCACAAGTCGGGGTGACCTGCCTGCTGCGGGCTCCCTGGGTCAGACGCCCTCGAGCCTGGGTCCTCCAGCTTCCACTCCCCACAGCCTCTGGCCACAGATTCGGTTGGAGTCGCTGCTGAGGCCACAACAGAGGGCTGCGGCCGAGCGTCCACCAAGACAGGGGTCCGGCCTCCTGCCCCACCTGGCCCTGAGCGGAACCACTGCAACCCCTTCTCACCCTCCAGGAGCAGCCGCGTGCGGGGAAACAGCATCCCGTGTGAGGTGGAACCGGGAGAGGAACCTCCCCCCGCACCTTCGGGTGGACCCGGAATTGCACTCATTTATGTGGCCATTTGGAAGATGCCCCCGTGCGCTGAGCCCCCCGTCCCCTCGGTTCCTCCCTTCTCCCTCTCCTCCCCCCTCCCCTTCCCCTCCCTCTCCCCCCTTCTCCCTCGCCTGCCCCCCGCACCCACCTTGCTCTTCCCCCACCCCTTTCCCCTGAGCCTCACTCCCGACTGAGCCGGCAGCCCTGAGCCTGTATCTCAGGCGCTGCTTCCCGGAGAACCAGCTAAACACTCTTCACTCTCCGTCTGAGGGGCTGCTGTAACCACCACCACAGAGGGGGCGCACACAGACCTCCATTGCTCACAATCTGGCGGCTGTGGGTCTGAGGTCGGGCCGGCCGGGACGGGTTCTTGCTAGGGCGGCTTCCTGGCCAGGGCGGTGGAGAGCGAGCTCTGGTCTCCTCCTCTTCCTAGGATGGCACGAATCCCCTCATGTGGCCCCACCCTCATGACCCCATCTAACCCAAATCACCTCCCAAAGGCCCACCTCCAGATGTCATCACAGTGAGGCTTGGGCTTCCACAAAGGGCACGGTCCCGTCCCCGCTAAACATACACGCAAGAGCTTAAGGTTCTCAAAGTCATATCGTGGAAAACATTAGATTTCCTTAAACGTTAATATGCATCTTATTTGTATTTAAAAAGGTTTAACAGACAACCCTGTCTCAAAATGATGCCAGGCAAGCCGAGAGAGATCATCACCCATTCTTGTAATCCAAAGCTTAAAAAAGTCCTTTCCTGGCTGGACGCAGTGGCTCACGCCTGTAATCCCAGCACTTTGGGAGGCTGAGGCAGGCAGATCACCTGAGGTCAGGAGTTGGAAGCCAACCTGACCAACATGGTGAAACCCTGTCTCTACTAAAAATACAAAAATTAGCTGGGCATCGTGGCATCTGCCTGTAATCCCAGCTACCACAGAGACTGAGACAGGAGAATCACCCACACCCAGGGGGCGGAGGTTGCAGTGAGCCGAGATCTCACCATTGCACCCCCACCTGGACAACAAGAGTGAAACTCCATCTCAAGAAAAAAAGTCCTTTCCTTCTCTGGATGTGCAAGGAGCAGGAAACTGACCACAGACAGCCAGAGCCATTTCCAGGTCCTTCCGCTGAAGCGCTCCTGAGCACTCCCTACCTTCCCTGCCCAGCACCCTTCCCTCCCGAGTCCCACCTCGATTCTCTTCCGGAGACACGCAGCCTGGGCTCCGTGGGCTGCCCCACCCTGCCCTCCAAGATGGTCCCGTGACCCAGGCCTGGCCGATGAGAGCACCCAATGCCCCACTGCAGTGATGGGCTCAGAGGTGGGCACAAGGCCCCAGCCAGTGCCAGCGTCTCAATCAGAGGCTCCTGTTTGAACTGCTGGGAAGAGGAAATCTCAGAGTAGACTTGAGGCTGCAAAGAAATGACCGTGGCTGCCAGGAGCTGGCAGGAGGAGAAATCTGGGGGACTCATTTCAGAGGAAGGCATGGGTAAGAGATAGAGACCACTGAAGCCCCTAGATCCACCCATTCCTGAATGCCCCTTTGCAGTTAGTAATTGCATACATCAACAACCCCTGCCCCTTCAATGACATTCTTTTTCTGGCTTTTATCAGCTTGAATTGAGTTCCTGATGACTGCAAACAAAAGAGTCCCACTCAAGTAGTTGTTGGTGCCGTTTTTGAGTTTAGGGCACTTCTGACTTTGAAGTTAAACAGTTAAACACTTGAAAGGAATGCAGTCGGTATGGAGGTTTTTGTTTTTACTTATTTGTTGCTGTTATTTTACACAAAACAGGAGTTTCAAACATCTGGAGGCTTTTAAGGATGGGGATAATTTCTCACAGCAGCCTTAAATGCTTTGAGGTGAAGCCTCCTGTTTCTCACTGAACTTATCTTCTCAAACATCTGGGCGGCTTTAAGCATTGCATTTAAGCAAACACTCTAAACTTGTGAAGCAGGAGAAGAAAATAGGAGGCTCAATGCCCCATGGGGTTTACAGTGCAGGGGTAACTTCTGGGGGTGAAAGGAGGGACAATGCGGCCAAGAGCTAGTGGGGCCCAGCTGCTCCTCACCCCATCACCTGCAACAAACCTCGAGGCTGCCACGCGACCAGGCGAGGCCCCGCCCTGCAGCACACGGCCCTAACCCCACTCGGGGCTCCACATTCTGCCTGGAGAAAGGTCGCGGGGGCTTGCGGACGGCAGCTGCATTCCCACAGGGAATACCCCAATGGCATCGCCATTCCATCTCAGCCCCAGCAGCTCCAACCAGCACGGGCCCCGCCTGCTGACCCCCAATGCCCCTTAGCCTTTCGCCAGCCTGGGAATTTTCAAGGCTCCACGATTTCATCGCAAACAGCAAGCGCTCCACCTAGTGGACAGAAGCCGGAGCTGCCTCCCGAGACGGTGAGGACCAGCTGCAGGGTTCATCCAGCCGGGGCTGGAGCCTTCGCTTCTTTCTCCGGCGAGTCCCACTCCCTTCACTGACAAGAGGAGGCAGCGGCATCAGGAAGACGTCACCGTGGTTCTTCAAACCCAAGAGTCAAACCTGTCCACAGGGTCGATGGTTACACAATTCTCTCGTTTCCGTAAACTGCCCCTACGCCAAGGTTTATTTACTCTAAAGAGGTGTGGGGTCCTGGCAGCAGGGGCCCAAGGAGGCGTGGATTCCGCCAGGACGAGGGGTGTGACGGCCTCACCTGCGTCTCACGCTGGCTTTGCAACCACAGGTTTGTGAAAATAAATGAAACGCATTATTCACTGTGCCCATTCGGCTCCAAACAGCAGGTCACTGTTGTGCAAGAATGACCCAGAGGATGGCAGGGGAGATGGCGAGGCAGGTCACACACGTCCTAAACAATGGAGCCTTACCCACCCCAAACACACGCACACACAGACACGGGAAAACACAGGCATATATGCAGACACACACGTGTGTTCACACACAACCATGAAACACAGAAAGACACTTGTACGCACAGACAAGCCCTGAGACAGCATGCGCACACAGACACGTGTGCACACACACATGCACACCTGTGCTCACACATGGACCCATGCACACCTGTGCTCACACACGGACCCATGCACACAGACACACGCATGCACACCTGTGCTCGCACACGGACCCATGCACACAGACACACACATGCACACCTGTGCTCATGCACGGACCCATGCACACAGAAACAGAGAAACACACCCACACAGCCGCATGTGTGCACATATTCATGCACACACACACAGGGACACGCTTCCCTCACACAGACTCCCCCTTTAGGCCCACCCTCCCAGCCTCCAGCACAGGCCAGGTGGAGCACCTGTGGTCAGGAAAGATGGAGACAGGGGAAGCACAGCCCTTTTCAGGGAGGACAGGAGGACCGAGGATCATGGCCTCTCTTAAGGAGGATTCCGGGGGATAGGAGGAGCACGGCTCCTTCCAGGAAGGATGGGGGTTGGGGCGAGCGTGGCTCCTCTAAGGGCATGGGAGATGGGGGGAGCCTGGCTCCTCTCGGGGGGACAGGCTGTGGGGGAGCAGGCACCTCCCAGGACAAGGGGTGCTGTGGTCCCCGCAGCTTCGTGCTGGCACTGGTGGCTGGCTCACACAGCCTTTCTGGAACTTTAGTCCTCCCTCAGAGCAATTTGGGAACTGGAGTTAGGGCCAGCGAGGATGAGGGGGCACATAAGAGATGAGAGGACCTCACCCAAAGCACACCCCAAGCCAGGGCTCCTGCCTCCCCTGGCTCCCTCTGCCTCCGTCCCCCTTGTGAGGTGGGGTCCCCGGTGCTGCTCTCCCCACGGCCCCCTGACCGCGGCTGTACAGGTTTCTTCTCACACCAGTAAGTCCTCAACTCCCACCCGGCCCAGGGAGGGCTCACCCACTCTCCACAGGCATTGAGCCCACAAGACGCCCCCACTTCCAACGCCCACGGTACATGGAGCACCCCTGGCCCCCGGCTTCCAGATTCAGCAGAACAGCTCCCAGGACGTGGAGGCGCCTCACTGTCACCCGCCTGGGAGAGGCACACGCCAGGCAAAAGAGAGGTTGGGGGGCCTCCGGGAACCACCATGGTCACTGCCATGCAGGCCCCTGGACCCTCATTTGGGGTTTTTTATGGGGTTCCAGACATGACCGATTAGGCCACAGGCCTCTGGGGACTGACCCCATCCGGGCCTCTCCCTCTCGGGTGGGGTGGGGTTGGGTGCGCCGGGCTGACCCGCACCGGTTCTACTGGCAACCAGCCCACCCTCCGGGAGCCGCCCCCTTAGCATCGAAGAGTGAGAAGATCCAGAGTGGGAGCTCCGTGCCCACAAGCTGGACAGAGACTGCGTCTCCTTCTGTGATGCTGCAGCAAAGGGGTCCGGAGAGGCCACCGCGTCCCTGCCCACCAGGGCTTCTCCAGCCTCCTCCAGCCAGGGATCAACCCCCACATGCAACCTTTCTCCTCTGCCCTGTGCCCCGCAGCCCTGCTCACCCACCTCACACACACGTACAGTCACACAGACATACAATGACACACCATCACACAAAATCACACATCCACCCCATCACACACAATCACACACAGACACACACCATCACACCCATGCAGTCACTCACACACCATCACGCACACACAATCACACACCATCACACCAGACACACCATCACACATACACACATAGACACATACACGTGCAGCCACACAGACACGGTCACACATCACACACACAGACACAATCACATGTGCAGACACCATCACACACACAGAATCACACACAGACACATGCACAATCAAACATACCATCACACACCAAGACACACACATCATTATGCACAGACACATGATCACACACGGACACAATCACACACACACACAGAGACACACATGATTACACATCACACACAGACACAATCACACACAGAGACACACATGATTACACATCACACACAGACACACACAGAGACACACACGATTACACATTATCACACACAGACCCACACATCACACAGACACAATCACACATGATCACACGTAGACACACAATCACATATAGACACAGACATACACACCACACAGACACACACATGAACACACACAGACACGTCGCCGAAGCACTGCTCAAGTCCCATTCGGGGCTGGAGCCCTCGACCCTCTCACAGGAGGCCGACGTGGCCGCCAGGCTCTGCTTCCCCGTGCACAGCTCACCGACCGCAGGTGAGGGCGCTGGCTGAGCAGACCCGGCCTCCCATGCAGGGGGAGAAAGAGGCTCCTGGGGCGCCCTCCACCACCCAGGTGTGGACAGAAGACCAGGCTCAGCAGGAGACTCTGCAAGAACCAGATGAGAACCCTCATCTGACTCGGAGCCAGGGTCCAGGAGGCTGCAGACAGTCCAGGAGTCACTCCCCACGCAGTCCAGAGAGAGTGGGGAGCAAAGCTGGCCTCATCCACAGCAGGGCAAGCCCCGGAAGCCGCCCTCGGGGGTTGGCCATGAGGTGGAGGCTGTCGCTGGAGGGCAGGTTGAGGAAATTCCCCCTCACAGTGACAGGGTGGCTTAGGAAAAGCTCAGAAAGCTGCCCCGTAGCCACTGCCAGGAAGTGCTTTCCGATGTCTAACCTAAGTCCTTCGTGCTACGGTTTTCAAATTTTATCCTCAAATAGTAACAAGCCACGTGCCTCAAATACCAAAGCCTATGAAGACAGCACGTGACCTCCTCCCCTGCCCCAGCCCCATTCCCCGGCCTCGCCCCTCCCAGCCTCCCGGAACCACTGCTCATGATTCCTTTCTCCGTTCCAGGACGGTAAGCCCAGGTCTGGGCAGGCCCACGGGCAGATGGCCCTGCACGGGGAGCCTCACCCCAGGCCACAGATAAACAGAATGCTTCCCATCGCCTCCGCGTCACACACACGTGCAAACAGTAAACGGAAACACCGTGTGAAATTCTGAAACCTCTACCCGTGGACGCTGCATCTGGGCGGCGACGTGAATGGACGGCAGGTGGGGGCGTGGGTTTTTCACTGAGGTGGGGGGTGGGGCTGCAGGGGCAAAGGGCGGGGCCAGAACGATCCATGGGGCGACCGACGGATCGGAGCTGGAGACACTGGAAGTACCTGTAGTGTCAGAAAGCGAGGAGATGCACAAACACACACCACAACGACGGGGCTCGCCGCGAGGACACGGGGCTCGTGAAAAGCGCTCCCGAGGCCAACGCTGGAACCATTTGAACGGGAAAACAGAGCAGCGCTGGGCGGTAACCCGAGGTGTAACGGAAGCATCCGCAAGTCCACAGGGACAGAAAGAAGCTCTGGACAGATTTACCGCCGGGCGAGGAGAGCCCAGCACGTGATCCAGCTCGGGCTCAGGGATGGTCCTGTCGGTGCACGAGAAAACCCAAACCCCAAGAGGGGCGTTCCGCGGAGTTCCTAACAGAGCCCTTCAAAACCCTCAAGGTCGTCAGAAACAAGGAAAGCCTGAGAAACGTCCAGCCAAGGGCAGCCCCAGGGGTCGGGTGACTAAACGCCACATGTAGTCCCAGAGGCGGGGCTGGCACAGAAAGACGGAGAAAACCAAGAAAGCGGAATGAAATATTGTCCTGTCGATGATGACGGATCAGTGATCAGTGTGGGCTGGTCAGTTACGACACAGGCACCAGTACGGGGACGTGGGCGTGGGGTCCACGGGACTCTGCCTTCTTCTCCGTCATCCTGTAAATATAAAACTCCACTAAAATTGTTTGGAAGTTTGTTGAAATAGGGAAGCTTAAAGAACAGCTAAGTCCGGGGTTCAGGGACACGGGGGTTTAGACGCTCTGGGGTTTAGGCACTGGGGTTTGTGCACCCTGGGGTTTAGGGACATGGGGGTCTGGGCGCACGGGGGTCTGGGCGCACCGCACTCGGTGCTCCCTTCCGGGGGCTGCCCTTCTGCTTCCCACACACGCTTCCATTTTCCTTTTGTCTTTTTGTCTGTCCCGCGGGTTTGTCCTTTCCCATCTCCTTAGAAAGCCTTAAACTCCCTTAGTACTGTGGGTGAGTTTTGATTTTGCATAATAAAGGTACATTGTGAGACACTGTTTTTGTTGTTGTTGTTATTTAAAAAAAAAAAGTGAAGTTAGCTGCCTATCTCAGCAAAGCCCATGTGGAGTGGGTAACGGGTGAGCTACAGACCCCGTGCGTCCTGACATTAAAGGCGTCTCGGGACAGCCCAGCTCACTGGCATGAACTTCCCTCCACGGCCATGGCCACACACTCAAGCACACTCACATGCACACACACGCACACACACCCACAGGCACACTCACACGCACACACACACAAACACATGCACACTTACATGCACGCACACACAATGCACACTCACACACATGCACACTCACGCACACACACCCACAGGCACACTCACACGCACACACAAAGCGCACACACACATGCACACTTACATGCACACACACACAATGCACACTCACACACACACATGCACAGACACGCACACCCACACGCACACGCACACACACGCGTGCATGCTCATTTCACCCACACTTCCTAGTTCAGATCACACTCATCCCCTCACAGTCAGTGAGGTCTGTAAAACGGGTCAGGGGTGACCATGGTCCACGGGTGCTGCAAACTGCTGAGACAATATTTTCCTGAAAAAGATCATCTGAAGCCATTTTGGCCACAGTGTCCCCGCACCTGTGCAAATCCCATCAGGCCTCGTGGTGCATCTGAGAGCTGTTGTGCCTGGTCCCTACGTAGGGACCATCGGAAAGCCACAGACGCCCACTGGTGCCACGGCAACCCCTGGGTGGCGCTGGAAACTTGGTTCCACCTGGACACACTCCCGCCCTGCACCCTCTGCCCCAAGCCCCACCTGCCCGGCCCACTCCCACCGCGGGCTCCGGCTGGGGCTTGGCTTGGGTTTGTCAGGCGGCACCCAGAAGGCCTGTGCCAGTCCATTTTCACATTGCTATGAAAGAACACCCCAGGCTGGGTGAAGTGTAAAGAAAGGAGGTTTAACTGGTCACCGTGCTGCAGACTATGCAGGAAACCTGACGCCAGCAGTGGCTCCTGGTGAGGCCTCAGGAAGCTTCCTCTGGTGGTGGAAGGTGAAGGGAGCCTGCGCGTCACAGGGCGAGAGCGGGAGCAAGCAGGGGCAGGTAGCAGGCTCTTTAAACCACCACATTGCGCATGAGCTCCCATGGCAAGGACGGTGCCAAGCTATTCATGAGGGATCTGCTCCATGGCCCACCTCCACATTGGAGGCCATGTTTCCACAGGAGACTTGGAGAGGACACATCAAACCGTACCAGGAGGGTGGGGGCAGAGCTGCGGGTGGCGACTGCCTCCAGGCAGGTGGGGTGATGCCCATCGGGGCGGCCTTGGTCCTTCCCTGGCCATGGTTAACCTATTTCCTGCCAGGACCGGGCAGATTACCAAGTGGGAACGGAAGATGCTGAGTCTAATGGCTCCTTTCCCCGTGGCTGCGGTACAGTCTCTGCTGGCCACTCAGGGCTGACAGTCTCTGCCAGGTGCTCCAGGGCCATTGATGAACGCTGGATATTCCCCCAAGAACACAACAAAACTATCTTGTCTACACAGCTTGCCTTGGCTCACTTTCGAAACAATGTTCGGACTTTCTACGCAAATTCCCATCAATCAGTTATATGATGAACACCACCAGCTGCAGGCCTCTATCCACGGCTCCCCATGAAGTTATCCCTTATAAATAACATTGTGATTCCATGATAAAATAAAATCATGTTTTTGTAGAAAAATAGCTATTCTATAAATAAAAATATAAATAAGAATAAGCTGTTCTCAAGGCAAACATCGTATGGATTTTTCTGTTCCACACGTCCTGGAAAATGCACTCCACGTGGGGTAGGGACAAAGCCTAGACTGTGAGACTGTGTGCAATGGCCTCTTCGAAGGCCCCTCATTACCTGTGTCCCTCGCCCACCCTGCAGTCTCCACGGAGCTCCCGGGAGCCATCTCACCCATGCCACCTGTCAGTACGACCTGGGCATGGCTTGGCATCAACTCCCCTGCCTATTTCAGTAGAACGCCATCTGCTCTGCACCTCAGAATGTATGTCCTGCTTTTGATAAACTCATTGGAATCTACATATCCCCTGATATGCAAGCACAGTTTACACAACGGCATCTAAATGGAGAAACTGGGTTTCGTCCACACTTCTCCACAGCCTTCCGCCCTCTGGGAAGCGACCTCGGGGTGGCAGCAACTCCCGACCGCCTGCAGGACCAAGTCAGGCCCCAGCTGCAGGATGCAAAGACCCAGTGCCAAACACACACCCTGGGTGCACCCTGAGCCACCCCTCCTCACTCGCCATGTGCAGAATGTTGTCAAGTATTCTCAGTGATAAAAATGCTGTCTACAGAATAAATACTATCTACAGTCCCAGAATCTCCCAGTCTGAGGGTTTCTCGGAGGGCATGTGGCTTGAATATTCCCACGGAGTCCCCGCTTCCATATTCTGCTCTGGGATTCTGGAACTGAGATCTGCAAACCTTTCCCAGATCACCACCAGCAGGGAAGTTCCAGAAGGTTCTGCCAAACAGCAGCACTGGCAGAGACCTGGAAGGTGGGAGAGAGGAAAGCCACCCTCCATTCCAGCACCCGACCGGCTCCAGCTTCTGCCAGGTCTCATGTCACCGCTGGAGCCTGGCCTTGGGGCTCAAGACCTCCGAGTCACACTCCCCTGCCCTCTGGGCCTGCGTGCCTACCGGGGAGTGCTCTCCTCTGAGCTCTGCCACGCTGGGAGCCCAATCCCCCTCTTAACTCCTGGGCCTCAGGGCAGCTGCTGCCTCTCTCCGGTTCTGATATCAGGGCTGCCCGTTGCCCTGGGATAAATGCCCCCCAAAACGCCCACACTCCAGTCCCCACAACCTGTGAGCAAACGCTGTCCCATGGCAAAATGGGCTTTACAGATGCAAATAAGGTTACTGACCTTAAAACAGGGGGAGTATCTGGGACTATCCAGCAGGCAGAGGGCAATGACATGAACCCTGGAATGCAGGGAAGCTTCTCCAAGCAGACACGGAAGAGAGTCTGCAGAAAGGGACTGCAGAGGGTTTGAAGCGATAGAAGGTCTCAAGCCACTCCTGATGATTTGAAGACGTCGGGTGGGGAAGGGGACATGATGGGGAGTGCAGACGGCCTCACGGGGCTGAGAGGCTGAGAGTGGCGAGGAAGGGGGACCCCTGTCCTGCACTACAAGGACTGGACTCTGCACACTCCCTGGATGGCCCTGGAAGCAGGTTCCCTTCTCAGAGACCCCAGATAAAGCCCAGCCCAGTCAACGCCTCGATTTTGTCCTTGTGAGACCCTTAGCAGGGGACCCAGTGCAGCCCCTGACTCCTGGCCCACAGAGCCGTGGGCGATGAATGTGAGCTGCTGTGGCTGAGTAAGAGTCACTGGTTACGGCACCCACAGGAACCTGATGCATTACACAGAGGACCCAGAGCAGTAATGCGGTGCCCCAACAGCACACACAGCAGGGACGACAGCCAGACAGCCACGACCCGCCACCGCTGCTAATAGTTTATCCCATCCACTCACAGTGCCAATGCAATTAAAGGAAAATTAAGATGTCCAGCTTTCCAAAATAACAAGAAATTAAGCCAGAGCTAGCACACAGAAATACATTCTTTAACAAATAAAATAATCCAGCGGCCCAACAGCACAAGGCCTGAAATGCCACTGTAAATTTTAGGAATTCCTGAAGCCGGAACCACAGCTGCAAGCACTCCTCTGAGGCCTGATCGGGCCATTGCCTGTGGTGCCATGTCTGGGTTTACGTATGGTAAAGATTTCCAGGAGGACTTATGGGCCCGTTGTGAAGGCACTTCTGCTGAATCAAGATTTCCACTGGACTTTTCACACAGCGCCTAGGCAAAGGAGTGTTTGCAATCCACCCACTGCAGGCAGCATGAGGACACAGGGGTCCAGACATGAGACAGAACCATGATGCTGGTCCCTGCCCAGGCAGCCATGGTGCAATTCCGTTCTCCATCAGGGGTCCCATGGACTGAGACAGACTCTCTCCTCTTTGTCCCTCTTACTCTACATGGCTCTTCCTGACCTTTCAGACGCCTGAGCCACGAAGCCCTTCTCTCCCTCCAAAGTGACTTCTCTTGTTCTACCCCCTCCCCGCCGCACCCACCTCCTCCCACTCCCCTGGTGTAACCACGTCACATCCCACCGGAGCAACTGGAACATGCCTTGTGCGGGGCTCCCCACACCCCAGCCTCCACGTCCTGCAAACACAGCCCCGCCGGCTGTCAGCCACGCTTCCAAAGCCAGGCCAGTCCCTGACGTTGTGACAGGCCGCCATCCTGTGCAGCTGGTCTGCTCCTGGCCCAATGGACTGACACCCTCCCTGACAACCCAGAAAACAAGGAACCCCAACCTCAAACAACAGATGACAGCCTGGAGGTAGCAGGGAGTGAGCAGAGCAGGCAGACGTGGAAGCTGCAGGCTCAGGGGAGGGGCCAGGCACCATGCCCATGACAGCCCATCCCACCACCCCACCCCTAAGCCCGGCCAGGCCCAGGCAGCTCTCACGTGCACAAAGTGTAGGAGGGAACTTGGAACGTTGGAGGAAGTGGGGTGTCCCTCAAGGGATGTGGTCTTAATGATCATTCTGCACCAGTGGTAAAATTGCCTCTACCTTGGGCTCCATGTGACCATTCAGAAATGCAAGTGGCTGCACTTTCACTCCAATTCCTACAAAAATGCTCAAATCCACTGCAGCCAAGGCACTTCTCTAAAACAGGCCGAAAAACCGCTGGAGCCCAGCAAGGAATCATGGGCTAAGAAACCTGGAGCCAGTTGAACCAATGTGAAGTCTTATAAAATACCAAGTGATACCAAGCAGCAGACATCTCACACAATGGGCTCTGCATAAAACCTCGTTCCACCTCCAGCTGTACTTTGTTTTGTTGCAGTATGGATAGGGTCATCCTAATTTTGTCCTTGCTTTGCATGCATAAAATAGGTGTGGGCACCGCAATAATACAGCGGATATAATAGGTCCAGAGCAAGGAACCGGCGACCATAACTCATGACCCCTGAGTCTCCCGTCTCGCCACATCTTTGAATCTCCTTTGAATTATCCCAGCAGTGTTTTGTAGCTTTCAGTGCATGGGTCTTGCACGTATTTATTCAATGCTTTCCCTACATATTTTATATTGCTTGAAGCCATTGTAAGTGATATCCAGCTGTTCAGTGCTGGTGTAGAAAAATTTGTTCAGAGAAATTTGGGTTTTGAATATTGACATTCTGTTTTGCAGTCCTGAAGTCAACTCAATAATTAGTAATTTAGTATCAGAACTAATGTTCTAATAACTTTAAAATTTCCCTTAAACTTGAAACTTAAAATTTCCATAAACTTGATCATGGCACCTACAGAAGAAAGTGGTTCCTCTTCTTTTCCAACATGGATGCCTGAGTTATTTTCTTGCCTTGCTGCCCATGGGACTCTCCAGTGCAACCTAAGTCTAATGTAACTCAACTCAGAGGTCCTGGCCTTGTCCCAGGCATGGGGAAGCACATCTGGAGGTTGAGGCTGTGGATGATGAAAGCTGCAGGTTTTCCATGAACGCCCTTTACCAAGTTGAGGAACGTGCCTTCTTTTTCTGTTTGCTGTGTGCTTTGTTTCCTCTTGTTTCACGAGTGGCTGCTGGACTGTATCAAATGCTTGTATTGTGTATATTGAAGTAATCATACTGTGTCTTGTTGGAATACTTTCCCTCATTCTTTTTAATACTGTGAATTACATGGATTGAGTTTCAGATGTGAAACCAACCCTGCATTCCTGAGATGATCTGCATTAAGTCAGGGTGGACTGCCCTCTGCTGGATTGGAGGTGCTAATGTTTTGCTATGGACTTCGCATCTACGTTCATAGACTCCCTGGTGTTTCGTTTTCTTTTCTGTGCGATGGCTTTAGTTTTTGTACCAGGATGCCGAAGCAAAGAGGGAAAACTTCCACCTTCACCCTCGGAAAGTTCACAGAAAATACACTGACAAAAGGTGGATTAATAGGAGGAAAAGCATAGAAATTTATCTTAACATTAACAGCATGGGAGAATCACAGGAGAATAATTACCCAATAACCCAGTGAGGTCCACATCCTTCTTCACAGGGGAGGGGAGATGGGGGTGTGAGAGGAAATGATTTTCAGGAGGGAGTGAATGGACCCTGGAGGCAGCGTTATCAAAGATTCTCTGGTAATTGAATGAAACCTGAGAACAAACAATGGCTTGGGACAACGTTGGCAGTTCACTCGGTGCCAGGAAGTTCACCTGGGCTCCAGGAAGTTCACCCAGGCTCCAGGAAGTTCACGTGGGCCCTAGGAAGTTCACCTGGGCTCCAGGAAGTTCACCCGGGCTCCAGAGGTTCACCTGGGCTCCAGGAAGTTCATATGGACTCCAGGAAATTCACGTGGGCTCTAGGAAGTTCACCTCGGCTCCAGGAAGTTCACCTCAGCTCCAGGAAGTTCACCTTGGAAGTTCACCTGGGCTCTAGAAAGTTCACCTTGGCTCCAGGAAGTTCACCTTGGCTCCAGGAAGTTCACCTTGGGTGCAGGAAATTCGCCCAGGCTCTGGGACATTCGCTCAGGCTCTAGGAAGTTCACGTGGACTCTAGGAAGTTTACCCACACTCCAGGAAATTCATCTAGGTTCCATAAAGTTCACCTGGGCTCCAGGAAGTTCACCCAGGACCTAGGAAGTTCACTTGGGCTCCAGAAAGTTCACCTTAGCTCTAGAAAGTCCACTCGGGTTACGGGAAGTTCACCTGGCTCTAGGAAGTCCACCTAGTCTCCAGGAAGTTCACCCAGGTTACAGGAAGTTCACCTGGGCTTTAGAAAGTAAACGGAGGCTCTATGAAGTTCATGAGAGCTCTGGGAGGTTCACCCTTGCTCCAGGAAGCTCATTCAGGTTCCAGGAAGTTCACTTGGGCTGTAAGAAGTTCACCTGGGTTCTAGGAAGTTCGCCTGGGCTCTAGAAAGTTTGCCTGGGCTCTAGGAAGTTCACTTCTGCCCTAGGAAGTTCATCCAGGCTCCAGGAAGTTCACCTGGGCTCCAGGAAGTTCACCCGGGCTCCAGGAAGTTCACGTGAGCTCCAGGAAGTTCACATGGGGGCCAGGAAGTTCACATGGGCTCTAGGAAGTTCACCCATGCTCCAGGTAGTTCACCCAGGCTCTAGGTAGTTCACCTGGTCTCCAGGAAGTTCACCTGAGCTCTAGGAAGTTCACCTGGTCTCTGGTCTCCAGGAAATTCGTGTGGGCTCTAGGAAGTTCACCTGGGCTCTAGAAAGTTCACGAGAGCTCTAGGAAGTTCACCTGGGCTCTAGATGTGGTGTCTGACGTTCAGAATCCTCCTATGTGATGTGAATTTTTATCTTCTCTGGTTCATGGAATTTCAGGGAAGGAATGGAAAGCAATTTTGTTTCTCTTTGGGGGTCTGGTTTCTTGGTAGACGAGAGCCTTGGGAGAGTGGCCTTCTCCTATGCTTGGAAGAGGCAAGGGGTCAAGAGATTTTGGAGCTCGAATAGACCTTAGGGCTGCTTCTTTGGATCCTTATTTTGAGGTATCATTTTCTGAGCCCCAACAAGGGCAACACAGGCCTCATATTTGGTTGGGAAGTGTTCCATGCACCTCTATTTTCTGAAAGAGTTTAGGTGGGATTGATATAATTTCTTCCATCATGGTTGATGAATTCACCAGTGATGCCATCTGGGCCTGGACTTCTTCTAGGGAAGTTCTTAAGTTACAAATTCAATTCTTTTAAGAATTATAAGGCTATTAGGATGTTCTATTTTTTCTTAAGTTTTAATAATTTGTGTCTTCCAAAGATGTTAAAGACTTACAAAGATTCTGTTGAATGACTATGGTAAAATTGTTCCCTAAGACCCTTTTAACTGTCTCTAGGATTTGAAGTGACATCCCTCTGTCATTCGCAGTATCAGTAATATCTCCTCTGTTTTCATCTTACCTACTATAGGTTTATCAAATTGTATTGGCTTTTTTTCAAACAACCTACATTTGGGTTCATTACCTTTCTTACTGTTTGCCTATTTTCTGGTTTCACTGTTTTCCTGTTTTCTAAATCTAACCAGTGAATTAACTTTATTTCCTCCCTTCTACTCAATCCTAGATAAATTCACCCTACTTCTCAGCTTCCTAAGTTCAGAACTGCATCACTGATTTTGATCGTTCTCCTTTTGCAATGTAATGCCAGAAAATTCTCTCTAAGCACAGCTATCTTCATCTTCTACATTTTAATGTTGTGTTTTCATTTTTATTCCCATCGCTGTATTCTACCTTTCTTTGTGGTTTGTTCTTGGACCCAGTGGATTATTTAGAAGTTCAGACACCTCCAGCAGTGTGGACACACCAAGCAGATGACACACGTATTGAGTTCTGATTTGGTTTTGGTTTTTTGCTTTAGAAAATTTAGTGTAGGACCGCATGGGCGCTCACAGCTTTCATCCCAGTGCCTTCAGAGGCTGAGGCGGGAGAACTGCTTGAGCCCAGGAGTTCATGACCAGCCCGGGCAACACAGCAAGACTGTGTCTCTATAAAAACATTTTTAAAAATCAGTGTAGCCCTGAAACACAGGCAACACCATTAGCTTAATGCTCATGGTGTAAACAGGAGCTTGCTGGCCTTGGTTCCATGCTCCCCTGTTGGCATCAATATTGTACCACTTACTACTGTAAGACAGACAAGGCGGGAGACCCAGGGCTGTGTGGGGGTTGGCGGGTGGGGATGAGCACGTGGCTGACGTGAACTGCCACGGTGCAGAGTCCCCGGGGGCGTTCAGGGCAGGGCTAGCATGTCAGGATGACAACCGCAAGGCCGGCCAGTGGAGAGCGCTTCCAAAGCATCCTAAGATCTCGGGGAGCATGAGCTCATGGACCCCAGGTAGAGCTGACCAATGCCTACACACCCTGCACAACCCCCAGGCACCCTGGGCTCCCTGAGAACATGAGAGAGAGCTCCAGGCCTTGGCTGTGTCTCGGGGAGGCCGAATCGTCCGTCATCACATATACCCACATATGCGTGTACAATATTACACATTGCACATACCATACAGAATGTGTGTGTCCCAATTCAGTTTCACCCTTAATCCTGAGTCCAGGATTCTTATCCCCCAAGGGAATCATTCCTACCCTCTTCTCCCACTCCGGCCCGTGGAAGGGAGCACTCAGCTTCCAGGTGCAGCGGGTGAGTGGATAAAAGGCGTCTCCACTGTGGCTTCCAGGGCACTGGGGGATTGTGAACTGGTGAGGAGGGGAAACACCGAGGAAAACAAGGTCTTTGCCAAAGACTCAAGGTCTCCCTACTGTCTGCCGCCTGTTGTCACGGCAAGTGCAAGTGAGTTTTCGTCTCCCGGCCCATCGTGCACCCACGGGGCAGGCACAGCCACAGCAGCCACTCCGTCCCCACCGCGTCCTCCGCAGCCCTACGCGGGCCCAGCGTCCCGCCGTGGAGGACCTCCCCTCCGAGGGCTGCGGGAGAGGCGGGAGGAGTCAGAGATCACAGGCAGGGGAAGGAGCGCACAGACAAGCCACGGGGCTACGGAGCCCCCCACCCCCTGCCCGCCAGCCAGCCCCGTCGTGACCATCACGCGGCCGTCGCCTCCGGAGCCCATCCCGGTGAGCGCAGGTGGCTGGAGGCCTTCCCTGAGGGCCCCGCGGCAAAGCGGCCTCCAGCGGACACACGACCAACCTGCACGCCCGCTGAGCCTGGGGAGGAGGCCCTGCCCGTGCACACGAGGGCGCGTCTGGAAACAACACGAGCTGCGGGGCGGGGCGTGCGCGGGGCCCTGGGGCGTGTGGGGGCCATCAGGTGGGGGCTGGGCCACGGGCCCTGCGCTGCCTTTTGCTCCCCACCGGCCCTGCGGCCCCTTCCCTCTGCTTCTGTTTAGGGTCAGGCATGTCCGCCTCCCTCACAGGCCATCGGAGGCTCTGAACCCTGTCCCTGGGAGGCAGCTGCGCCCCATCCCTCCGCTCTGGCGCCCAGGCCTCTTCACAGAAGAGGCCCTTTTCAAAGGGTCCACTCCGGTCTTCTGCCCCTGTCTATTATGTCGCTTGTCTTATTACTGAGTATTAAGAATCCTTGTAGATTCCACATACGAGTCTTGTGTTGGATGCGTGCTTTACAAATATGTTCTCCCAGTCTGTGGTTTGTCTTTTCATTTTGAAACAAGCTTTTCAAAGAGTAAAATTTGTTGATTTTGATGTCAATTTTATCTCGTTGTTTTTCATGAATGCCTTTTGCGTCCTGTCTAAGCAATATTTGCCTACTTCAGGGGCTGGCAAACTATGGCCCATGGCCCGGATACCAGTGTTTGTAAATAAAGTTTTATTGGCGCAGTGCCATGCTCATTGTGTGGACCACCTTCAGGCCACAGCCATTGAGTTCAGTCATTGCCACAGACCTGCAACCCACCAAATCCAGGATATTCACTCTGCCCATTTCAGAAAAAGTCGGCCCCCCCAACCTGCCCAAAAGTTACACAGATTTTCTTTGACATTTTCGTCTAAAGTTTTGCAGTTTTAGTCTTTTTGGGGTTAAGTTTATGTATAGTGTGAGGTAGGGATCAAGGTTCATTTTTTTTCCCCATGTGGACACTCATGATTATTCCAGCAACTTTTCTTCACTCTGCTGAGGCACCTTGGCACCTTTAACAAAAACCTATTGATCCCACACATGTGGGTCTATTTTGGGACTCTGCTGTTGCTTTGATCAATGTGTTTATCCTTACAGCAGTGCCATGGTGTCATTACTGTTGTTTTATAGTGAGTCATGAAACCAACTCGCCAGTTTCTACAGAAAAAGCCTGCTGGATTTCAACTTGGATTGCATTAAATCTATGGTTTCATTTGGGGAGAACTGATGACTCATGCATACTGAGCATCCCTGTCTCTCTTCAGGTTTTGATGTTATCTCTAATTTCTCTCTACAGTGCAGAGTGGCTTGCAGTGTACAGGTCTTAACACCATGTTAAATATATATAACATATATATATCATGGTTCTTGCTGACATTGTAAGTAGAATTTGTTTAATTTCATTTTCCAACTGTTCATTGTTTGCCCATGGTCTTACTTTTAAGAATAACAAAATCCTGTCCAAAGCCCACAAGAAGACCACCTCGCAGCTCATTAGTCAAAATTACACCACTGGCTGGGTCCTATAGTCGGTGAAGGTGCAGGTGGTGTTACCAAATCACCATACTGAATCTAAGGGTTTGATTTGTGCAAAAAACACAGAGTAGGGGTCTTTCTACAGCTCAGAGACCTCACCCCTTTACTCACCCAGTAACACCAACATCTTGTGGTCCCTTAATGTTTTTGGAGAGTCAAACCTGGTGAGGAGCTCTGGGCAAAGATTTTTTCCCCCAACCACCCTCTCCTGCCCTGTAGTCTTGGGCCCCAGTTCAGAAGAAGGAGCCTGGTACAGCCTGGACCTTCCTGCCCAAATCCATCTCCCACCATGAGACCCTTGAGCAAAGCTCAGGCCACTCCACACTGGCACAAGTTTCTCAGACACCACAAATCTGGAGCCCGGGTGGAGGCCAGCTTCCCTGCCCACAGGGTGACCTGTGGCCTCACTTCTCTCTATGTCTGAGGCCAGCACCTCCTGCATGGGGGTGAAAACCTGAGGACACTGGTTTTGGGGGAAACTGGAGCACCAGACCACCCTGGTCCCCCCATCCCCCCGCCAACTTCACAGTCTGAAGCAGGAACCAGAGGGGCTTCATGGGCCCAGGGCGGCCTTCCTATGCTCCAGACCAGGATGCAGAAGGCAGAGCCAGCAGGTACCCCACCATGATGGAAACTTCGACCAGCTCTGCATTTGCTGCTGTTCTAATCCTTACAGGAGAGATAGGCAGGTGCCGCAGGTTCTGCACACCCGGGCTCCTTGACGTTTGGACAGACTCAGTTCTGATTGAGGTCTGAAGAGCCTTTTGTTGAATCTCTTTCGAATAAGTAAAAGATATTTTCGGCCAGGTATGGTGGCTCACACCTGTAATCCCAGCACTTTGGGAGGCCGAGGTGGGCAGATCATGACGTCATGAGATCGAGACCATCCTGGCCAACATGGTGAAAC
Source organism: Homo sapiens (assembly GCF_000001405.40). Lineage (NCBI taxonomy): Eukaryota > Metazoa > Chordata > Mammalia > Primates > Hominidae > Homo > Homo sapiens. The sequence goes on along the minus strand of NC_000002.12, from coordinate 241,934,239 downwards.
CCCGTCTCTACTAAAAATACAAAAATTACCTGGGCATGGTGGCACACGCCTGTAGTACCAGCTACTCAGGAAGCTGAGGCAGGAGAATAGCTTGAACCCGGGAGGCAGAGGTTGCAGTGAGTCAAGATGGCACCATTGTACTCCAGCCTGGCAACAGAGTGAGACTCTGTCTCAAAAAAAAAATAAAAAATAAAAAATATTTTCAGCATCAAAACCTGTAAAGCCAGACATTGTAGATGTTCAGCTCAGCTGAACTGGAGAAAACAGAAGTTTATTTTCCAGAAGTGGAAAATATCAAGATTCTGTGGATCCCAGGCTGGGACCTGGGGCGTATTCACTGTGTAGATGTAACCGAGCAGAGGAGCCAGGAGAGCTGTGCCCTCAGCCCCTACTCGGAGATGCACTCACAGAATCTCATTGAACCAAAAGAGCATTCAGTGAGAAAAGGAATCCAGCTCGATCAGCGTCTGCTCTGCATTCCGTTCACGCTGTTCCTTTGAGCAGAAAGGAATTTAAATGCCTAAAATAAACAGCATTTTATGACTGTCTTTATCTCACTCTCTCTGCTTGTGTGTAACATTTGTCATCATAAACTCAAAAGTAAAATGAATACATTTTTTCAAAATACCTGTCTTTGGTTTCAAAACTAGCTTTGGGAATGTTTTAATGAGTTGTTTTCTCTCTAGAATGTTCCCTTGGTGTGTTTGGTCTGCAGAGTAGCTTCAGAATGAATTTCTCTCTCTCCTTTTGAAAGAACTTCAACCAAAAGATTTGTTTCTGCCGTTAAACCAGGCACTGGAGTTCAGCTGACATCAGCTAATTAAAGCCCTGCTCAGATGCCTAGCCACACCCCGTTCCACATCCTCCTGTTCTGGGGCAGACACAGAGGCCAAGTGTTGGCCACTCAGAGGCTGTGAAGCTTTCCCAACAAGGGAGCAGGCGTCCCTGACCAGGGAGGATTAGAGGGGGCTGGGCATTCTTGGGGCTGGGCATGAGCTGGGCAAAGCTCAGAGGAAGAGTGGCCTGTGCTCCTCCGGGTGGAGGAGGACCAGCTGAGTCTGATGTCTGCTTCTGAAACCCTTACTGTGGTCAGTTCTGTCCACCTGCTGAGGCCAAGGCACTGGGTTTTGTCATCCTGAAGCCCCTCCCGCGTAGCAGCCGCTCCTGGGCCTGCATCCTGGGTCATCCCGTTCCCCTACGGGCATGGCGGCTACCTGTGAGTCACAGGGCAGCCTGGACCCGGGACCTTGCTAAATAAAGCTGCTGGTTCCAGCCAAGGCATGGCCTTCTGGAGGGATGGGCCCGTGGGAAGGCTGCCTGGTTGGAAGGCGCAAGGTTAGCGGCGACCCCTGTCCCAGGGAGGCTGAGATGTGCTGGAACAGGATGCTGCCCTGGCTACCTCCGCGGCCCTGGACAACCGTAAAGGCTGGAACTCTCCACGCCGGACGAAAAGGGCCGGGCTGATGTGAGGACAGCACGGCCAGGGCCTTCGTGGGTCTCGGGGCTGAGATAGCCGGCAGGGCCAGCCCAGTGCATTCCACCTAGAGCCGCACAGCGCCGTCCTGCACATGGAGCTAGGCAGGACGGGGGACTCCCGGGTGGGGCGCTCTACTCCCCGTGCAGAACCTCTCACCTCACAAGGCTCTGAGAAAGTCAACTCTATAAAGGCTGGGTCCCGAGAGCTCTGGAAAGCCCCGTAAACCACCACCCCCAAACCCCGCCCCAGGCCAAGGTTTCCAGGAAGGGGAAGGGTCCAGGAGGGGAAGAGGCAACGTGCCCACAACCCTCCCAGGATACTAATTCCCAAGCAGGTCCCTGCAACTGTACATTTAAGTTGAGGGGTCAGGGGGCTGGAGGGGAGGGGCACCACCAGCCAGGCACCACCTGCCCACTCCCCACTCAGCCTAGCTGCTGTCTGAGGTCTGTGGCCGCAGCCTTTGTGAGAGCCAGAGTGGTCTGCACTGGGGGTTAGAGATGGAGGCTTTATCAGGTCATGGGTCAACTTAGTGTCAGGGAGACTTTTCAAGGGGGGCTGTGCAGTCCACCAGGGCACCTGGCGCCCGAGGCCTCTCTGGGGTACTCACGGCGGTGGATCTCCACCAGGACCACTCCCACAGGGGCTCCAGAGCACTGCCATTCCGGGCCTGTCCCCTCTGCACTCGCTGGGCCGCTTCCAGAAGGAAACACTGTCCCTCACCCACTACTGAGCAGGGGATGAGTGAGGCCCCCTCCTGAGGGGCCAAGGGGCTTCTGCTCTCAGCACCCAGAGGCGCAGGGTTGCGGCATCAAGGGGCTTCAGTTGTGGGCACCTACTCTGAGTTCTCTACGCCTCCTGACCGATGTTAGGAGGGTCCCTTTGTCCCTTCCCTGGCCCCAAGCTAGAAGCAGCCATGTCTGCAGGGAGCTTTGCTTCCTCCCAGGGAGGAACAAATTCACAGAAGGTGCCTGGACTCAGCTTGCTTGGTGAGCCACTGTTTCTTTCCTGCATTGGTACCGAGACTTCCAGCTCAGCCTCAGGACTACAGGCATTTTCTTAACCTCATCAACTGCGATCCGTCCGGCCTTCTCTGCCTTCTCCAGTCCCCGAGAACCCCAGGGGCCAGTGGTGTCTGCTCCACCTCACCAACCACAGGCCAGTGCCCACCTGAGTGCGGCGGCCTGGGCCTGGGATTGGAGCCCCGAGAGAGGAGCAGTCACATGACAGTGCAGGTGTCCTGGTGCAACCCACGGGCCGGCTTCCTATTCTCAGACCACGGCTCCAATCCGTGGCCGTGTCTTTGACTTCCACGCACTGAATCAGTGACTTTCCACTTTTCTCATCTGTGAAATCAGACCTTTATGCCATTTGGGGGGGCCATGGTCATGGGGAGGGGCCACAGAAGTCTCCGCGGGTGTGATGTCTCCCCATCCCCCGTGCGTGCCCTCTGCCCACACGGTCTTATTCCGTCCCCGAGGCTGCGAGACATCACTGCTGTCCAGTCCGTCCTGCAGATGTGGAGCCGACTGGGGGCTGCAGGGTTTCCCTGGGCCTCCCCCAGACCCTCCAGATGCAAAGTGGATTCAAACCCCTTTGTCTGACTCCACGGTCAGAGTGTGGTGCAGCAAGGCCTGGACCGTTCTCTCTACTCTCAAGGATTTTTTTTCCCCAAGGATGATTTTTCATTCAACTCATCTGCTGGAAAGTCTTCTGAGGTAATGGGAGGAAAAAAAATTAATCTGGGAAATTAGTTCAGTAAAAATATTTTTTCTGGAGAAGCCCAAAAAGTTAGGAAGTTGGCCCAGGAAGAAGGTTCTGGAGAACTATGGTGGTGTTTTTCCTGTTTGGTTTCTAGAAAAGCAAAATCAACTTCCCAGAAAACACGCAGGACAATGCCTCGGGGACCCTGATTCTCCTTGCCACCCTCCATCCTGCTGGCACCTTGAGTTCAGGGTGTCGGTGCTACTTTTTAAGTTAGAAAGGGAGAGAGAGAAAAAAAAAAAAAAAAAAAAAAAAACAGAAAGAAGGCTGGGGACAGTGGCTCACTCCTGTAATCCCAGCACTTTGGGAGGCCGAGGCAGGCGGATCACCTGAGATCAGGAGTTCAAGACCAGCCTGGCCAACATGGTGAAATCCTGTCTCTACTAAAAATACAAATATTAGCCAGATGTGGTGGCTGCCTGCTGTAGTCCCACCTACTCAGGAGGCCGAGGCAGGAGAATCGCTTGAACCTGGGAGGCAGAGGTTGCAGTGAGCCAAGATCGTGACATTGCACTCCAGCCTGGGCCACAGAGTGAGGCTCCAAAAAAAAAAGCCGGACGCAGTGGCTCACGCCTATAATTTCAGCACTTTGGGAGGCCGAGGCAGGCAGATCACAAGGTCAAGAGATCGAGACCAGTGGGAGTGGGACCAGGTCCAGTCCTGGGGGAGCTCTAATCCTTTCTGAGAGACTCTCCTCCCGGGGCAGCTTCCTCACACACTTGTGCTGATCAACATTCAGCTGAAGACGAGGCCCTCTCCCCAGGCCTCCATGCCCCTCCCACCTGTAGGGTGCTTCTCCCATGGACTCCACCAGCTTTGGGCCCTTGGGATCCAGTTCCATCTCCTTAACCCAGGAAGCCCCGGGTTCTGCCTCGGCTCCCTGCCCTGCACCACAGCCTGGAACCTCTTCCCTGAGCTGTGGCATCGGCAGGTCTCACCCTCTCTGTTTCCTGCCTCCCAGGGATCAGTGTCCTTCATTACTTCATATCCAATACATTAAAAACGATGGCTTATTTTTTCTTGTGTTGCAGCTGGTTTTGGTTCTGGGGTGAGGGTAAATTGGTTCCTTTTACTCCACCCTGGATGGAAGCGGAAGTCCTAAACTCACCCTTTAATCTTTCTGTGAGACAAGACGTGTTCAAAAGAAAACATTCAGTAAGGAAGATTTTAATCGGATTTTTTGTCCACGTGAAAGACTTGGGAAACACGGTGCTTAATTCAGCTGGTCGGCGTCAGCCAGCGAGGCCAGGTTTCTCCCTCGCACTCAGCCCAAACGGGACACCCAGCCATTCTCCCTCCACGCTCAGGGGCTGGGAAGATCCAGACAGGGCAGCCCCAGACCTCCCAACTCAGGAAAAGAAATTCCAGAAGCAAGGACCTTTCTCCTGTAAGTGGGGTGGAGTGGTTCCCTCTGCTGTGAGTGGGGGTGGAGTGGGTCCCTCTCCTGTGAGTGGAGTGGAGTGGGTCCCTCTGCTGTGAGTGGGGTGGAGTGGGCCCCTCTGCTGTGAGTGGGGTGGAGTGAGTCCCTCTCCTGTGAGTGGAGTGGAGTGGGTCCCTCTCCTGTGAGTGGGGTGGAGTGGGTCCCTCTCCTGTGAGTGGAGTGGAGTGGGTCCCTCTCCTGTGAGTGGGGTGGAGTGGGTCCCTCTGCTGTGAGTGGGGTGGAGTGGGCCCCTCTGCTGTGAGTGGGGTGGAGTGAGTCCCTCTCCTGTGAGTGGAGTGGAGTGGGTCCCTCTCCTGTGAGTGGGGTGGAGTGGGTCGCTCTCCTGTGAGTGGAGGTGGAGTGAGTCCCTCTCCTGTGAGTGGGGTGGAGTGGGTCCCTCTCCTGCGAGTGGGGGTGGGAGTGGGCCCCTCTCCTGTGAGTGGGGTGGAGTGGGTCCCTCTCCTGTGAGTGGAGTGGAGTGGGTCCCTCTCCTGTGAGTGGAGTGGAGTGGGTCCCTCTCCTGTGAGTGGGGTGGAGTGGGTCGCTCTCCTGTGAGTGGAGGTGGAGTGAGTCCCTCTCCTGTGAGTGGGGTGGAGTGGGTCCCTCTCCTGTGAGTGGGGTGGAGGGGGTCCCTCTCCTGTGAGTGGGGTGGAGTGGGTCCCTCTCCTGTGAGTGGGGTGGAGTGGGTCCCTCTCCTGTGAGTGGAGTGGAGTGGGTCCCTCTCCTGTGAGTGGGGTGGAGTGCGTCCCTCTCCTGTGAGTGGAGGTGGAGTGAGTCCCTCTCCTGTGAGTGGGGTGGAGTGGGCCCCTCTCCTGTGAGTGGGGGTGGAGTGAGTCCCTCTGCTGTGAGTGGGGTGGAGTGGGTCCCTCTCCTGTGAGTGGGGTGGAGTGAGTCCCTCTCCTGTGAGTGGGGTGGAGTGGGTCCCTCTCCTGTGAGTAGGGGTGGAGTAAGTCCCTCTCTTGTGAGTGGAGGTGGAGTGGGTCCCTCTCCTGTGAGTGGGGTGGAGTGGGTCCCTCTCCTGTGAGTGGGGCTGGAGTGGGTCCCTCTCCTGTGAGTGGAGTGGAGTGGGCCCCTCTGCTGTGAGTGGGGGTGGAGTGAGTCCCTCTCTTGTGAGTGGAGGTGGAGTGGGTACCTCTGCTGTGAGTGGGGTGGAGTGGGTCCCTCTCCTGTGAGTGGAGGTGGAGCGGGTCCCTCTCCTGTGAGTGGAGGTGGAGTGGGTCCCTCTCCTGTGAGTGGGGTGGAGTGGGTCCCTCTGCTGTGAGTGGGGTGGAGTGGGCCCCTCTGCTGTGAGTGGGGGTGGAGTGGGCCCCTCTGCTGTGAGTGGGGGTGGAGTGAGTCCCTCTGCTGTGAGTGGGGGTGGAGTGGGCCCCTCTGCTGTGAGTGGGGGTGGAGTGAGTCCCTCTGCTGTGAGTGGGGTGGAGTGAGTCCCTCTGCTGTGAGTGGGGGTGGAGTGAGTCCCTCTCCTGTGAGTGGAGGTGGAGTGGGCCCCTCTGCTGTGAGTGGGGTGGAGTGGGTCCCTCTGTTGTGAGTGGAGGTGGAGTGAGTCCCTCTCCTGTGAGTGGGGTGGAGTGGGTCCCTCTCCTGTGAGTGGGGCTGGAGTGGGTCCCTCTCCTGTGAGTGGAGTGGAGTGGGCCCCTCTGCTGTGAGTGGGGGTGGAGTGAGTCCCTCTCTTGTGAGTGGAGGTGGAGTGGGTACCTCTGCTGTGAGTGGGGTGGAGTGGGTCCCTCTCTTGTGAGTGGAGGTGGAGCGGGTCCCTCTCCTGTGAGTGGAGGTGGAGTGAGTCCCTCTGCTGTGAGTGGGGTGGAGTGAGTCCCTCTGTTGTGAGTGGAGGTGGAGTGAGTCCCTCTCCTGTGAGTGGGGGTGGAGTGAGTCCCTCTGCTGTGAGTGGGGTGGAGTGAGTCCCTCTCCTGTGAGTGGGGGTGGAGTGGGTCCCTCTGTTGTGAGTGGGGGTGGAGTGGACCCCACCACTGTGAGGAGTGGGAGGTAGTGTTGGCCTCTGCCTTTCCCAGGCTCTCTTTAACGCCTACTAATTAAGGCTGCGGCTCTGAAGCCCCAGGAGTGAGACTCTGAGAAATCCCGAGTGGCCCTTCTCCTCTGCCCCGTCCAGCCAGCAAAGGCAGACAGCAGAAGCCAGGCCCACTGATGTGGGCAGCTCCCAGCAAGGTTTTTTATTCATGGGGGTTTCCAGACCTCAGATCAGAAGAAGCTGAAACACATTGCAGACGGATCTCCATCGGAAATCTAAGACCCCACTTTCAGTCTAAAGGAAAGCAGTCCTGAAGCTGCGCCTGGCCGCGTTGCCCCTGAGTGGCTGTAACTAAGCAGCCTCCACCTGGCCGCCTTCATGCTAAAAACTTTTGACCTTAACCACAGGCACGCATCGGCTTAATGAACACCCAAGGACGGGGCACGCGGCCCAGCAACAAAAGAGACAAACCAACAGGTGGTGACGGCTCGACTCATCCGAGGCCAGGCTGTGGAGGACTCACCTTCAACACACATATCACAGCCGCTGCGAAAAATAGAAAATAAACAGACCGAGGTGACTGGGGGTTCCCGTGCTCTGTTCTCAGCTGAGGACAGCAACCAAGGGGCGGGAGCGTCGCTTTCAGGAGTGACCAACCCTCACTGTGCTAAGAAGCCTGTGGAGCCGCAGCAGGTGTCTGGGCGCTCTGGGCACTGAGGCAGGAACCAGATGTGCGATTCTGCGGGCAGGTTCCGGGGACAGAGCTTTGCTGAGGCCCCAGGGTCCCGGTAAAGTCAGTCTTAACAGGGGGACCTTGGATCCGGGTGTTCTCCAGACCGAAGGGGTGATTGAATCAGAAGGGAACTTGTTAAGTTAATAAGCAGCCCTGTATGAAGCAGGGGCGTGTCTGGCAGCCAGAGACACGTGCGTGGACTCAGAACCAAAATCCAGGGCTGACCCAGCTGCCTCCCGTCTTCCCCTGTCCCTTAAATCAGGCAAACCGCATCTGTATTTGACTTTTTTTTTTTTTAATTTGGGGGTGGACTGAGAACAATAGCCAACATCTCAATATTTCATCCCTAAGTCCCTTTTCCTCCCTCTTGGCAATGTGGGCTTCCCACCCTCACCTTCTCCTGCACCTAAACCTCAGCCCCCAAATCCTCCCAGCTGTCAGCTCTGCCTAGCCCCAACCCCTGCACCCAGCACCAGGCGGGGCCTTCACCAACAGACTTTCCTGGAACGATGTAGGACTGTGCATCTGGAGCCCCAGAAATATCTACTCACTCTCAGATGAATTCCACCCCCGAACACTCTGCACACACAAAATCAGCCTAAATAGAAACCACGGTAAATGAATGCGAAAGCACAGACGCTGACACGTGGTGCAGGCGTTCCGTGTGGTGTCTGTGAAGAGTGTGGGATAACTCGGCGAGAAGTAAAATACTGAGCGTCTCATCCTCCTCTTCAATGGGAAGTGTGATGGAGCAGGGAGAGGGAGCGAGAGGGGCAGAGAGAGCGTGGATCCACCTGCTTACCCTGTGCTCAGCCCACGGCAGGCCTGAGGGTCAGTGCGGGGCAGGTGCCACCCCAGACCTGGCTGGTTTATTTTGCCAGAGCGGATCACAGAGGAAGAGGAGTTCAAGCCTGCCTGGCGGGCATGGACCACACTGCACAGACCAGCTATGACAGACTGCCTGCCACAACCACATGGGTTTTATGAAGTCTGAGAGCCGGCAGAGCCAGGAGTTCTCAAAAGCCGGGGCACATGTCACCGAGGATGTTAGAACAACCCCACCCGCCTTTATCAACAGCACTGGACCACACACTTTTCTTTCATTTACTTAAAATAACGGTGTAGCTTTCAGTGCCGCTTGCAAACCCCAAAGCGCAGAAGATTTGTTTTGTTGCTCTCAGCACTTTCTCAGAATCCTAAAAGGAATTCCTAGTCCTCTGCTCCCCAGCATCTCTGCTGTTCTCCTTCGTAATGGGATGGTTTGAACTGGATCACAGCTCATCCTCCCTCTGGGGATAAACATCTGTGGTCCAGCAGCAGGGGCTGTGGGCTGTGGGTTCACACTGTCTGAGTGCTCAGCCTTTGCAGCCACTCAGCCTGGTGCAGCCATGGGAGGAAGGGCGGCACTCCCCGTAAAGACGCGGTGAGGAGCGCGCAGCACAGTCAGGAAGGACCCAGCCTGTTTCTCCACAGCAGGCGCTCTGCAGTGACCCTCCAACATCGGTCTTCCGAGCTGGGGACCTGGCACGTGGCTCAACATCGGTCTTCCGAGCTGGGGACCTGGCACGTGGCTCGCTTCTCTTAGGTGTTAAATGGCCTTTCCATCAAACAGGCTGATGCGGCATTCAGAGCCAGGATTCATTCAGTTGATCAATCAATCAATCTATTTTTATCAGGGGCCTCCTGGGGACAGACAGTGTCATTCTTAGGGGCCCCAGGCTGACAGCCAACAAGCGGAGAGTTGGTGTGACAGGGACAAAGTGCCTGCTGGCTTCGAAATCCACCCTCCATGCCAGACGGGTGTCTGCCACCCAGTGTGGGCACCGCTTCTTCGAGAACCAGCTCCCCGTTGTCAGTGGGAGTCCACCTCTCCTCCACTGTCAGCCATGTGCACCAGGAGAGAACGATGGGTACCCAGCAGCACCCCCAGGGCACACAGCAGGGTCAGGATGCCTGGCTCCAGCCCATGGGGACATGGCAGCTCTTTTCTCTGCTGGGTCTGGACTAAGGGGAGGTTGGCTGAGGGGACAGGAGACCTGAGAATGACCACAGAAAGGAGCAGAACCAGGAGCCAGAAAAAGAAAGCTGCTTCCAACAACCTTATTTGAGTCCTGGATCCAGCCATACCTGAAGCCATCTATCCCTAGGCTTTTTTCAGTGTGTGCCCCAGAAAACTCTTTCTCACTCGAGCTTTTTGGATTTGGTTTTCTGTCACAAGCAAAATCCTGACTTCTATTCTATTCTAAACCAGCTCTGTGTCTCTTAGAATCGAGTACTGTTGATTTGAGGATCCAGTGGCCCCCCACTGAGTTAAGCCATGTGGTGGGGGGGATCTCCTGGAGCCGCAGGTGTTAGGAAGGCAGCAATCTTGGGCCTGGCCCCAGCCCTTCCCACAGTGAGGTCAGGAACGCTAAGGACATATTCTCAGGAGTCAAGGAGCTCCATGAGGTGTGTGCGTGTGTGTGTGTGTGTGTGTGTGTGTATTTCATTTTGATAATCATCTGAAAACCACAAACAACAATGTTCTGGCTCATAGCGATGACAGCTCAAAGAGGAACACTGCCACATGTTCTCAGGGCAGACGCCTGCATGTGGGTTTAAAATCACATCCTCCAGGGCAGACGCTAGGGCCCTCGTGCAGCACCCTGAGAGCAAAGTGTGTGTGATGTGATGTGGAAAGAAAGTGGGAGGACAGAGTCACCACCAGCACAAAGGAGTCCAGCCACAGAGCCACGGATCCCACACCAACCGACCACCAACTGACAAGCTGCCTATGCCAGGCAGGTCTGCAAACAGGGAGGGTGGATTTCCTTACAAAGGCCATCTTACTTTCCCCGTGTACTATTTGGGGTGTACTGCTGAATTGATTGTCCCATCAATCTGATGTCTCATTAAGTAAAATGAAAAAGTTGTTAAAACCAAAGATAATGATAGTCATGATGAAGATTCAAATGATTCTTCTATCTCAAAATGATAACATTCAGATAGGGAACAAATTTCTGACGGAACTCAACACTGGAACTTGGTTTTAGCATGACCATTGTCTACCCCATTACATACGGGTTGTTACTTGGATCTGGATTGACTTTCTGGAAATCTAAAGTTATGTTTCACCAGTAACTTTGTTTTGGTTTTCATAGTGGTAAAGAAGTTATGAGAATAAGATGTTGCTGCCCAGCTTTACCTCTGCACATAGTTAGCTGCACGGAACCTGCAGTGCTGAGCCCAGCTTCATGTCTGCATGTGGTTGACTGCACAGCCGCTGCAGGGCCGAGCCCAGCTTCATGTCTGCACATGGTTAGCTGCACAGAACCTGTGGGGCTGGGCCCAGCTTCATGTCTGCACGTGATTGGCTGCACGGAACCTGCAGTGCTGAGCCCAGCTTCATGTCTGCATGTGGTTGACTGCACAGCCGCTGCAGGGCCGAGCCCAGCTTCATGTCTGCACATGGTTAGCTGCACAGAACCTGCGGGGCTGAGCCCAGCTTCATGTCTGCACATGGTTAGCTGCAGAGAACCTGCGGGGCTGAGCCCGGCTTCATGTCTGCACATGGTTAGCTGCACAGAACCTGCGGGGCTGAGCCCGGCTTCATGTCTGCACATGGTTAGCTGCACAGAACCTGCGGGGCTGAGCCCGGCTTCATGTCTGCACATGGTTAGCTGCACAGAACCTGCAGGGCTGAGCCCAGCTTCATGTCTGCAGGTGGTTAGCTCCAGATTCCATGGTGAGGGTGCCCTTTAGTGCTAAATCTGTGAGTGTTTCCCACACCCCCATTTCTAGACCCACTAAAGCCACACTGAGAATAAAGCGTAACACCCAGAGGATTAGCTGACACAGCTCTTCCCATGACAGCCCTGCAATAAGCAGGAGAGACGGTGCCTCCTCACCTGCCTGTGTAGGAAGCTGCTCCACTTTCATTGCCTTGTAAAGTAAATATGAGTCACTGATTTTCTCACTTTAAAAGGCAATAGATAAAATGCAGATCAATAGTATAGATGACTCTGGCTTCCTTTTGCAGTTAACTTTGATAAAGGGTATGGGGGCATTTACCACCTTAATCTGCCACTGGGACCTCATCCCAGTCACAGGCTGCCATTAGCATGTTCGATGGAAAATCATTTAAACCACACTCTTCCCACTGCCCATACACAGCAGTAGGCCCTGCCCTGCCTGTCTCACACTTACCTCCCACCACGAGTATCTAACACCTTCCCCTCCTGCCTGCATGTATAATTCTCCATATGGCACCCAGGGAAAAGACAAAGGGCTCCCCAGCACACACTATTCCACCACCCTGTAAGTCCAGACCTCCCTCATGACGGCCTTGGTTTTCCATGGTGCAGTCCAAGGAGGGAGATGTGCTGGTGCTTCCCGGCCTCCTGTCCCAGGGATGGAGACGTCCGGGCACCAGGGATGGAGACGTCCAGGCACCTCCTGGCCTCCTGTCCCAGGGATGGAGACGTCCGGGCACCAGGGATGGAGACGTCCAGGCACCTCCTGGCCTCCTGTCCCAGGGATGGAGACGTCCGGGCACCTCCTGGCCTCCTGTCCCAGGGATGGAGACGCACTGGTACCTCCCGGCCTCCTGTCCCAGGGATGGAGATGCACTGATACCTCCCAGCCTCCTGTCCTAGGGATGGAGATGCACTGGTACCTCCCGGTCTCCTGTCCTGGGATGGAGACGTCCCGGCACCTCCTGGCCTCCTGTCCCAGGGATGGAGATGCACTGGTACCTCCCGGCCTCCTGTCCCAGGATGGAGACGTCCGGGCACCCCCTGGCCTCCTGTCCCAGAGATGGAGATGCACTGGTACCTCCCGGCCTCCTGTCCCAGGGATGGAGATGCACTGGTACCTCCCAGCCTCCTGTCCTAGGGATGGAGATGCACTGGTACCTCCCGGCCTCCTGTCCCAGGGATGGAGATGCACTGGTACCTCCCGGCCTCCTGTCCCAGGGATGGAGATGCACTGGTACCTCCCGGCCTCCTGTCCCAGGGGATGGAGATGCACTGCTACCTCCCGGCCTCCTGTCCCAGGGATGGAGATGCACTGCTACCTCCCGGCCTCCTGTCCCAGGGATGGAGACGTCCGGGCACCCCCTGGCCTCCTGTCCCAGAGATGGAGATGCACTGGTACCTCCCGGCCTCCTGTCCCAGGGATGGAGATGCACTGGTACCTCCCAGCCTCCTGTCCTAGGGATGGAGATGCACTGGTACCTCCCGGCCTCCTGTCCCAGGGATGGAGATGCACTGCTACCTCCCGGCCTCCTGTCCCAGGGATGGAGATGCACTGCTACCTCCCGGCCTCCTGTCCCAGGGATGGAGATGCACTGGTACCTCCCAGCCTTGGGTCTTCCTGTGATTAAAATGTGCAGTTTATTTTCTGATTTTGTTTGCAGTGCACCTGGGGACACATGAGCCAAGATCAGAATCTGGACTCACTTTTTTTCATTATTTTAAGTTCTGGGATACATGTGCAGAACGTGCAGGTTTGTTACATAGGTTACATAGGTGTACATGTGCCATGGTGGTTTGCTGCACCTGTCAACCCGTCATCTAGGTTTCAAGCCCCGAGTGCATTAGGTATTTGTCCTAATACTCTTCCTCCCCTAGCCCCCTGCCCCCTGACAGGCCCCAGTGTGTGATGTTCCCCTCCCTGTGTCCATGTGTTCTCATTGTTCGTCTCCCACTTATGAGTGAGAACATGCGGTGTTTGGTTTTCTGTTTCTTATACAGATTATTTCATCTCCAGGTACTAAGCCTAGTAACCAGTAGTTATCTTTTCTGCTCCTCTCCCTCCTCCCACCCTCCACCCTCAAGTAGGCCCCAGCGTCGGTTGTTCCCTTCTTTGTGTTCATGAGTTCTCATCATTCAGCTGCCACTTATAAGTGAGAAAATGTGGCATTTGGTTTTCCGTTCCTGCATTAGTTTGCTAAGGATAATGGCCTTCGGCTCCATCCATGTTCCCACAAAAGACATAATCTCATTCTTTTTATGGCTGCATAGTATTCTGTGATGTATATGTACCATTTTTTTATCCAGTCTCTCATTTATGGGCATTTAGGTTGGTCCCATGTCTTTGCTATTGTGCATAGCGCTGCAGTGAACATTCACCTACATGTATCTTTATGGCAGAATGATTTATATTCCTTTGGATATACATCCAGTCATGGGACTGCCGGATCAAATGGTAGTTCATTTTCAGCTCTTTGAGGAATCACTACATTAGTTTCCACAAGGGTCGAACTAATTTACACCCCACCAACAGTGTGTAAGTGTGTTCCTTTTTCTCTGCAACCTCACCAGCATCTGTTATTTTTTGACTATTTAATAATGGCCATTCTGACTGGTGTAGGATGGTCTATCATTATGGTTTTCATTTGCATTTCTCTAATGATCAGTGATATTGAACTTTTTTTCATATGCTTGTTGGACGCACGTATGTCTGCTTTTGAAAAGTGTTTGTTCATATCCTTTGCCCACTTCTTAATGGGGTGGTTTGGTTTTGACATGTAAATTTGTTTAACTTTTTTATAGATTCTGGCTCTGTTAGACTATTATCAAATGGATAGCTTGCAAAAATTGCTCCCATTCTGTAACCTACAGAATGTCTACTCTGTTGATAGTTTCTTTAGCTGTGAAGAAGCTCTCTAGTTTAATTAGATCTCATTTGTCAATTTTTCTTCTGTTGCAATCACTTTTGGCATCTTCATCATGAAATCTCTACCCGTCCCTATATCCAGAATGCTATTGCCTAGGTCACCTTCCATAGTTTTTATAGTTTGGGTTTTTACACTTAAGTCTTTAATTCATCTTGCATTGATTTTCGTACATGGTGTAAGAAATGGGTTCAGTTTCAATCTTCTGCTTATGGTTGGCCAGATATCCCAGCACCATTTATTGAATAGGGAGTCCTTTCCCCATTGCCTCTTTTGGTCAGGTTTGTCGAAGATCAGATGGTTGTAGGTGTGTGGCCCTATTTCTGGGCCCTCTATTCTGTCCCATTGGTCTGTGTGTCTATTTTTGTACCAGTACCATGCTGTTTTGGTTACTGCAGCCCTGTAGTATAGTTTGAAGTCAGGTAACATTATACCTCCAGTTTTGTCCTTTTTGCTTAGGCTTGCTTTGACTATTTGGACTCTTTTTTTTGTTGTTGTTCCATATGAATTTTAAAATAGTTTTTTCCAGTTCTGTGAAGAATGTCATTGGTAGTCGGATAGGAATAGCATTGAATCTGTACATTGCTTTAGGCAGTATGGCCATTTTGATGATATTGATTCTTCCTATCCGTGAGTATGGAATGTTTTTTCCATTTGTTTGTGCCATCTCTGATTTCTTTGAGCAGTGTTTTTATAATTCTCATTGTAGAGAACTTTCACCTCCCTGGTTCACTGCATTCCTAGGTATTTTATTCTTTTTGTGGCAATTGTGAATGGGATTGCATTCCTGACTTGGCTCTCAGCATGGCTGTTTTTGGTGTATAGGAATGCTACTAATTTTTGTACATTGACTTTGTATCCTAAAACTTTGCTGAAGTTGTTTATCAGCTTAAAGAGCTTTTGGGCCAAGACTATAGGGTTTTCTAGATAGAGAAGCATGTCATCTGCAAACAGGGATAGTTTGACTTCCTCTCTTCCTGTTTGGATGCCCTTTATCTTATTCTCTTGCCTGGTTGCTCTGGCCAGAACTTCCAACACTATGTTGAATAGGAGTGGTGAGAGAGGACATCCTCATCTTGAGCCAGTTTTCAAGGGGAGTGCTTCCAGCTTTTCCTTATTCAGTATGATGTTGGTTGTGGATTTGTCATAGATGGCTCTTATTATTTTGGGTATGTTCCTTTAATACCTAGTTTATTGAGTTTTTAACATGAAGGGATGTTGAATTTTATCAAAAGACTTTTCTGCATCTATTGAGATAATCCTGTGGTTTTTATCTTTAGTTCTGTTCATGTGATGAATCATATTTATTGATCTGTGTATGTTGAACCAGCTTTGCACCCAGGGATGAGGCCTACTTGATTGTGGTGGATTATTTTTTTGACGTGCTGCTGGATTCAGTTTGCAATTATTTTGTTGAGGATTTTTGCATCAGTGTTCATCAAGGATATTAGGCTGAAGTTTTCTTTTTTGTTGTGTCTCTGCCAGGTTTTGGTATCAGGATGATACTGGCCTCATAGAATGAGCTGGGGTTGAGTCCCTCCTTCTCAATTTTTTGGAATAGTTTCAGTAGGAATGATACCACCTCTTCTTTGGACCTCTGGTGGAATTCCACTGCTTTTTTTGATTGGTAAGCTATTTATTACTGATTCAATTTCAGAGCTCATTATTGATCTATTCAGGGAATCTATTTCTTCCAGGTTCAGCCTTGGGGGAGTGCATATGTCCATCTCTTCTAGGTTTTCTAGCTTGTGTGCATAGAGGTGTTTGCAGTAGTTTCTGATGCTTATTTGTATTTCTGTAGGGTTGGTAGTAACATCCCCTTTGTCCTTTCTAATTGTGTTTATTTTTATCTTCTTTCTTTATTAGTCTAGCTAGGGACCTATCTTATTAATTTTTTTCAAAAAACCAATTTCTAGATTCATTGATTTTGTTAATGGTTTTTCATGTCTCAATTTACTTCAGTTCAGCTCTGATTTTTGTTATTTCTTGTCTTCTGCTAGCTTTGGGGTTGGTTTGCTCTTGCTTCTCTAATTATTTCAGTCATGATGTTAGGTTGTTAATTTGAGATCTTTCTAACTTTCTGATGTGGGCATATAGTGCTATAAATTTCCCTCTTAACACTGCCTTTCCGGCATCCCAGATATTCTGGTACGTTGTGACTTTGTTCTCATAAGTTTCAAAGAACTTCTTGATTTTTGCCTTAATTTCATTATTCACCTAAAAGTCATTCAGGAGCAGGTTGTTTAATTTCTATGTAATTGCATGGTCTTGAGTGATTTTTTTAGTTTTGACTTCTATTTTTATTGTGCTGTGGTCCAAGAGTGTGTTGGGTCTGATTTTGGTTCTTTTTACATTTGCTGAGAATTGTTTTATGTTCAATTATGTGGTCAATTTTAGCGTATGTGTCATGTGGCAATGAGAAGAAGGCATATTCTGTTGTTTGGAGATGGAGAGTTCTGTAGAGGTCTATCAGATCCATTTGGTCCAATGCTAAGTTCAGGTCCTGGATGTCTGTTAATTTTCTGCCTCGATGATCTGTCTGACACTGTGAGTGGAGTGTTGAAGTGTCCCACTATCATTGCGTGGGAGTCTAAGTCTCTTTGTAGGTCTCTAAAAACTTGCTTTATGACTCTGGGTGCTCTTGAGTTGGGTGCATATATATTTAGGATAGTTAGGTCTTCTTGTTGAATTAAACCCTTTACCATCATGTAATGTTCTTCTTTGAGTTTTTGATCTTTGTTGGTTTAAAGTCTGTTTTATCTGAAATTAAGATTACAACCCCTGCTTTTTCCTGATTTCCATTTTCTTCATAGATTTTCCTCCATCCCTTTATTTTGAGCCTATGCGTGTCATTGCATGTGAGATGGGTGTCTTAAAGACAGCATACTGTTGGGTTTTGCTGTTTTATCTGCTTGCCACTCCATGCCTTTTAAATGGAGCATTTAGCCCATTTACATTCAAGGTTAGTATGGATATGTGTGAATTTGATCATTGTTAGCTGGTTATCATGCTGACTTGTTCATGTAGTTACTTTATAGTGTCACTGGTCTATGTGTTTAAGTGTGTTTTTGTATTGGCTGGTAACAACCTTTCCTCTTCATATTTAGTGCTCCTTTCAAGATCTCTTGTAAGGTGGGTCTAGTGGAAGTGAACTGCCTCAGCATTTGCTTATTGGAAAAGGATCTTATTTTTCCTTTGCTGAGGAATTTATTTTGGCTGGATATGAAATTTTTGGTTGAATGTTTTTTTTTCTTTAAGAATGTTGAGCCAGGTGCAGTGGCTCACGCCTGTAATCCCAGCACTTTGGGAGGCCGAGGCGGGCGGATCACGAGGTCAGGAGATTGAGACCATCCTGGCTAACATGGTGAAACCCCGTCTCTACTAAAAATACAAAAAATTAGCCAGGCGTGGTGGCGGGCGCCTATAGTCCCAGCTACTTGGGAGGCTGAGGCAGGAGAATGGCATGAACCTGGGAGGTGGAGGTTGCAGTGAGCCAAGATCGTGCCACTGCACTCCAGCCTGGGTGACAGAGAGAGACTCCCTCTCAAAAAAAAAAAAAGAATGTTGAATATGCCCAATCTCTCTGGCTTGTAGGGTTTCTGCTGACAGGTCCACTATTAGCCTGATGGGTTCCCTTTTTAGGTAACCTGCCCTTTCTCTCTCTCTGCCTTTAACATTCTTTTTTTCATTTTGACTTTGGAAAATCTGATGATTGTGTGTCTTCAGGATAATCTTCTTGTGTAAAATCTTGCAGGGGTTCTTTGTATTTCCTGCATTTGACTGTTGGCCTCTCTAGTGAGGTTAGGGAAGTTTTCTTGGATGACATCCTGAAATATGTTTTCCAAGTTGTTTGCTTTCTCCTCATCTCTTTCAGGGATACCAATGATTCATAGATTTGACCTCTTTACATAACCACATATTTCTTGGAGGTTTTGTTCATTCCTTTTTATTCTTTTTTCTCTATTCTTGTCTGACTGTCTTATTTCAGACAGTCAGTCTTTAAGTTCTGAGATTCTTTCCTCGGCTTGGTCTATTCTGCTGTTAATACTTGTGATCGCATTGTGAAATTCTTGTAGTGTAATTTTTATCTCTACCAGGTCAGTTAGGTTCTTTTTTACACTGTCTATTTCATCTGTCTGCTCCTGTATCCTTTTATTGTCATTCTTAGTTTCCTTGGATTGAGTTTTGCCATTCTCCTGAACCTCAATAATCTTTGTTTCTATCCATATTCTGAATTCTATTTCTGTCATTCCTGCCGACTCAGCCTCGTTAAGAGCCCTTGTTGGAAAACAAGGAGTGATCGTTTCGAGGATGGAAGTCACTCTGGCCATTTGAGTTGCCAGAGTTCTTGCATTGGCTCTTTCTCATCTCTGCATGTGGGTGTTCCTTTAACTGTGGTGTAAATTGAATACAGTCAATAGACTTTTGGATGTTTTCACAGGGCTGAAGCTTTGTGCAGGGTCTTTATTTATATCTGACTTCTGGTCTTTGGTTTTACAGCAGGGATATGTTAGTGAGGCATTTTTGGTGTTGAAGCTTTGGGATGTGATCCAGTAGGTGGCTCTTAGGCAGAGTGGTAAGTAGGTAAGCCCTTGCTCGGTCATGTGGCTCCCCTATATTTCCTCACAGTTGCAGCCATGCTGCCTCTCAATGCTCAATGCTCTGAGAGTGTGAGCTCCTCTCCCACTTGAGTGCTGACTATAGAGCATGGCCCAGGCCCCTTGGGACAAAAGTGTTCATCTGCACTTTGTTCCGGTATTTCTACAATTTTTATACAAATTATTGATCCTAATTTAACTAATTTTGAAGTATGTTCAATTAAATAGTGAAAGGGGTTTGTTAAATTAACTTTTTTGTGTGTGTGAAATTGGATCTTACTCTGTCTTCCAGGCTGTAGAGCAGTGGCAAGATCATGGCTCACTGCAGCCTCAACCTCCCAGGCTCAAGCAATCCTTCCACCTCAGCCTCCTGAGTAGCTGGGACCACAGCTGCACACCATCAGACCCAGCTAATGTTCGTATTCTTTGTAGAGATGGGATTTCAGCGTGTTAACCAGGCTGGCCTCGAACTCCGGGGTTCAAGCAATCTGCCCACCTTGGCCTCCCCAAGTGCTGGAATTATAGGCATAAGCCACTGCACTCAGCCCAAAATTAACTTTTAAATAAGTAAATTTGAGTAAAAAGATGGGCATATTTAAAGAAAAGTTGCAGCGAGTGGATGGTGGGAGGGCTCTGCACACGTTGGGCCGGGGTTTGGACGACGGGGGTCATACCCTGGGCCCCCAGGACTGCTCACTGCTGTGAGTCTCCACTGGCTCCACAGATCCACGCAGCCACGGCATGGCAAGGCCTCTGTTTCATGCAGTGTTTAAAAGTCAGACAGCAACACAGACGTGCGGGAAGGTTTCACCCCACGCAGAGGGCAACCAGGCAGAGAGAAGGCAACTCCCTGTCCCCAGGCTGCTCCCCAGGAGGCCCGGCACCACAGCCACGTCTGAGCCAGCGAGGCCGCTTCCCGGGCTGAGTCCCCTTGGCTTTCCTCGTGGCTGGCCACGTGCCTGCCCTGCTGCAGAGCACCCCAAAAGCCAGCTGAGGCCAGGCCAGGTGAGAGGCTCTGCCTTCCCATCAGGCACAGACCTCCTTCAAGACTAATCTGGACAGGAGTCCACCTGCGTTCCATGATGGAGAGTGGGTCTGGGAATCCCCCCAAAAACCAAACCACACGTTTGATGCACGTGCATTCTTCCATTTAATTTCCAAAATGGAACCAAAAATACAAAAGGACCTTCTTGTTACAAAAACCTGCAAACCAAGGAGTGACACCCCCTTCACACCCCCTTTCTCCACATCCCTCAAGGAGGTGACCCTGTTCCCAGCAGCAGCATCCCCACCTGGGCCTGGGCAGGCCCTCAAGGGTGGTCTGGCTGCTCCTCCTCCTCCTCCTAAATGGGGTCATGCAGGCGCTGCTGTCCTGGGACTCCCATACCCTAACAAAACGTCTGGGAAATATTTTCACTGTCTTCTTAAGCATCCTGCAGTATCCGATCCATGCATAAAAATATAATGATGTGTTCTTGTGTTCTGCCATTCTGTTCATTGGTATTTTACAAATGTTTTATGCTCACAATTTCTCACTGTTAAAGATAATGTCACAGTGAACATCTTTGCATGTACCTATGTGATAACAAGTGTGGATATTTTTAAAGGTTAAATGCTGAAAGTGGAATTTCCAGGTCAGTGTCTGCATTTTACATTCTTATAGATGAAGTCAAATTACCCTGTAAAGAGGCTATTCCAATTTACCTGCTCTTTGTATTAGTTCTTTTTTTGCTGACATAACAAATAACCACAAACCCAGTGGCCTAAAAGCACTGGCATTTACCGTGGGGCAGCGCCAGGGGTCAGAAGTCAGGAACAGGGGGCCCGGAAGGGGCTCCTCCCCTGAGCCTGCAGGTGGGAGCCCACCTTGTGAGGGCAGGATACAGATTCCCGGCCATCTGCCTACTTTAACAAGCACACACACACATACACACTCACACACCGTGTGCACACAGACACACAGATAAACATCCCACACACTTTCACACATGTGTGAACCTGCGCACACATACTCCACACTGCTCTGTTTCTCTTTTTCAAAACTTCTGAGTTACCATCAAGGACTGGTGCTTATAACACTAGTTTAGCTCAGCCAATCTCTTTCGTCACTACTATAGTTATCGAGCTACTTGTGTTTTCTATTTCTTCTGAAGTCAATTTTTAAACTTATATTCTCTCAGAAAATATGTTTGTTTAGATTTTTCTCTGAGTTTTACATAATATTTCCTTTTGTATATGTTCTTATCTTAAATTTGCCCTAATATACATTTCCAAATTACTTAAATTATTAATAGGTTTCTCTATTCTCTATTTTTATTTTCAACAAACCATCTGTGGCTTTCATTGATTAAATCTAGTATTTTGTTAACAAGGTCTAATTTTTGTTGACATTTTCTACTGTGTACATTTATTTTTAATCTTCGTTCTTCCTGCCATGTAATTGTCTTGGGTGAATATTCTTACTCTCTTACTAGTTTCTTGGGTTGGATGCTTAATATATTTATCATCAGCAAATTAAATAAGATAACGAATGTGAAAATATGTTGTTAAGTTTGAAATGTGAAGCACACAGGGGGCAGAGGTGGTGAGAGGTGCTTTGCGCCAGACCAGACCTTCCAGACTCAGGGCCCACACACCCCAGGGTTCACCCATTTTTCAGTAATCATGAATCAAATTTAACTGTCATTCGATCCTGACCAGAAGCAACAAAATGAATTCAGTTAACCGAACCTGTGGCTTTTCTACCAGAAGAAATCGCAGGCATTTCCAATCTTTTTGCAATTATTGAAGATATCTTAAAATACCATTTACAGTCATAACTTCAAAATTATGGTGGGTTTTAGACCCATCACCAGATTCTGTTTTATGCATTAATAAATTATATCATTACATCCGATCTTTAAAATTTTGATAACAGTATTTCATAGTTATTGCATTTTTATGTAAACTATGAAAACATTATTCTGAAAAAGGGTCCAGGGGTTTTGCCATATGAGCATATAAAGGATTAGAATCCCACCTGAGACCCTGGAATCCTTTGGCTTTTATAAGATGGGGGAGGCGCTGTGAAAGACCCCCACCTGACCACCATCTTGCCAGGACTTACGATGGGAGCAGCCCCTCGGGGAAGCGTGGGGCCACGGGCAGCACCCTGGCCCGATGCTCCCATCTGTCATGTGAAAGGAAATTAAATTCTGGGACCCCAGACTCATTAAGCCAGAGGGAAAAGTCAAGCTGGAAACTGGCTCGTGAAAACCTGCCTCGCACTTTTGGTTCCTAAATAAGACAGCTGCAAGATGAAAAGCCACCCGCCTCCCCGGTGTTGCCCTCATGGAAATTCCTAGCGCCGCAAGATCTCTGAAGGTGTTTCTGTTAAAATTTCTCCATGCATGTAAACGGAAGGCTTATCTTTACAGGTGCCGTCACCTTCCTGCCCGTCAGACACAAATGCATATCTGATTGCTCCCCTGCCCTGTTTGTCTGTGTTACGTAAAATACAGATTCCCTTGTTCTTCCTCTATGCCACTTGTCTATGTCGTCTTATGTAAAAAATGCAGATTCACTGAGCCAGACAAAGGCATGAATGTTTCTCCCTACCCGCCTCTTACATGAAAATTGTGTACTTCCCAGTATCTCGCCCTTTGCCTTTTAAATTTGGAGCCCTCAAAACCTCAAAATCATCTCCGGAGAATGGCATAGACCTGAATCCCAGGGATGTGTCCTGAACTTTGGCAAATAAACCTCCACAGATGATTGAGACTTGTCATTTTTCTCGACTGACATCTGGAGAGATCCTGAGTGAAGGTGACCCGGCCTGCAGCAGCTCACCTATCCGTGCTTGGCACCGGCTTGGGCACCTCACAGCCCAAACTGATAGGACGATTTGCCGAAGTCTGGGAGCCCTTTCCTCCAGGGATCCCTGATCTTCCAGGGTTTTTCATTTGGGGGTCTGGAATTTATTTGCTGTTTAAAAAAATTCCTTTTTGTGGGGGGGAGTTTCCACTGGCTTCCATCAAGGAAGGCGAGCTCGTCTGCGTCTGCATCAGTGGTCTTCAGCTGTGGCCCCATCACTAGGAAAGAAACTGGTTTGGGGTTCTGTCTTGCAAATTCTTTTTAAATGACTAAAGTTAGCATTAACACATTAACAGCTGGTATTCATTTCTGCTTACACTGAGAGCGCTCAGAAATCGTATAATTTGCGTGATCATTGTTAGTTTTGCATCGCTGTGTTGTTGCTTGTTTCTGTCTTGTTGGGTTTGTGTGTGTGTGTGTGTGGGTGTGTGGGTGTCTGTGTGTGGGTGTGTGTGGGTGTGTGGGTGTTGGGTGTGTGTGTCGTGTGTGTGTGTGTGTTGGGTTTGTGTGGGGGGTGTGTGTGTGTGGGTGTGTGTGGGTGTGTGGGTGTGTGTTGGGTTTGTGTGTGTGCACTTCATCCCATAGCTCCTGCCACGTTTGTCCTCTTCTGTGAAGTGTCTTCAAAGCTCTCATGCCCCTCTCGGCCTGCGCTGCCACCTGCCTCTGGTTGGTTTCCACACATTCCCTGCAGGTCCCGGACAGAGTCGCTCGCAGCCGAGTCTCTGCAGACGTTTCTCCCACTCTATGCTCCCTTCTCATGCCCTTTGAACTTTTGATGATTTTCTAATCTTAGTTCTAATACAGTTCTGTTCATCATTCCCTTTGCCATCTTGTTTTTGGGTTTGGGGGTCTTTGTCCTGTTTAAGAAACGTTTCCCTACCTCAGGGTCACGCATAGCCATGGGAAGGCAGCAGTCACAGCGAACACGCTCCTGGGAAGTGCATTTCCACGTGAAGATGGGGTGATTGGGAGGCCGAGGAGGCAGAGCAAACAGACGCTTCTGTGCTTCGGAAGCAGTCCCCAAATCAGTCTCTAGAGCGATCCGGGCAACACCACTCGGCTCTGTGACGTTTCCATTGTTCCTAACATCCCCCGAGTCTGCAGAAATGTATGTATTTCTTCCCCTAGAAAGTAGGTGATTTATTTCCTTATAACAACTAATTGCATGTGAAGCAGCATCTAGAAACATGATGAGTTGGATAAAAAGGGAATCAACGGAGAAACCAGGGTCAAGGGAGACACCTTGAGGCGGGAGGTGCTGGCCGTCTGGAGTGGGTGGTGTCTGATTTTTGCATGGATGAAACCCAGATTATTTAGAATGCTGTCAATACTCAGACTATTTACAAAGACATTTTTCAGGGCATCTGTCTCAGGATATTAATTGGATTTTCACAAAAATAGAGATGCATTCTGTTATCAAATACATTTGACAAATATAGAGTTAGAGAGAAATAGGTTCTCACCTGGTCCCAGAACCCATTTTTTCTGGGACCCCTGAGAGAACTGATACGACACTGTATGTGCTATTTTCTAGATCGACAATCATAATTAAAGCAATAAAGCCTGGCATTCCTGCAGGCAAGGCCCTGCTTCTGTGCTGAACACACAACCCCTGAGCTCCCTCGATCCCCGCTTCACAGAGGGAGAACCAGGGGCCAGGCCAACCCTAACCAGGCCACCAGGTTCCAGGACACAATTCCTTGCAAAAGTGCTTTGGGTCAAAATTGGCTCAAAATTGGCGGCCATATGCTGAGTTTCAGGCCACGTGTTCTGACAAGTCTCTGCTGGGCACTCAGCTCCGTCCACCCCCGTCCTCACAGTGACCCGGAGAGGGCAAGGGCAACGTCCTCTTATCAAAAGAAAGGTCCTGGTGTTAGGAAGGCAGGAGCCCAGGAGAGCCAGAATCACACCATTTTAAAATCCACTCGCCGGACACAGTCATGACCCCCGGTCCTAAGATGTTCACAGCTAAAGAGGCAGCTTGGTGACGCCTGCAAAAACACACTCCTCCAACAACAGAGTCCAGACGTCCAGAACCCCAGCAATGTGTGCTGTTAAGATCATTCCAGTTATGCTTTGATGGACTCACACACGAAAATGTCAAGGACAGTTTTCCTTACATAGAATAAGAAAATATCATGCTCTCTGCTCACCTACATGTAGGCACAGCTTGGCTTGGTCTTTCCACAGACGAGACCCCTATATAAGAAAAACCTAAAGCTGGGGCGTTGCTTCTCTTGCTTTCTGAGGGTGCCCTATCTGCAATGAAGTAGTTTTCAATAAACTTCCTTCTCTCACTGCACTCTGCAACTCGCCTGGAATTTCTTCCCACGAGAGATCCAAAGCCCTCTCTTGGGGTCTTGATTGAGACCCTTTTTCCAGTAACACTGAGGCTCCATTTCCAGTCATGGCAAAGCAGCTCATGTCAGTCCAACACACCACCTACATCCCCTGGACAGATACAGGCACCAACCACCAGAAGGTACCGGGCACAGCCGGAAGCAGAAAGAGACTGAACAGGCGTCCGTACTCGGAGGAAAGCCGTGGCGCCAGGCAGATTTCCTTTTGTAAGGCATTCCACTCGAGAGCAGCTGGCCCACGCAGGGGAGCAAAGCCTCGGGTAGGAAACCACCGTCCCTCCGGCATGAGGACCCAGAGAGCAACGGGGTGACTGTGGCAGCCAGGGAGGAAAGAGGAGTTCCTGGAAAGGACAGAGCCAGAGGGGACCCCAAAATCTGCATTTCACTCTGCCTAGATCTCCTGGAGACCTGGCCCACACGTGTGCAGGACTTTGTGCCGCCTGAAAAGAACCGATGAGCGGCACCAATGGTGCCACCGTAGGGGACAGAGCCTAGCGTCTGCCCGACTAAGCAAAACAGAAATCTGTCTGACAGCCTGGGGACCGGAAGTCTGAGGTCAGGCATCGGCAGGGTCAGTTCCTGCGGAGATGTGAAAGGGAATCTGCTCCCGGCCATGCCCCAGCAACCCTCTGTGTTGCTTTTGATGGGGTTCGGGACACGCTACCCCAAAGTATGGCACCTTGGCACTGTGAAAACAGCAGAAGCAGGAAGGTCTCTCTCACCTCCCCTCAGCCTTCTCCCCTACAGCAGGTCCCCAAGACCCTGATGTGAGACGCCCTCCCGAAACCCGGGGAAAAGACACGCCCTTCTCTCTGAAGATACAGGACACAGAGAACTGGTGTTGACAGCTGACGTGATGACAGTTCTCGTCTTCTCAGTTCAAAAGAATTTAAACAAGAGACACACTGCAAAAGAAGTGCAGCACAGAGTAACTTATTGCAAAAGAAGAAAAGTATTTTGCAGGGGCTCACGCCTGTAATCCTAGCATTTTAGGAGGCCGAGGTGGGCGGATTACTTGAGGTCAGGAGTTTGAGACCAGCCTGGCCAATATGGTGAAACCCCATCTCTAATAAAAATAGAAAAATTAGCCAAGCATGGTAGCAAGCGCCTGTAATCCCAGCTACTTGGGAGGCTGAGGCGGGAGAATCACTCAAATCCGGGAGGCAGAGGTTGCAGGGAGCCAAGATCATACCACTGCACTCCAGCCTGGGCAACAAGAGCAAAACTCTGTCTTTAAAAAAAAAAAAAAGAGTATTTTGAAAGTGAGGTGCAGAATAGACAGGCCACCCTAAGGGAGAAAGGACTCAGGGTGGGTCATGAGGGTGAGACAGCAGAGACCGGCCATAGGGAGGCTGCCTTTATGGGAGTCTCACCCGATGATCCATAAGAAGATGGGAGAGGTAGCCGGGCATGGGGGCTCATGCCTGTAATCTCAGCACTTTGGGAGGCCAAGGCGAGTGGATCATCTGAGGTCGGGAGTTCAAGACCAGCCTGACCAACATGGAGAAACCTCGTCTCTACTAAAAAAAAATACAAAATTAGCTGGGCATGGTGGCGCATGCCTATAATCCCAGCTACTCAGGAGGCTGAGGCAGGAGAATCGCTTGAACCTGGGAGGCAGAGGCTGTGGTGAGCTGAGATCTCACCACTGCACTCCAGACTGGGGATAGATCTAGACCCCACCTTAAAAAAAAAAGAAAGTGGGAGAGGTGTTATCAGGAAGCACAGTCTGGTGGTCGTCGGCACACATGCTTGTTTGTAGGTGGTGTGTCTCATTAGCATCTTACATCTCCACCCAGGGGTATCTTTTTCACTGTTATAATGAACAAAGGGTTGGTTCGAGGACAGGTAAAAATTAAAGTGTGCGTGCTCTTTAGAAGAGAGTCCCCGCTGGAGATAGCTTTGCTTGCGTGAGCTCAATTACAAAGCAAACACTGAGGTTTAGGTGGTGGCTGTGTATAGTCAACACAGTCATTTCCCTGCTCACCTATCCCCTCTCCCCCGGGCACACAGGCCGTGCTGAGGTGCCCAGTTCACCCATCACATCACAGCCTCCCGTCCTCATCCACGTTTCCCCACGGCCATCCCCTCTTCATCAAGCCAAAGCACAAACACACAGGTCCACCTGGCTCTGGGTCTTCATTTCCTTACGAAGGCTCCAAGTCACATAAAACTAAAATACATTTGTTCGCTTTTCTCTGGTGAATCCGTCTTGTTTCAGGAGCCTCAACCCTGAACCTTTTCTCTCTGCACTTGGAGTGTAGACGCGTCCCTTCTTCTCTCCCTCCGGCTTCACCGTACCTTCCCTGTGTGTCTGTGCACACATTTCCCCTTCTTAAAAGCATGCTGGTCATTGGATTTAGGGCCCACCCTAATCCATCATGAGGTCATCCTAATGCATAACATCTGCAATAACCCATTTCCAAAAATGTCTGTGTTCACAGGTTAGGGCTTGAACATATTTCCTAAGGACACTATTCAGCCCTCCACAAACACCAGCAGCAGACTAAGCCACGTTCAGGTCGTGTTGAGGTGGGAAATTAAAGAAAAATAAAATTAAAAAGAAAGAGAAATAAGCTTTCCCGTATTAGGCTAACTTGTCCTAGAGGCAGCAACAAGCACAGCCCAAACCCAGGAAAAGTCTTAATAATAATATTATCTAATGTGCTCTGGAGACTCTCCCAGCACTCCCTCAATATAGGGAGAAGAAAAACAAATTTTCCTTTGTTTTATGGAATGAGTTTATAAATTCCTGTTCTCTGTAACTATTGACTTCAAGCATTGTTTTATCTAAGCAGTAAAGTGAAGGTCATGAGCCTCTGAGCAGGCCTGAGTTACGGCCACCTGGGCAACATAGTGAAGGTTATGGGATAAGCCCGTGCCCAGGTTAACCTAGATAACGGACATGTGGGTTGCTTGGCAACAGTCATGTGCAATCCTGAGTTTGTCCTGCCTCTGTATCCCTGCTTTCACGCCACTGTAAGCTTGCTTCAAGCTAGCCCACCCCCTTTTGTGAAGTGTGTGTAAAAGTCAGGCGCTGTCTTTGTTCTGGGCCCAGTCTTTGGACATTGAGTCTGCTGGGTCTGAGTGCACTCAATGATAAAGATATCCTCCTGTGTACACTCCAAGGTCTCTCTCCGGTCCTCCTGATCCTGCAACAGTGCTAGGTCTCCCTAAAGGCCATCGGGCCCCTGGGTGGACCTTGGAGTCTTGCTCATTATCTCAGCCATGCTGTGCACATGACTGTAGTCCCAGCCTGGCCCACCCTGGGATGACAGGAGCTTCCCCCGGCGGTCCGTTTCCTGCACTGGCCCCCCCACAGGGATGTCTCCCAGGGCTGCCTGGACACGTCTTCACATTGGCTGAGGGGTCCCTCAAGGGCAACCAGACATGGCTTCTAGTCTAGTACCTGTTCTTCCCTCACAACATGAGTGAAGGATTTTAAACCTTCAAAGCCATATTTGCACTTACCTAACCCCTTAATCCTTTTCCTTCCGTCCCCCGTCCTGGAAGCCCCACTCAGTGTGTCAGGGGATTTCACCACCGAGGCACCTGTGGGCTGGGACCTGGGAGCTCTGCGTCCCCCTCCCCACACTCAGTTTCACTATGGCCAGATGCTGCCTCCGATGAAAGAAAGGGAGCCCATGGCAGAGCGTCGAGGGCGCCAGGGTGGCCACACAGGCCAGGAGACCAACCTCTAACCCTGATCTGACACAGGTCTAAGGGGAAGGTCATGAAGAAGAAACACAGCTCCTGAGAGACGTTTGGGGAGAACGAACCAGGACTAAACTAGAACTTACTCCGTGCAACCAGGGCCTCTCGGGAAACACTCAGGAAACCCTGGGCTGGCAGAACTAGTGGCGTCTTTGGGGACGGATCCCCGCAGGTTGGGAGTCCACGGTGCAGGGCCTGCATGGGGGACCAGACACGGCCACACCAGACGGGGCCCCTCTCAACGTTCAGCTGCTCAAGAAGGAGAAAAAGAGAAGGATTCTAAATGACGCACTGCCCTTCACACTTCAGGGTGAGGTTCCCGGCCCACTTTGTATTATGATTAAACACGCAGGTGTGCGCACACCCACAGCCCTGCACACACACCTGTGCACACTCCCAGCACCCACTCCCCCTTTTCTCCTGGGCAGAGGACGGCCAGGCCTAAGTGTGGTGCCCAGCACCAGTGACGGGCCCGGGGAAGGGACTGTGACGAGGAGGCCAGTGCCCCTGTGGACACAGCTGATCTAGAAACATCCAACTCAGCCCTCTGACACTGGACTCCAACGGAACCAAGCCACATCTGGGCAGAGGAAGGATTGGCGCCTCAGCAGCCAATCCCAGCCAGCAGGAGAAAGGACACAGCCCACAAAGCGCAGCCACATGCAGAGACGCACCTGCAGCCTCTGCAGCTCAGCGGGCCCAGGGAAGAGGCTCTTCCAGGAGGAGGCCCCGAGGGCATTCACAGACCAGCACCAGCAGGCAAAGAACCAGGAAAAGAGGGGCCACCTCCTGACAACACCCACAGACTCAGGGCCTGGCACCCTCCCCACATGTGTCCTTGGGGCACGCCAGACCAGACGGCACCTCAAGGCTTCCCAGCGCACACCTCACCGTCCAGACACCCTCAGTCATTGCCAAGCTGTGCTCCTAATAGCTTAGAAAATATGGTATTCAGGAAAAAGATTCCTCTGCAGGTGGCTCTGGTCAGGAAATTGATCATGAAACCACCACCTTCCCACTCGGTGCCGTCTAATCTGAGAGCCCCGTGTGCCTCCTGAGTGTAGAGGAGAATGTCTTCACCCTTCCCAGCAGCCACTCAGCTCCTGCCTGCTGCGATGGAGGACGTCCCTGAATGGCTCCCTCCCCGCCCCCATCTGAGGGCTCCTCAAAAGCAGGGTTTCGCCCCCACCCTGGAATCCCAGACACCCACTGCAGCCCCCGCAGGCCCCCAGGAAGTGCGGGATCCCCCTCGCTGCTGGGATTCTAGTACAATGCTGTGTCCGGCCCACATGGGGGAGCCGGCTCAGTGGCTTTTTTTTAGGTGAAATAGTAGTTAGTCAACACCTTAAAATCTGGATATGCTTCCTAAAAATTCAGATTTGAGGCATCTATGGAAAAAGTTTGCCCAGAGCAGCTGTGAGCTCAGCACCAGCCGCCCGTGGACATGGCGGCACCTCACTTTGCCACAGACCCCACCACTCCCTGTTGCCCTCCCCAGCGCTGAGCCAGATGGATAAGGACTCTGCAGCTAAAGTGCATTCCTAGAACACCTGGCTCAGGCAAAGTCCCAGCCCCAGATATGGCTCCAGAGGTAATCCCTGCCTCCCTGCCTCCCAGGTCAGCTCCTGGCCCAGCTGCTGACCCCCAAGGCCTCACGAGGTTGGTGCGAAGCTGCCTTCTCTGCGGGGCCTTCTGGGACACCCCCTGCCACCTTGTGCTTTGTGGCAGGGGGTCTGCAGCTACAGGGGCGTCTGTTCCCCCATGGCTCATTCACTCAGACCAAACATTGCTGTAGCCCAGGGACCCCTCGGGAGGGCGTGGACACTAGCGGGCAACACTGTGTACCCATCAAGCTGGGCATGGGGAGGGCAGCTGGGGGGAGTCTGAGCTGCTGGGGCCTGGGATGCCGCTTCAGTAGGGCGTCCACACTGGGCCAGGCATGGGCCCGAGTCCCATGAGAACTTGTGGCCTGTCCAGTGTGTGGAGCTTCGACGGGGCACCATGGACGGGAAAGACACCCCCTCACCACGCTGGGACTCACCCCTTCCCTACACTAGGACTTGCTCCTCCCCTCCCCACACAGGGACTTGGGCTCCACCATCTGTCCTGATGACTCCAGGCACCAAGGACCTTGTCTGCTGAGAGGGCTCAGACAGGAGGTGGGCCGGGCGGCAATGTGCGCGGGGGCAGGCGTGTCCCCGGCACCAAGAGGTCACAGTGGAGCTGAGCAGGTGCAGCCTCCGCACTCGGGCCTCAGCCTTGCGGCCCAGGAGAACAGAGTCAAAGACAGGCGTCCCCGGAGCACGGGACTTTCCAGGCTGCTCTGTCCGGGAGACAGAGCCTGCAGACCCCTCCTCACGCCCGCTCCAGGAAGAGGAGGAAGCCTGGGCCTCCTCTCCAAGCACAGAGAGGCCCCAAGCAGGGGCGGGGCAAGGAGGGTGCTGGTCTCTCTAGCGTTTTGTGAAGGGAGCAGCACTCGCGGTGAGCTGGGCGCGGGGCCCACCGCGCCGTCCTTGTCCCCTGCCACCATCTGCCGGTGCAGCCGAGCGGGCGGCGAGGAGGGTCCTTGGGGAGAAGCAGAGACCGCCCCATGCAGGCGTCTCACCGCGGACATGGGCGAGCGCTTCAGTTAGGAACATTTTTCCTTACAAAGGATGTCATGACTGTGGCTCACTAATTAGTAGTTAATAGAACCCAGTTCAAAAATGACTCCATAATGTGATCACCGGGCCCCTTGCAGATGGCCCAGCCGTAGTGGGCACCCCCTTCTCAAGGGAGGGCGGCCCCTGGGAGCCAGCAGGCCTCATGCGGAGCAGCCGCCACCAGCCTCGGGAGCCCTGGGCCTGAGTGTAACCGAGTTCACCTTCATGGCAGATTTCGGGGAAGGGCCCTGGGCCTGGCCCCTGGGCTCGGGGACGGCGCCCGCGTGCCACCGTGAGTGCAGGGCCAGGATGCTTCAGGAGCTGTCCTTTAGGTGCGTGGAGGCCCCGAGTGGCCGTGCAAGGGGACACAGTGCTCAGCACTTGCCAACTCCCGGGCAGACCGGGCCTGGGTCCAGGTTCTCAGGTCCAGCGTCCGGTGGCCCCGACTCCCTGGGCTCCCGGGAGGCACGAAGGACAGAGCTGGGTGATGCCGCACACGGGGAAGGCTCAGCCTGTGCTGCTGCTGCGACTGTGAGGACGCCGGCTTCACCGTCACAGAGCCCAGGTACAGGGGCGCAGGACGGGGCTGGCACAGGAGGCTTGGAGGCGGCGTTCCGGGCTGGCAGGCGGAGGGGAGGCGGCGGCGGAGGGGAGGCGGCGGCGGAGGGGAGGCGGCGGCGGAGGGGAGGCGGCGGCGGAGGGGAGGCGGCGGCGGAGGGGAGGCGGCGGCGGAGGGGAGGCGGCAGGCGGGACTCCTGGGCTGGAAGGCGGCTGAGCCCGGTAGCTGGAGCCCGGCAGCCTGGACGACCGCCTCTGATGGGGTGGGGGTGGCGGGTGCAGGAAAGTCCACTCAGAACCTCCGTGGTGCTACAGGGTTGTCTGGAGCCCACTGCACTGGGATAGCTCAGGAAAGAGGAAGAAACGCAAACGCCTCAGCCTGCGGCAAATGCATTCTCCCAAATTCCTCCTCCGCTCTGGCTGACTGCAGATAGTGCACACTTGACCTACAAACTCCGAAACACGGGGAGATCAGAATGCGCTCCCTGCCGCCTTGCTGCTCCATCAGGCACGGCCAGCACGGTGGCGCCCTGCCGTCCCTCCGCACACACGTCAGAAGGAAGGGGCCTGGAAGGACAAGTTTTGAAGTGTAGGCCGGTGTTGTGATTGCTGGTTGGTTTGGCCTCTCGGCTCCAGGGCAGGTGGGGAATCCCCGGGGCGCTCGCGCATAGGACCTGGGGAGACCACCACGGGCTTTACAAAAACGCAGTCCTGCTGGAGACGCCTCTCCTGGGGCTATTCCTTTCCGTTTTTAGGTGGCTTCCTCCCATCGGTGCTGCACGCAGCGGTTTTTCTGAAGCAGCTGCTGGTTCTCACCGGCGTCTTCCACCCGCGCTGCCTGAGCACCGTCTTTCCACCTTGTGCATTCTGTGCGCTGCGGCATGTCCCGGCGCGTCCTGAGGCCTAACCCCAGTTCGCAGGGAGCCACAGATCAAGGTGTCCTGAGCACACGCCAGGACTCGGGAAATCACGAACAGCTCCCAATCCACTGATGACACCCACAGAACTCCAGTTTAAAAAAAAACAACTGTGAAGGATAATATAAAAAATAAGTGTACCGTCTGCTTTATGATAGTAAACGAAAATTTCCCAAAAGCTTTCACCTGAAACTATCAATGACTTGGAAACCTCATAAAGAAGCAAGTGACCCGGGAGACTGAAACGAGATCACGGAGGCTGGCCCTGGGCCGGCCCTGCTGCCGGCTCCCTGAGGCCTGGAGGGATGGATCCTGGGAGAGGAACCCCGTCCAGGACAAAGCCTGGGGGCTTCACTTTGTGCATCTACCTGATGGCACCAGGGCGGCGGCTGGGACAGTGTTTCTGGGTGCGGCTGGGAGGGTGTTTCCGGACGCGGTGACCCCCGTGTGCTGGGCGTCATCCAATCCTCTGACGGCCTGAAGGTGCCGCGGTGGAGGAAGGAGGAATCGCTCCTGCTCGCCTGCCTTCCTTCCTGCTTGCTCCAGGACGCCTCATCTCACCGTCTCTGGACCAAGGTCTGGAATTTACACCAACCTCCCTCAGAGTCGGGTTGACTGACACCGCAGGCTTTCCTGGGTCCCAGATGGCAGATCCCGAGACCTCTCAGCGCCTGTCACCGCGAGAGCCAGCTCCTCACAATAAATACGTAAACCCATGTATGGGTGGGGCAGAGAGACCCTAAGCATTTCCACACCTGCCTTGAGTGTGTCTGCATCGTCGTTTTGTGATATACATTTCGCCTGCAGTAAGTGCAAAGGCCACCATTCCTGAGACGCAGGCCTGGGCAAAACCCAGGACTCCTAGGTGCCCCGACGCCCCTCCCCAGACAATGCTCCCTCCCACCCACAAGGTTTCCTGGGAGCAGCCGTCGAAAGAAGAAAAAAACAGTCCCGATGGGGGCTGAGGGCAGAGGAGGCCCAGCTGGCCGTCCTCCAGATTCCCATGCTGCCAACAGCTGCCCTCCGGACGGACAGCTCTGCCAGGGACGGTGCCCAGACAGAGGGCAGCGCGTCTTTCTGGGACTGAACCGACGCCAAGCATGCGTGTCACTGAGCCCATGTAACAGAGAGCGGCAGGCGAGATACAGGCGTGCACCCCGGAGAGGACAGGCTGAGGACCCTCAACAGAGACAGGAAAACCTGCCCGTCACTGAGAAATGGTTGGAAAAGTAAGCTCTCTGTGATGTGACAGGCGCTGTCCTTGCTTGAGAGATTGGCGCTGCATTTGGGGGCCCCCAAAAGGTGAACAGAGTATGTGACATATCTGGCACAAGACGTGAGCCCACCCGCATTTCGCTGGGGGAACTGAACTTTGTAATTTTGTTTTCCCACTGGGATTCCTGCTGTCAACACCTTTGGTGGGGGGAGAGTGTCTCCATCACCTGCCTCACAACACGCACCCCTTTGTGTGTCTGTTGTTGTCATTGTTGTTTTGTTTTGTTGCTGTTGTTGTTGTTTATGAGATGGAGTCTCGCTCTGTCGCCCAGGCTGGAGTGCAGTGGCATGATCGCGGCTCACTGCAACCTCCGCCTCCCGGGTTCACGCCATTCTCCTGCCTTAGCCTTCCGAGTAGCTGGGACTACAGGCGCCCACCACGACGCCCGGCTAATTTTTTGTATTTTTAGTGAAGACGGGGTTTCACCGTGTTAGTCAGGCTGGTCTGGATCTCCTGACCTCGTGATCCGCCCGCCTCGGCCTCCCACAGTGCTGGGATTCCAGGCCTGAGCCACCGCGCCCGGCCGCGTGTCTGTTTCTTCTGTCTGCTGGTTTGCTGGTTCTCCCTTTTGCTGCTGGTTTGTTTTTGTCCCATGAGGGTTTAAAGGGCTGCCTTTGGGGGCTAAGTGTCCTAAGAGCAGAAGCTCTAACGCCCACGCTGCTCTCTGAAGCCCCTGCCAAGAACAGCCAGGTCTCAGCTGTCAGATGTTTTCCAGCTGTTACTCGGTTTGAATCTGACACCAGCCCCAGCTTCACTCCGGGAGGCGTCTGCCCAGACACCAGAGGAGGTGCGAAGTTCCGGGGAAGCAGCTGGGCCCGGCCCTGACTGGTGGGTTCCGTGCATCCCACCCTCCTCATTGGATGAGTTTTCACTCACTGAATTCGCGCCAGCGTCCTCAGCACAGGCAGGCGTGGCTGAGTTCAGTCCCTTCATGATCAACTTTGCATGTCTAAGTTTCTGGAACAAAGGGCGTGGCATCGATGGGCGATTTCTGTGGCCCTCCAGGGGCAGCTCCCCAGCAAAGCGCCCAGCACCCACATCACAACAGGCTGCGCAGGCCACAGCGCCCGCGCCTCTGCAGCTGGAAGCCCCCAGCCAGGGGTCACATCAAGCTCCTCGAAGGAGTCCCCAGCACCTGTTCATTGCAACCTGAGCCGAGCTCCAGAAGGCACCCTTACCCTCTCCACCTGAAGCAGGTGATGTGTTTGCAGGAAACGAGCCCGCGGGTCTCAGCTGCCTGGTTTTCCTCTCGGGCCGCGCTCCTGCCACCCTGTGTTCTTCCCCAGCAAGAGAGAAGAGTGGGGGGCGGGGAAAGAGAAATGCCTCCAAGGCCAAGCAAGGCCAAGCTGAAGAACAAAGTGCCCCAAGGGAGCCAGCCAGGGCTGCAGAAATGGCTCTGCCCACCCCATAGGCCCCGAGGAGCTGGCCGGACAGCGGCTTAGGGGCTCAGGCAGCCCCAGAACAGTGGATGCCTCATTCATTCCGAGACCCACCGCCTTGCACCCCGAAACGTGGCCCTGGCTCCCTTGTGTAAACCCCATCCTCAAGCACAGAGCAGGGCCATCTACGGAGACCTGGAGCCAGGCCAGGGCAGGCACAGCCCAGGGACCCAGGCTCCACGCGTCCCAGGGAGAGCTGACCCAGAGCCGGGCTCCCACTGCTGGGTGAAATCGGGAGGAGGGCTCCAGAAAAGGGGCTGCTGCTGTCGACACTTTCCCTTTGTCACGGACATTCTTTTTTTGTTTGTTTGTTTGTTTGTTTGTTTGAGACGGAGTCTGTCACCCAGGCTGGAGTGCAGTGCTGCAATCTCATCTCACTGCAACCTCCACCTCCCGGGTTCAAGCGATTCTCCTGCCTCAGCCTCCAGAGTAGCTAGGATTACAGGCACCCACCACCAATCCCGGCTAATTTTTGTATTTTTAGTAGAGACAGGGTTTCACCATGTTGGCCAGGCTGGTCTCTTAACTCCTGAGCTCAAGTGATCTGCCAGCCTTGACCTCCCAAAGTGCTGGGATTACAGGCGTGAGCCACCACGCCCGGCCTTGGACATTCTTGATGGCTGTAGATTGATATTCTAAGATTGCTGGTGTCCCGTAGATGCACGAGTCCAAAATAATTGGAAAGTAAACATTTCAGTCAGCCTCACTTTAGCATATTACATCAAATAGCAGAGCTGAAGTTTTTCAGTGTAACCTGCCACATTTAACCCCACTGCTGGGTTTACATATTTCAAACCAAAAGGTACCCAATAACCAGGTGTCGAGAGAGGCCAACTGAGCTGGGCACGCTGGCTCACACCTGTAGTCCCAGCACTTTGGGAGGCTGAGCCAGGAAGACTGCTTGAGCCCAGGAGCTCAAGACCGGCCTGGGCAACATAGTGAGACCCAATCTCTACAAGATATACAAAAATTAGCTGGGCATGGTGGTGCACACCTATAGTCCCAGCTACTCAGGAAGCTGAGGTGGGACAATCACTTGAGTTCAGGCGGTCAAGGCTGCAGTGAGGGGAGATCGCACCACTGCATTGCAGCCTGGGTGATGGGAATGAGACCCTGTCTCAAAAACAAGGGATGGACTCACCTGGCACAGAAGCCACAGCCCCATCCAAGAAACGCTCACCTCGCTGGTGGGACTGCAGATCACCCACACTAACACACAGAGAGTTAGAAGTGCATCATTGCTTAGATTTTAAAATGACTAAAAGCCCAAAATGGAATTTGCCCTCCATTTCTACTTCTGCCAACCCAGGAGACTGCTCCAGAAGGTGGAGCCGGTAGAGCGTTTAGGAGCCGGTCAGGAGCCACCTGAGGCCTGAGTCTCAGAGGGCAGCCTCCGCCATCCCCCACGAACCAGGAAGGCGGGGACCACGATGCTGCAGGCTGAGCCAGCTCCTCTGCCATCCGGGTGCTGGAGCACAAACTCGTCAATGGGAATGGCATAAGGTGACTGAGCTCTTCTCCACTTTTTATTTTCCAGAACATGAGTAAAAGCCTCACTCTTAAGAATCCTGGAAGAGTAGCATACGATTCAGGCGGGATAAAGATGTTTTGGGAGAAAAAAATCGAGCATCACGCAAGACACCTGCAGAACGAGGACATCAGGGTTCGCAGAAGCGCTCTGAACAAGTGAGTCGGGGTGTGCAGTGCATCGGGGACCCCTATGCCTGAGCCACGCTCGCCACCCAGGGGCACAGCCCCGCCAGCAGTGTGCCCTGACACAGCCCTGGCCCTCAGCCCACCATGAAACCCCTCAGCTCCAGGCCTGTGAAAGGAGTCAACCCAGGAGGAAACTGACAGCCATTCACTCACCTTAGTGATCACGCTTGGAACAGTAGGTGGGAAATGACAAGACACCACGTTGCTAACCGTGAGACCAGGAGCTCAGATCAAACATCACTATCCAGGCAACACCACACCCCAATGCCCACGGACAATTCACCCCCACCCCCACACCCACACCCCTTCACCCACACCCCAACACCCACACCCCCACACCCACACACCCACACCCCAACACCCACACCCCCTTCACCCACACCCCAACACCCACACCCCAACACCCACACCCCTTCACCCACACCCCAACACACACACCCCCAACACCCACACCCCAACACCCACACCCCTTCACCCACACCCCAACACCCACACCCCTTCACCCACACCCCTTCACCCACACCCCAACACCCACACCCCCACACCCACACCCCTTCACCCACACCCCAACACCCACACCCCCACACCCACACCCCAACACACACACCCCAACACCCACACCCCAACACCCACACCCCAACACCCACACCCCCTTCACCCACACCCCCTTCCCCCGCCATCTCCCTGACACTCCGTCCAGGATCACAGGAACTTTTCCAGGAGGAAATGTCTTTCTCTGGCTTGTTTTTCTGAGATCACTGCCCTTGAGTGACGTATCTGTACTTGTGCCCTTCCTCCTCCTAGCAGACTTGCTCAGGAAGGCAGATACCAAGCCAGCACGCCTTTCTCTCCTAGGGCCAAGGCCAGGGGTCTATGGGTGCTGAGTGGGTGACCCTGAGCCGACCCAGGGTGTAGCCACTGCTCAGGGACAGCTGGGTGGGGAGCAGAGCTCATTTGCTGCAAGACACTGGCCGGCACACAGCAGGAGCTTCCAGAGGCTCCAGGCAGCCCTCGGTGCTCAGGCCCCGAGCAAGAGAGCCGTGGTACCCCTTCAGCAGCCCGAGGCGGTCCCACAGAGCCTGGGGGTGCCCCTCCCCACTCACCAGCTACCCAACTACGGACATGGACCCAGCACAGAGCCCAGCACCACGCAGGCACTCGGCAGACGATGGTGAAGGAGAGGCCCCCCCCCACCACCGAGTGCTTGCCCCACGGGCCCTGCCTCATCCCCGCCCTGTGCTTCCTGGACGTGTGCCTGTGTGTGCCTACGTGCCTCCGCGTGCCTCTGCGTGTGCCTGCATGTGCCATGTGCCCTGGTGTCCTCTGGCCATTGCCTGGGTGCAGATCCCAGGAGTGGGCTCAGGCCCCGGGACTGTGTGTCCACGCTGCCTTCTCTGGCCCCTGAGGTGGAGGTTGGTGTCCAAGGCAGGCACCAGCGTTCTCTCAGGGGCTGGCAGAGCCTCCATTTGCACAACCCCCCTCCATCCACCCACACAGCCCGGTTCTCCCCAGGCCACGAGGCCAACCACTGCTTTTAAGGAGGTCACTCTTAGGGTTCCCGTTAGAGAGTAGCCTAACTTTCCTCCCCGCATGAAGCCCAGAGAGCTGAGAGGGTCCCGTGTGCTGGTGTGAGCCCAAGGGCCAGGCCCACCCCAGGAAGCCGCCGTGAGAGAGGAGCTGGCCCATGTGGGAGACCGGCCATTCGCAGCCCCTGGCTCGGGACCCCACGGTCCCCTGTAAAGGGACAGGGGCCGCTGCTTCCACCACCATGGGGCTGGCTGTCCTGGCAGCCTCTCTGGGATGGGCGGCCGGCTGTGAGGGCCGAGGACTCCAGGCCCGGAGGCGCCAAGTCTGTGGGACCGTGGCAGCTGCTGACATCCTGCCCAGCTGACCCTCTCATGCATGGAGCTGCCCTGGGCCCCACCAGTCAGCAGCCATGGCCTGGCAAGGGTGAACATAGCTGTTGCTCGGGGACCATCACCGTGGGGCCCAGCCGTCCGGGGTACACTGCCTGCCACTCAGCAGCACCATCGTCATCTGGGTCCTGGGCATCTGTGACAAGTGTCCTCATGGACACAGCTCACCCTTGGCTGGAGCCGGGCACCCACCCCACTCTCCAACTTCTAAAGCCAAAAGCACTTGAGGCTGAAGGAAGCGGCAGCTGCGGGCAGGTGGGGATCTGCCCAGGTCTCGGGGAGCCTGGACCACTCTGACCAGGCCATTCCTGCCGCCAGGTCCGCCCATGCGTGGTGCTGAGATCACAACATAGCACCGTCCACTGTGGCCAGGCCGGGCAGGTGAGGCGGGCAGGCAAGCGAGAAGGAAGTGGGCACCCACAGGCAGCCGGGCAGGGTGCAGGGAGGCAGGCGGGCCCTAGGCAGCCACAGAGGCCGCCCTGTCCTGCGAGGGCACCTGCCTCTCCGTGAGCAGAGCAGAGACAGAGGCTGCAAGAGCTCAAGCTCAGGCACAGTCTCTCCGGGGCTCAGAAGCTTCCAGAACTGGGGACCCAGGCTGCTTCCCGGGGAAGGCATTTTTCCTCTCCTGTGAGGAGGGTCCTGAGTGAGACGCCCCCCCCCCCCCCCACCAACCACTGGTCAGCAGCCTGAGCCAAGGCCGGCCACGAGATCCCAGGGCCCTGGGAGACCCAGCAAGGTCACAGCTGCTGGCTGGGCAGGGATGCGGTGACACCCCCACCCCTGGCAGGGAGTGTCATACTCCTGCTCTCACAGGTGCCCAGGTGCTGAGAGACACGGGCTTGGCCGTCACTAAGTTCCGAGAGCTTGACTCACAATGCCGAAATTATCGCCCTGCCCCAGGCTCCGCGTGGGATGGGCTGAGCAGCTGGAGGGGAGGAACAAGATGCTGCAGGGCCCAGGGAGATGCCCAGACAGGGTCCCGGAGGCCACTGAGTCCCTCCACACCAAGGACAAGAAGGCGGCCTGAGGGCCCACGAGCTCCAGACTCTGCATGAGCTTCCGGAGGGTCATGGAGAAGGAACACCACGCGTGGGGTCCAAGCATCCACGCCAGAGTTCACAGGATCTTCATCATGGAAATGGCCCGCACCTCGCTGACCCCGTAATAATCCCACCTCGGGGTCCACGCTGCAGCAGAGTCCCAGGGTTCTCTAGCGCATCTCTGGTGCCCAATAAAACCTAAGTCAATTGGATTGAATGTTTCGTGCTAAATTTTCTTCCTGTCTTTAAGGTTTCTACATAGTAAACACTTGCCACAATGTTACCAACTTACGACAAGCCATGTAAAGAAACTGCTGCATCTCAGGGACTCTTCAGCTGCCTGACCACCTCCAATTTGCAGATTTAAATGCAATTTTATTTCACCTTTGATCAAAATATGTACATAAGTTTCAACTTCAGGACATTCCTTATACTGCATAAAGCTTTGTCCTTTTCCAAAATTCCTTTAATTATTTCATATTTAGTACCTGAAACATCTCAGAAAATTAAATATCCTCATTTTTACACTTGAAAAAGTTCAGGTTTAGAAAGGGCAGCATCTCCCAAGGCCACGAGGGCTGTTGGAGCCGAGATTCACCTCCTGATGCTCAGCATGAGCCCTGGGAGCCCCACTGCAAGCTGCAACTACGCTGGACAGGTCAGAGGGAGGGAGAGGGGCCGCCACACTGCCCAGAGGCCAGACGGTCAAGAACCTGGGGTGGTCTCCTGGACAGAGGAGGGTGCTCTCGGCTGTAGCCGAGGCCGGTTCTGACACCTGTACCCGCACCCCACACCTCGCGTGTGCTCTTTTATAGCCGCAGGGATCAGCCCTCAGGAACACAGAAGCACTGGGGCCTCGGCTGGCTGGGGCTGCTGTGGAATCTCACATCATCTCCCCAGTCGTAGATGTTGATGCGGTTCGGTTCTGTTTTGTTTGGACCCTCTGGTCAAGTTGTCAAAGACAAAGAAATTAGCCCCAGCTTTGCGGGTCTTGTCAAAGACAAAGAAATTAGCCCCAGCTTTGCAGGTCATGGGTAACCCAACAAAGCACTAACGAGAGGATCGCGTAGCCAGGTCCCTGCTGTGCCACGTGCAGACTCCACGCAGGCCCACGCCATCTCAAGTGTGCATTTCTGGGGCTGACCATGAACTACTGCACAGACAGCACGTGCAGAAAGAAGGATCGGAACCTGACACAAAGCCCGGGTGCCTGGATGCCTGGTCTGCCAGTCAGTGGGCAGAAGCGCAGCCAGGGCCCTCGCAACACTGGCCATGGAGATGTCCAGGGCTGGGGTCACAGGTCAGCACTGGGCCCCACCCTCACCGCTAGTGACTCAGGGATTTGCAGGGAGGGAGGGAGGTGATTAACAGCCCTGAAGATAGTTCATGAACAGAAACCACTCGCTAATCTTTGCAAAGCCCCAGGCTGCGGAGGAGTGATTTTATCTGATGATATCCTCAGAACACTATTACTGTCAACACCGTAATAAACTGAGGTGTCAGACTGGACTTTTGGGGGATGGAAGAGCATATTCATGCTGCAATCTTCATCACAGTTTGGCCCTGCAGAACCTTCCAGAACAGCCACCCCCTCCTGCTTGCCTCATGACCCAATTACTCTCCAACGATGCAGTCACCTTCCCATTGACAGCAGAGGTCCCGGCCACAGGGGCAGCGGGCAGTCTGCCAGCCACATCTTCACTCTGTTTTGTCGTTAATCCTCAGGCAAAGCTGGGCCCAGCTCCCAAGGCTGGAAGGCGCCCAGTGCAGAAGAGAGACAGGGAGAGAAGGAGACCAGGGAGGGTAGGAGAGGGGCAAGGGGAAGAGGGATGGCTGGGCCGGCTTTCCAGGAGAGGAGAGGGACGCCAGCCCCCAGGGCTCTGAGCCCGGAGTCCCTCCTCACACCTGGCCCCTTTGCAATTCACCTGGTGTACAGAGGGCATTTCTGAAATCTTTGCTCCAGGAGGTGAATTTCAGCAGAATACCCATTGTTTGTATGAGGCACAGACCGGAGGGGACCTTGGTTGAATAACCAGTAATTGCAGGCACTCCCATGATCCACCTGGGAGGCTCGTCAGTTTTCTAAAACAGACACCATTGCTCAAGCCTGTTTACTTTTAAAGCACACAATAATGCTCGCTTGCTAGTTTGTTTTTGTCCTGCTAAATCTTTGAAAGGCTTTCCATAACTCCTGTCAAATGTTGCCAAATTCAACGCAGTTGGCATTTAAATATAACTTTGGAATCATGCACTGTTCCTTTTTCATAACTGACTGCGACTGGGTTGGGAAGGTAGGAGGGTGCACTCCCGGCCGAGCTGCTTGGGGCTCCAGGGCTGGGCCACATCCTTTGCTGCTGGTGCCTCAGGTCTAGAATCGGGCCCCAGGATTCCTCATCCAGACAAGCTCTGAGACTCAGAATATTCCCAGTTTTAGAGAAGTGGTACAGTGCAGATCCCAGAAGTCTCCTAACACCTGTCACCAAGCATTTTAATGTTTCTGCGGTAAGACTCAGACACGCTCACGCTCAGTTAGGCGCGTGAAGACCTGGGCAGACTCAGTCATCTCAGACCAGGTCCTGCTGCCCAGCAACCCCCAGAGAGCTTCCCGTGCTCCAGAACTGCCGGACTTGGGAGCGGCGGGCGAGGGGCTGAGGGAGGAGCTGCCGGTGTGGGCGTGAAGCCGCCAGGCTCCGCCTGTGCCCGCCACAGTGCTTGGCGTTCGTGAGGTGAGGCCCAGGCAGTGGGCCATGGTGCTTCCTGGCCTGGCCTGGGCACCGCAGCTCCTCCCTGCGGAGGCCGGTCTGATGCCGGGGTCTGAGCTCCTGTCACAGAGGTGCCATCAGGAAGACAGAAACCGAGGCCACAGAACCAATTAAACCAGGAGGACATCCGTGGATGTATTTGCTACATGCTGTTTCCTTTTTCTCTAGTGCACATCTTTTTAAAATAAGAGCCTTTCCCTACAGAGCCAAAATCGAATTATCATACTTAACAAAACATATATCCTTCATATCAGCCAATATCTAGTACATTTTCCA
This sequence comes from Homo sapiens, assembly GCF_000001405.40. Classification (NCBI taxonomy): domain Eukaryota; kingdom Metazoa; phylum Chordata; class Mammalia; order Primates; family Hominidae; genus Homo; species Homo sapiens. Next base: position 241,891,161 of record NC_000002.12, on the reverse strand, counting down.
GTTTCTCCAGTTGAACACAATTTCCTCTGAAGGCAGGTTTGTCTAAGGAAGATCAGACGTGGAACCAGTTCTGCCACCTGCCTCGCCGAGGAGGCCAGGTGTCCGGGAAAGGTCCCCCCCGGGCCTGTTGGTGCCGCCACCTGCCTTGCCAAGGAGGCCAGGTGTCCGGGAAAGGTCCCCGCCGGGCCTGTCGGTGCCGCCACCTGCCTCGCCACCGAGGAGGCTGGGTGTCCGGGAAAGGTCCCCCCCGGGCCTGTCGGTGCCGCCACCTGCCTCACCGCCGAGAAGGCCGGGTGTCCGGGAAAGGTCCCCGCAGGGACTGTTGGTGCTGTCCTGGGGGGTTCTTCCCCATCCCCCCTCATTCCTTAGAAATGGAAATCAGCTCCACAGGTTGCCGGATTCACGGTGAACATTTCGGCTGGGACGTATCCAGGGAATGTGAAGCTCCTGTACTTCTCACCAGGAGATATGCTCCCTGGGTGACCCCCACTGGGAGGCTGAGGCTGATGCCCACACGAGGGGAGGCTCACAGCCTTCCCTGCCATCGATACCAGACAAGGGTCCTGTCCCCAGCAGCTGCTCACCTCACTGGTCTAAACACTCATGGGCTAACCTTGTCCTAGTCCATGATTTCAGTGGTGTTTGGAAAAGATGATTTTTCTAACTCAGTCACTCATTCACATTTATGGGCCGACATTCCTTTTTGTTGTTGTTTTTTTGAGACAGAGTCTCATTCTGTCACCCAGGCTGGAGTGCAATGGTGCGATCTCGGCTCACTGCAACCTCTGCCTTCTGAGTTCAAGCAATTCTCCTGCCTCAGCCTCCCAAGTAGCTGGGATTACAGGCGTGTGCCACCACACCCATCTAAAGTTTGTATTTTTAGTAGAGATGGGGTTTCGCCATGTTGGCCAGTCTGGTCTCGAACCCCTGACCTCAGCTGATCCACCCACCTCGGCCTCCCTAACACTGTAATCCAAAGTGCTAGGATTATAGGCATGAGACACCATGCCCGGCCCAACATTCCTTTTTAAAGGAGGTCTTTCCTCATACCTAGTGCCATTTGGTTATACTGGCATCCTCTTTCTAGCACAAAACAAGATAATGTTTGATTTTTCCCTCTGGCTGCCAATATTCAAAATAAAGAGTTGGTTTAAGATCTGCCTGAGTTTTTCAGGCTTTCTCTTTTCTTAGAGTGTCATTGTGGATTCATGGATGTAAATGGATTAGATGTATCCTAGTTAACTATGGGCCTCATTCTTTTGGATGCTCAGGTTGTCCCAGATTTCACCAATGCCACCTCTTTCAAACTGGCTCCTTGTCTTCTCGACAGGCCCCATTCGTCCTGGAGAGCCCCCTCACTTTCAGGCACAATGAAACGTTCTGGGACCCTTGTGCACGTTGGCTGTCCCCAACCAGAAATCTGCCATATCTCTATTAGAAACCAGGGTTTGTCTTGATTGTCACAATGTAACATTAAAATTGCCTGTTCTTGAAATACTGGAAATAAGGGGGAAGCTGCAAATAACCCTATCCCTATTAAAGAAATTAAAGTTGTACATAAAAACCTTCCCACAAAGAAAACCCCAAGACTACAGTAGCAGGAAAAAAAGATTCAGTAGGTACTTATGACAAAATTCTTAGCAAACCAGAAATAATGGGGACCTTCCACAACCTGATTAAATACATTTATAGAAAACTAACAACTAAAACTAAACTAAAAGTGACCCATACTTAGGGCCACTTTTGACACTTCTGTTCCATACTGTACTGGGGGTCCCAGCCAATGCAATAAGGCAAGAAAAGGAAACAGAGGGCATAAAAATCAGAAAGAAAGATGGGGGAGGGAGAGGAAAAAGAGAGGAAGAAAGCCATTATTTGCAAGCATGATTATGTGTTGAGAAAACCCTATGTAATCTACAAAACAAACTACTGAAAATGATTCAGTGAATCTAGTCAGGTTGCAGGATATCTGATCAAGTACAAAATTCAATTATCTTCCTATATTTCTATGAACAATTTAAAAATGAAATTGTTAAACAATTCCATATGCAATGGCATAAAAAGGCACCAAACCTGAAGAATAGAAGTAACGGAGCCCCAGCTAGACAGCAGCTGATGCCCCCCGAGAGGTCCCATGCAGCCATCCCCGGGCAGCTGTCCCAGGTGCCCACCCCCCACTCACCAAGAGCCCTGAAAATCAAGGGTCTGAGCCCAGGGGAGCAGACCCAGCTCATGACAACAAATGTACAAGGCCAAACGGAAGGCACCTGCTGCTTCTTGCCTCCCAGCCTGACAGACAGTTACACGTGGTGGGGCCAGTGAGAGGGAGGATGGGAGGAAAGAGGCAGGGAGTGAGGGGTAGTGAAGGGAAGGGAGGGAGGAAGCAGGTTGGCAGGGGAGGGGGAGCCAGTGAGAGGGAGGACGGGAGGAAGCAGGTGGGGGGGCAGCAAGAGGGAGAATGGGAGGAAGCAGGTGGGGGGTGCCAGTGAGAGGGAGGACGGGAGGAAGCAGGTGGGGGGGCAGCAAGAGGGAGAATGGGAGGAAGCAGGTGGGGGTGCCAGTGAGAGGGAGGATGGGAGGAAGCAGGTGGGGGGGCAGCAAGAGGGAGAATGGGAGGAAGCAGGTGGGGGGTGCCAGTGAGAGGGAGGACGGGAGGAAGCAGGTGGGGGGGCAGCAAGAGGGAGAATGGGAGGAAGCAGGTGGGGGTGCCAGTGAGAGGGAGGATGGGAGGAAGCAGGCGGCGGGGGGGGCAGTGAGGGGGAGGGAGGGAGGAAGTCCACCCCACCCTCCAGCCTGACCTGAGCTGTGGCTGCCTCTGAGAGGGCAGAAGGGCCGGCCTGCAGGCGATACGCCCCCTGACACCCACTGAGTGAGACCGAGGGCACCCCCACCTGAATCCCCTCTATGAAGCTTAATGAGCTTAAAGGAGCATCGGAGCTGGGGGAATGGTGGCCCCAAAAGACATGTCCCCCGAGAACCTGCGAGTGGGACCTCATGGAGAAAGGGTCTTTACTGATGTAATTAAGTTTAGGTTCTCCAGATAGAATCATGGTGGATTAGAGCGGTCCCTGCATCCAATGACAGGTGCCGTTATAAAGCAGAGAACACAGGGAGACGGATGCCGCGTGAAGAAGAACGGAGCCAGAGTGACGCATCCACAAGCAGAGGAGCACGAAGATGCAGCGAGCCCCAGCATGGCGGAGAGAGGCAGGAAACGCATCCCCCTCAGAGCCACCCCCAGTCTCCCCTCAGAGCCCCCACAGCCCCCTCAGAGCCACTGCATCCCCCTCAGAGCCTCCGGAGGGAACCGACCCCATCACCACTTTGTTTCAGACTTCAGGTCTCCAGAACCGTGAGACAGTATCCGCTGTTTTGAGCCATCCGGTTTGTGGTACCTTGTTAACCTTCTTCTACAACCCTAAAAAGCAAATACCAGCATGCACTATTTTAGATTTTAAAACCAGGATTATAAAAGAACCACAGAAACACAGGGAAAGGCGCGATTATCCAGTTTTCTCGGGCAGTCGCTCTGAAGAGGAAATGTTGGAGAGGAATTTGCACAACAGAAGTGGGTTACTGAAGGGCATTGAGGCAGCCTCCTTGGGGGGCGCGGGTGGTCTGGTGGGTGGGGGTGAGGGGCAAATGGCAGAGAGAGAGAGAGAGAGAGAGGTGGGCCCTGCCTGCATCCTTCACTTCAGGGGTTTGCCTTGGCCAAACAGCTAGTTCTAGCCAAGAAACTTGGGCAGGGGTGATGCAGTCCACTCCTGGCCCTGGCTCATAAGACCCTCGCAACAGCCTCCTCACTTTCCTCCCCGGCCGTGTACTGAACGGAGAGGACGCCAAACCAGAGGACGGCAGCGCCACAGGTGGAAGGGGCTGCTGGATCCCTGAGTGACAGTGTGGAGCCGAGCTCCCTGAGGACTTGCATCACAGCACAGCAGTGCTAAGATATGAGGTGTGCCTCACGGATGCACCTGCTGTGTGCATGGGCCTGGACAGCATCCTACAGAGATCATGAAGCCTCAAAAATGTCCTCACTGGGGCCACAAAGAGATCAACACTGGGCCTCAGGAAGAGCGGTGGTGCAGGTGCGGGGGATGCGTTGCTGTGGGCACAGATCTGCCGCACCGGGAAGGGCAGGGAGGCCACTGAAGCAGCCCAGGCAGGTCTGGATCCCGAGAAGCAGCCTCCTGTCAGGGGCTGTGGAGACCGGAGGAGGCTCCCTGATGCCTCCTCTTCGAAAGACGCTCTGCACCCATGTATTTGTGCTCAATAAGACCCATTTGTTGCACGCAAGCTGGCACAGCTCATAATTCAGGGGCAAAGGAATTGGAAGGACATTTCAGAAAATCTGTAAACAAAAGCAATTATTCTTTTGTGCAGTGGAAAGAAAACACAACCAGCCATTTTTCCTCATTCTCTGCAGTGTCCGTGAGTGTGGCAGCCAAGCCTCAAATGTACTTGCTTCTCAGATTCAGCTCAACCCCCTCCATCAACACAACCACCACAAAACTTGGTATTTTTCTCCTACAAACTTTGCCCAATTTTCCCTTTTCCATCTGAAAAACAAGACTCCAGGCCACGTTCACTATGAGATTACTTAATGACTCTCTGTTGGCCCCGAGGTCTGCCACCTGCCCCCACCGCACTCCCCAAGGAGGAGGCCTGACAAACTCATTCATAGCGAGGCAGAGGACACGGTGATGCAGAAGAACATAAAAGCTGACGCTGGGGCTTTCCCAGGTCCCTGGAGACTGAGGCTACAGGGCGAATGTGCAGTGAAGGGCTCTGGGGTTCCAAAAGCTGTGGGGGGCTTCTGTGGCACAGCCCCTGTGGAGACTCAGGCACCTTCCTGGAGGCAGACCCAGAGCAAAGCTCTGCCTTAATCCTCCAAGATCTTTCTCAGGCCAACTCCAGTTCAACAAGGGACCTGACTTCTAGTTCACGGGGTTGTCCTGAGTGTTACAGAGAACGCGCATGTGAAAGAGAGGTGGAGTGCACACGTGCAAACAACATGCCCTGCACCCCGCAGCAGCCAGGTCTGTGCAGAGAAGCCTGGAGGACAACGTGGCTGGCATGGGCTGCTCCCAAGATGATAGACAGATGGACTGGAGCCAGGACCCTCACAGAGTATTTAGGGGGGTGGTGGCTGCACGGACAGCAGCTCTTCCAATACAACTCGGAGGCTTCATTTCTGCCTCACATGGGGTTTTGTTGCATCTCTCTGAAGGTCCTCTCGTTAAAGACCAGCACCCGCGTAACCCGTCCACAGCCTGCAGCCCTGCACAGAGGCTCAGACTCCTCGAAACCCCAGATGCTCCCCACCACCCGAGCTCCCACCTGCTGTAGGCAGTTAAACCACTCAAACTTCACTTACAGGATTATCCAGCTGAACACCCAGGCTGTACTGCTTAAGGGCTGCAGCCTTGAAAGACACACTCAAAATTACAGCCTCAGAAAGCACGCACTGCAGGGAAAGGCACTCAATAGAACATGCTGAGTGGTGCAATCCACCCTGGGGCCCCCAGAGGAGTCTGCATTTCTCTCCCCGTGAGCTCTTTAATGGTGCACACACAGCACCCAGCACGGAGGGGCTAATTGATTAGCTGTCTCTGCAGCACATGCTGCTGGCGCCATGGCTCACAGCAATTCCACGCTTACACTCACAGCCTGTTTCTCTGCTGTTGGAGCTCTGGTGGGCTGCAGGCTTCACTGCCACAACACACGGGACCCGGTGTCCACCTGCCACCTCCCCACCTGGGGCGCCTCTGGGCTGCTAGGCTGGTAAGAGGTCACCCCTGCCGTGACAGGGTAGCCAGTGCTGGACCTGCGTTCCTCCAGCAAATGGCTGTGAAACTGGACAAATACAGGGCCACTGTGATGGAGCCAACTGTGAGCCATGCTTCCCACCCTCCCCCTCCCACTCTGCCACCATAGGAGGCAGAGCTCGGGGAAACAAGGGCGCAGTGAGAGGAGGGCATAGCACCAGGGCTGGGGTTGGCCTGGGACAACAGAGAAGGAGCTGTGTGGATGCCGGACAGGGGAGATGGGGAGGAAAGTGACCATGGCTCACAGCGGCCTCAACCTCCTGGGCTCCAGGGATCCCCCTGCCTCAGCCTCCCGAGCAGCTGAAACTACAGGTGCACACCACCATGCTCGGCTAGTTTGCTTTCTTTTTAATAGACGAGGTATCACTGTGTTTCCGAAAGCAGTCTCGAACTCCTAAGTTCAAGCAATCCTCCTGCCTCTGCCTCCTAAAATTTGGGCATCACAAACATGAGCCACCACACCCAACTGACAGTTAATTTCTTAAAAAGTTAACTTTAATTTATTCAAAAGATTGTCTAAAGCAAAAGTAGCATTGTGTTACGGAGTTTGTAATGTAGGTAGAGGTTAAACATATGGCAACTGTAACAGGAAGAACAGGGTTAGAGGAATTACACCGTTACAAGTTTCCCACATTTTGTGTGAGGTGAATAGGCTGATAAATTAAGGATTCATTTTGTTGTCTTTAGGGTAACTACTAAAAATGGTAATACCAAGAGGCACAGCTAAAAGACCAACAGAGGTGTAAAACGAAGTACTAAAAAATTTCAATTAACCCAAAAAAGGCAGGAATGGAGGAACAAAGGAACAAAAAAATGACAAATAAAAAACAAATGACAAGATAAGACACTTAGAAAACAAGTAGCAAGATGGGGGATCTACAGCAACCTCATCAATCATTACTGGAATTGCAAATGGAGAAACTCCATGTGCAAAGCAGGGATTGTCACCAAGACCCAACTCCATCTACAGACACCCACGTAAGATACAAAGACAGGTTGGGTGTCTAAAGGATAGAAAAAGATCCACAGTGGTCCAGGAGTGGTCCCAGCATTGTGGTAGGCACAAGAGTGAGGATCACTTGAGTCTTAGAGTTTGACCTGTAATCCAAGCACTTTGGGAGGCTGAGGCAGGCAGATCACCTGAGGTCAAGAGTTCCAGACCAGCCTGGCCAACACGGTGAAACCCTGTCTCTACTAAAAATACGAAAAAAATTAGCCAGGCATGGTGGTTTGTGCCTGTAATCCCAGCTACTGGAGAGGCTGAGGCAGGAGAATTGCCTGAACCCAGGAGGCAGAGGTTGCAGCGAGCCAAGATCGCGCCACTGCACTCCAGCCTGGGCAACAAGAGTGAAACTCCATCTCAAAAAAAAAAAAAAGGAGTTTGAAAAATACAAAAAAAAAATTAGCCTGGTGTGGTGGTGCACACCTGTGGTCTCAGCTACTCTGGAGGCTGAGGTGGAAGGATCACTTGAGCCCAGGAGGTCGAGGCTGTGGTGAGCCAAGATGGCACCACTGCACTCCAGCCCGGGCAACAGAGTGAGACCCTGTCTCAAAAAAAAAAAAAAAAAGGAAAAAAGTGGCCAGGCACGGTGGCTCATGCCTGTAATCCCAGCACTTTGGGAGGCCAAGGTGGGCAGGATCACAACGTCAGGATATAAAGACCATCCTGGCTAACACGGTGAAACCCCGTCTCTACTAAAAAAAATACAAAAAAATTAGCCAGGCGTGGTGGCGGGTGCCTGTGGTCCCAGCTACTCGGGAGGCTAAGGCAGGAGAATGGCGTGAACCCGAGAGGTGGAGCTTGCAGCGAGCCAAGATCGCGCCACTGCACTCCAGCTTGGGCAATGGAGCAAGACTCTGTCTGAAAAAGAAAAAAAAAAGAAAAAAGAATAGAAAAAGGAAAAGATACACAGTGCCAATTCTGTGCATAAGAAAATAGCCCTGGAACACTCACATTAGACCAGGTAGCACCCCTGAAGATAAAGAGGGACATTCCATGATGACACCATGGTCAGCCACTGTCAGGATCACAGAAAAATCCTAAATGCCTAAAAAGATAATAACAGTTTCAAAAAACACGAAGTAAAAACGGACGGAACTGAAAGAATAGAGAAATTCACTGTCCTAGTTGGAGATGTAACAGCTCTCTCGGGACTGCAAGCACAGCGGGTGGGACAGGAAGGATTCGCCGGTTTAAAGAGCACTGTCAACCAGCTGCACCTCATTAACTCTTGGCGAGCATCCCACCCCACAGCTGCAGAACACAAGTAATTTTTGAGTGTATACGGAGCATTTACAAAGATAGGGCTTATGTTAAACAGTAAGAATAAGTCTCTGTAATTTTAAAAAGTGAGATCCTGCAGTTTGTTCCTTGATCAAAATGGAATTAAATCAGTAATAGCAAGATTCCTTTTAGACTCTCCACATATTTGGAAAGTGGGCAATACTCTTCTAAATATGCTTCTCAGAATAGAGGGTTTAAAAAATAAATACACACATAAAGAGATTCTTCTAAATAAAGCATGGGTCAAAGAAGAAATCCAAAGAAAATTAGCACTTATTTCAAATATCCATCAAAATATTACACAAAAATTGTAGCATAGTCTTAGAGGAAGATTTGTGACTTTAAATACTGACGACATTTCAACAAAGAAGGTACACAGTGATCAATACACTCATGAAAGGGTGTTCAACTCACCCGTCACAAGGAAATGCAAACTAACGCCTCACTGAGATCTGCCAAACTTCTGGTGCCGACTGTGACCTGGCCGCGCCTGCGGGGGGCAGAGGAGAGAAGGAGACTGGGGGTGAGGTCCACGTGTCCCAGGCAGGGGGACAGAGGCCAGAAGAAAGTGGCTGCGGGTGAGATCCACATGTCCCAGCCAGGGACGGAGAGGAGGGAGAACCGGACAGCAGCATCTGCTTCCAGCCACGTCACGTGTTTGGAGAGGCGGTGTCACCTCAGTGTGAGGAATGGCCACTCAGGACACGTCTGGACTTCCTCCCAGCCACCTCTCACCAGGGATCAGAATCCCGGCCCCGGGGACCCTCGACCCATAAACATCTTGGGCCTACAGCACCACCAAGCACGCCACAGCCTTGGCCTGGGGCTGCTTCAGAGACACCGCACGGAGGGCTTCTCACTTCCCCAGCCAGGAGCCACCCACGCTGCACCCGGGGAGGCCCCAGTTGCATCTGTCCCACCTTTCAGACCGAGCCAGCCAGAGGCGCCCAGAAAGACTATGCCAGGCCTCAGCTGTGTTGAAACCCAGGTTGGGGACAGTGGCAGGACCTGTGCCAGCGTCTGCCCTTGCTCCTGGCTGGATTCAGTTACTTGGCTGGGCCCCAGTGAAGGCGCAGAGGGCACCACCACCTGCACAGGAAGGGAAGGAAGCCCACAGCAGAGCCAGCACACGTGTGGCCACGCCCCGGCCCAGCCCCCCCTCACACGTGGCCACACCCCCTGCCCAGCCCCCTTACATGTGGCCACACCTCCGATCAGCCCCCTTCCACACGTGGTCACGCCCCCTGTTCAGCCTCCTCGCACATGACCACGCCCCCGTCCAGCCCCCGCACACAGGGCCACTCCTCTAGCCCAGCCCCTCACACGCGTGACCACGCCCCTTAGTCTCCTCGCTCGTGGCCACGCCCCCTGCACGGCCCCCTCGCGCGTGGCCACACCCCTGTCCAGCCACACACACACACACACACACACACACACACACACACACACACACACGCTGGGCCACGCCCCTACCCAGCCCCCTCACACGTATGGGCACGCCCCTGCTCAGCGCCCTCACACGCATGGCCACCCCCCGTCCAGCCCCTTAACGCGTGCTGCCCCGTGCCCACCTACAGCGGCCTCCTCCGCACCAGGGCTGACCCAGTGTGGGGTCCAGGTGGGCTCTGGTAGGCCCCCGGGCAGAGCTGTGCCCCGCGTCACTGAGGATGCACAGAGAAAAAGGAAGGGGCGGAGGAAGCGGAAACCCGAGCAGCGCTGCCTGGGCGTGGCAAGCCCGCTAGTTTTCCCGCCCGCTCATCTGCTTTCCCTCCCTCCATAATAAGTGTGGCACCTGGAGTGTGTGACTTTCATGATTTTCTTTTAGGAGAAACATAACGCAGTCCTCTGTCCCGCCCCTCCTGCAGGGAATGGTCATGGGGGCGTAGTTAACCCCATGCGTGCGGAGGTACACCTTGGAGCCCAGCGCCGACACAGGTCAGGAGAGTGTTAGCCACTGCTGAATGACTCCTGTTGTGTGCAAAATTGTTTTGACTTTTAAAGACTACACACAACCCATTCTGCCATTATTTAGGGTGAATTATACTGCTGGGTCACAAGAAGAAGACGTGGCTCCTCTTGATGCTGAGGGAGGCCTGGAAGTCATTGCTGGGAGCTTGGGAAGAGGGCTCCCCGAGGCAGAGCCTCCCAGGGGACAGAGGCGGCCCAGCGATGACCTGGGAGGTGAGCACAGGTGTGCGGGGCCCCTCGGGGCCCACCATAAGGCCCCACAGCAGGCCCTAACCTCCCCCATGTGTCCTAAGGCAGTTCCATTTGCATTGGCAATGGTCATTTCACTACTTCTGACCTGGAAGCGAGGTATATGTTTGGAGGTGACACGAGGCTCCCAAAGGGGTGCTATAGGGCGCCTTTTCTTATTTTATAAAACTTACATCGAAATGAGCCGCACCCTGAGGGGCAGCCCACCTGCTCACCCCTGGAGGGACTCTCCCAGGGCTGAGGGTCTTCCCCAGATGCTTCACCCGGGCTCCTCCAAGTGTGGGGTGGCCTTCAGTCTGCTGCGAAGAGGATGTGGGGTGTCTGGCAGCCACTCTGCTCTGGATTTGCGGGAACCTCTGCTGCCTCCCTGGTGCCCCTTGATTGGCGCTGGGTCTAGGAACCCCCTCTGGGTTGGAACTGGACTTGAAAAGGTCATTTTCTGCCTGCACCCACCAAGGCCACCTGGGGCTGTGGAGCCAGGAAACCCCTGTCACTCTCCTCAGATGCTGGCCCGAGGGCACCCTCAGTCTCCCTGAGTCCAAATCACCTTTTCTTCCCAAATGACCCAGCAGCCTAGGCCAGCCCCAGCTGGAAAGACTGCTCCCCTCTCTCCTCCGCTCTGCTCCCCTGCCCTCTCTTCCCCTCCCCTCCCTTCCTTTCTTCTGCTGGCGGAAGTCCTGTGCCAATCCCACATCCACATCCGTCACTGCACTCCTGGATCACACCTGGACAGACACAGAACTAGTCCTGGGAGTGATCCCAGGGCCAGGACCCTAGTAATGAGTTATCTAAATGTCTCTGGGTGTCTGGAATTGGTTCTCTGCTCCAACTAGCTTTAAAGGCATTCACGCTCTGTTCCCAGGGGTACCAGGGTGCTAGCTGCCCACAGGAGTAGCATACAGGCACTCAGATTGCCACCTGCAGACATCTGTAATCAAATGGCCATAGGATGCCTGGCCCTGGGCATCAAGGGAAAAATTTAGGGGTGTAGCTGGGTGGGCGGATGCTTCTAAGTGTGCTGGAGAACTTGGGGAAAAAGAGAAAGGCCTCCAATTTAGCCCCCAAAGTCCCAGGCAAACAGGGACACTTGCCATAACAGGTGGAGACATTCCCCAAAGGCTGGGAGGCAGAGTGGAGGCATCGCCAGGACCCCAGCCCTCTGCTGCCTCTCCTGTACAGAGGTACAAAGTCCCAGGCCCCAGAAGGAAAGGGAAGGAGATCCCCGAACCTCTGCTCCAGCTAGGACCTCACTGAGGCCCAGGTGGTGTGACCCTCCACCTACCAGCCAGCCCGGGGCCCGGATCACAGCGTGGCCACTCCTCCTGGGGACTTCCCTGGCCTCCCGCTCCCCTCGCCAAAGCTGCGGGTGAAGCAGCTCTAGCCCACCCTAGCTAGCCATTGTCCAAGGCCAAGGCCCGCCTGTCCACCTGAATACCCAGGGTCCAGGGTAACCAACCTGATCCTAACCCAACCCTGCAACAGGTAGCTACATAAATCAGCACAGACCCTACCCCACCCCCAGACACTTAGAGAGGCATTCGCTTTATCCACCACAGGGTGATGGGAGCTGCTGTCAGAGTTCTCGCCAGACCCTCCCAGGGAACCCCAGACTTGGTTTCAGCAGGAACCACATGTGACCCTGGATGAGCTGACCCCCATCACTAGGAAATGTACCTTAAGTCAGAAAAGTATTCACACTTTGAGTCCCCTCAACTTTGGCTGAACTAATAGCAATTACATTAAAAATGTGTCTGCCCTTCATCTTCTTTGACTTTGATATTAAATATCTCTACTAATAACTCAGTTGCCTAAAGTCGTTACTGCTACCTCATATTTAATTAGGCCCAACCTGGCCACTCCAACCATATAGGAGACTCAGGCAAGAGCTCAGATGTAGGCTCAGGTTAAAGTTCCAGTGTGGATTCAGGTGTGGGCCCAGGTGCAGCCTCAGGTGTAGTCTCGGGTGAGGGCTTAGGTGCAGCCTCAGGTGTAAGCTCAGGTTAAAGTTCCAGTGTGGGCCCAGGTGCAACCTCAGATGAGAGCTCAGGTGTGGGCTCAGGTGCAGCCTCAGACGAGAGCTCAGGTGTGGGATCAGGTGCAGCCTCAGACGAGAGCTCAGGTGTGGGCTCAGGTGCAGCCTCAGACGAGAGCTCAGGGGAGGGCTCAGGTGCAACCTCAGATGAGGGCTCAGGTGTGGGCTCAGGTGCAGCCTCAGATGAGAGCTCAGGTGTGGGCTCAGGTGCAGCCTCAGATGAGGGCTCAGGTGTGGGCTCAGGGTGAGAGTTCAGCTTGCTGCTTGGCATGTGAACCCCAGGCCTACCCTTGGCTTTTGAGCTAGTGTCTGTGCCTGGGCTTTCCCGCGACCATGGCGGTGCATTCAGCACTCACAGTACCGCATTTGCCTTCACAGCGGTGAGTGCACGCATTGCCTTAGCTCCCATTTTTACTAGTGAATGTAACAATTAATTAAATAAATACAATTACTAATGAAACCAATGGTAACAATGCTGATGATGGGTAGTTTTAACAACTCATCTGATTAAGCCGAGAAGCAGTTCAACAGCAATGAGGGCAAGGGAGCGGCCCCAGAGATCCACGCCCTCCCAGGCCTCCCTCGACAACAAGGTCTGCTCTTCCCCCACAGCGGCCACACGGGGGCGCCGCAGGACAGCGCGGAGTGGGCCGGGAGAGGGAGGGGAGCGAGGAGAGGGATGGGGTGGGGGGGCCGGGAGAGGGAGGGGAGCGAGGAGAGAGGGAAGGGGTGGGGGGGGCGGCCAGGAGAGGGAGGGGAGGGAGGAGAGGGATGGGGGTGGGGGGGCCGGGAGAGGGAGGGGAGCGAGGAGAGGGATGGGGTTGGGGGGCGGCCAGGAGAGGGAGGGGAGCAGAGAGAGGGACAGGTTGGGGGGGCCGGAAGGGGGAAGGGGGAAAGAGGAAGGGGAGGGGAGGGGAAGAGAGAAAGAGGGGCGCTGGACAGGTACACGAGGAGGGGAGAGGGACGGGGAGGGGGCTGGGAGGACCGAGAAAGGAGGGTCGGGGGAGGGGTAGGAAAGAAGGACCAGGAAGGGGGTGGGAAGGGGGTGGGGAGTGAGGAGCATGGGGGGTGGGGGGCGAAGGGCGGGGTAGGGGCCCTGGGGAGGTCGGGGAGGGGGGTAGGGGGCAGTTGAGGTCAAGCAGGCCAGGGAGCTGAGCGGTGGCCAGGGAGCTGAGCGGTGGCCGGGGAGCTGGGGGATCCCGGGTGCCTTTGGAAGCCCTGAGGGTGTTCTTCCAGGGTGGGCGGGAACCTGCAAACTTCAGGGCCCCCTGGCAGGGTGCGGAAGGACCCCGAGGGCAGGAGTGTCTGGGCAGCCCTGAGGCAGACAAAAGGAAGCCCCTTGGGAGAGGTGGGGGTCTCCCACCGTTCCTGAGGCTGCCCCCACGGCCTGCAGGGAAGGGGGTCCCAGGTGACAGTCGTGTCCTGTGTCCTGACAGGGTCAGATGCTGGGAGCTGCCCGATGGCAGGGGTGGGCTGGGAGCCATCCTGAAGTCTGAGCTGGGTGGGTTGTAGCGACGGTGCCAGCCTTCCCTTCTTCCTCTTCGGTGGCCACATTTTAGTAGCCATGCGACCAAGCGAGGTCACTGCAGGGTGGCCCCTCTTGTGCTCATATAGGGACACCTGTGCACAGGCTCCTGGGGTGGGTGGCACTGAGGGCAGGGGCGTGGATCCAGAACACAGAGCCTCCCTGCGACCTCCCTGCCCTGGGCCCCAGAACTCACCCACCCTCTGGGCCCCAGCAAGCTCCCAGCCAGAGGTGGCCTGGCAGGCGATGGGAGAAGGGCAAGGTCAGGGCCTTGTGCCCCCTGCCTGGGGCCTCAGGTGTTCCTGTGATTCCCCCACCCACAGCGCCTGAGACCACCGCCCCATAGTGCTGGGCAGAAGGGGTGGGGAGGGGCACCTGCTGTCAGCCCGAGGCGGCCAGGCTGCCCACCCAGGAGGCCCCCAGAGCCCCTGCCCCACTAGAGGAAAGCAGATTCCCCAAACCCATCCCAGGACGAGGCAGGCTTGGGCCCTCTGAGTCGGCGTGTGGGGCTCCTGCCACCCTGCAGTTGCGCCCCCGGGGCCCTGGACTCCAGTTTCTCCTGGGACCCTCGTCCCTGCAGTTGGCCCCTGAGGCCCTGGATTGGGGTTTCTCCTGGGACCCCCGTCCCTGCATTTCGGCCCCTGGGACCCTGGATTCCAGTTTCTCCTGGGACCCTCGTCCCTGCAGTTGGGCCCCTGAGACCTGGATTGAGGTTTCTCCTGGGATCCTCGTCCCTGCCGTTGGGCCCGAGACCTGGATTGGGGTTTCCCCTGGGACCCTCGTCCCTGCAGTTGGGCCCCTGAGACCTGGACTGAGGTTTCTCCTGGGATTCTCGTCCCTGCCATTGGGCCCCTGAGACCTGGATTGGGGTTTCCCCTGGGATCCTCGTCCCTGCAGTTGGGCCCCTGAGGCCCTGGATTGGGGTTTCTCCTGGGACCCTCGTCCCTGCAGTTGGCCCCTGAGACCTGGATTCAGGTTTCCCCTGTGTGGGCAGCAAGCCACCCAGGCACCGAGGCAAGACACCGAGGACACGAGCTGTTCCAGTATAATAAAATATAAAACAAGAATAGTTATACCAGATATAGATCTTAGATATGATTATATATGAATATCATTAATCATTAGTTGCTAGTAATTACTCTTTATTCCAATATTATAATAATCCTCGCTCTACAATCATAACCTAGGAAAAACCAGGCCATACAGAGATAGGAGCTGAGGGGACATAGTGAGGAGTGACCAGAAGAGTGCGAGCCTTCTGTTATGCCCGGACAGGGCCACCAGAGGGCTCCTTGGTCTAGCGGTAACGCCAGCGTCTGGGAAGACACCAGTTGCCAAGCGGACCGTGGTCTAGCGGTAGCGAAAAGTGTCAAGGAACAACACCCGCTACTTAGCAGACCAGAAAAGGGAGTCTCCCTTTCCCCGGGGGAGTTTAGAGAAGACTCTGCTCCTCCACCTCTAGTGGAGGACCTGACATCAGTCAGGCTCGCCCACAGTTATCCGGAGGCCTGACCGTCTCCCTGTGATGCTGTGCTTCAGTGGTCACGCTCCTAGTCCGCCTTCATGTTCCATCCTGTACACCTGACTCTGCCTTCTAGATAGCAGTAGTCAAATTGGGGAAAGTACTAAAAGTCTCTGATATGCAGAAATAATGGCGTGAGCTGTCTTTCTCTTTGTCTCCTCTCTCTGCCTCGGCTGCCAGGCAGGGAAGGGCCCCCTGTCCAGTGGACACGTGACCCACATGACCTTACCTATCATTGGAGATGACTCACACTCTTTACCCTGCCCCTTTTGCCTTGTATCCAATAAATAACAGCGCAGCCAGACATTCATTCGGGGCCACGACCGGTCTCCGCGCATTGGTGGTAGTGGTCCGCAGGGCCCAGCTCTCTTTTCTTTTATCTCTTTGTCTTGTGTCTTTATTTCTACACTTTCTCGTCGCCACACACAGGGAGAAGCCCACCGACCCTGTGGGGCTGGTACCTGCACCCCTGGGACCCTCGTCCCTGCAGTTGGGCCCCCGAGGCCTGGATTCTGGTTTCTCCTGGACCCTCATCCCTGCAGTTGGGCCCCCGAGGCCTGGATTCTGGTTTCTCCTGGACCCTCATCCCTGCAGTTGGGCCCCCGAGGCCTGGATTCTGGTTTCTCCTGGACCCTCATCCCTGCAGTTGGGCCCCCGAGGCCTGGATTCTGGTTTTTCCTGGACCTTTGTCCCTGCAGTTGGCCCCCGAGGCCCTGGATTGGGGTTTCCCCTGGGACCCTCGTCCCTGCAGTTGGGCCCTGAGACCTGGATTGGGGTTTCTCCTGGGACCCCCGTCCCTGCATTTCGGCCCCTGAGACCTGGATTGGGGTTTCTCCTGGGACCCCTGTCCCTGCAGTTGGCCCCCGAGGCCCTGGATTGGGGTTTCTCCTGGGACCCCTGTCCCTGCAATTGGGCCCTGAGACCTGGATTGGGGTTTCTCCTGGACCCTCATCCGTGTCACCCGCAGGCTGGCTGCTGTCTCCAGCCTCTGTGCAGGGTGGAGCCTCCTGGGGCCGCTGGGGTCTCCATCGGTGCCCGGTAAGCAGAGGGTGCCGGGTTGGGACAAGAGGTTCTGCTGCTTCCCCTTGAAGCCCCCGCACCACCTGCATCCGAGCCCACCACAGCTGTGTGGGAGAACGCCCCCCCTGCCACTTCTCCCCCGCACACCCCAGGGGTCCAGGCCAGCCTGGCAGGCAGAATCTCTGGGCTGGCCCCCCTCCCCACCAGGGGCCCTGGACGCGGTTTCCCCTTTCTACAGGGCAGGGCTTCCCCAGTCACAGACCCCAGGGTCTCCCCAGGCAGTTCCCAACCTTCCAGGACCCTCAGGGCTGACCCTGCCTGAGAGGCCGGACAGTCGGACCCAGACACTGCCACTGTCAGGCCCCCACCTGGCTGGGACAGCCGGGAATCCCAACACCCCCGCCCCTAGGAAATGGAAACTGGACTCTTTTAAAATGAAAATCCAGTGTGTGGCTTTGAGTAACAGGAGAGTTTTCTGTCATCTGCAATGGATAGAATTTCTCAAACCCAGACAAGCTCAGAGCCCCACCGTGGCCTCCCACCCTCTGGATGAGAGGTGCCAAGATCCCTCCAGAGGCTACACTGAGGCTGGAGGGAAGAGGGAGGGCGTGACAAGCCAGTCTCAGTGGGGGCTTGAGTCTTTCCTGGAGAGAGGTAAGTGGCCTCTTCCACAAGACCCCTGGGTCCACACAGGAGGGAGGTTAATTTGCACCTGACACGGAGCCGGAGCCAAAGCTTCCTCTCCTATCCCAGGAGCCACACATGGCCAGGAATTCGGAATCCCCAAGAGGGAGCTCTCCCCAGGGGAAGAAGCGGTGGGCGTGAGGGGCCCCTGCAGGGTGGAGGGACAGAAGGACCGGCCCAGGTTTCTCTCACCTGGAAACCTCCCCTAGGTGGAGGGCTGCGTGGCTGGCTTTGCTTGGTTTTATTGAAGTTACACACATAGGAAGAGGCTGGAGCACACAGGCACAGCTCAGGGCAGACCCACAAAACCAGGGGCAAGAGACAGGAGGGGCTGAGCTGCTGGCGGGGGCGGGGTCTCAGAGGTGAGGCGGGGTCTCGGAGGCGGGGGGCGGGGTCTCGGAGGCGGGGGGCGGGGCCTCGGAGGTGAAGCGGGGTCTCGGAGGCGGGGGGCGGGGCTTCAGAGGCAGGGGTCTCAGAGAAAGGGGTCTCGGAGGTGGAGGCGGGGTCTCGGAGGTGGAGGCGGGGCCACGGAGGCGGGGCGGGCATCTCAAAGGTGGGGTTGGGGGGTGTCTCAGAGGTGAGGCGGGGTCTCAGAGGCAGGGCGGGGTCTCGGAGGCGGGGGGCGGGGCCTCAGAGGCGGGGGTCTCAGAGAAAGGGGTCTCGGAGGTGGAGGCGGGGTCTCGGAGGCGGGGCGGGCATCTCAAAGGCGGGGTTGGGGGGTGTCTCAGAGGCGAGGCGGGGTCCCAGAGGCGAGGGTTGCCTGAACTTCGGGGCGTCACACTTGCTGCGGGTAGATCCCGGGGTTCAGCCGACACATGCACATCAGCCAGAAGACGCACACGGTCATGGACACCCAGATCCAGAAGTCCTCGTAGGGCTCGGCGTGCGGCCTACGGCAGGCACGGCCAGGGCGCTCGTCTTCCTCCCGGCGGCACCCACAGCGGGCCTTGTGGAACCTGGACCTCAGCTGCCTCTTCTGGTAATAGCCTTGGGAGAAGCAGCCATTGCCCTGGGGGCCGTAGGCAACGTGGCCACCGCCCTTGCGCTTTATGACATCGAAGACTGCGAAGGGGATGGTGATGCAGCCCTCACTAACCGTGATGGGGCCCTCGGCATTGGCCTCCAGAGGGGCGTCGTGACCCGCGGTGACCAGGCCACCTTCCTTCTCTTTGCCTTCAGTGATGTCAGTAAAGGCATCTTTGCCTTGGACATCAGCAGGGAAGGGGAGGGCAAGGGAGCCCTTGACCTGGGAGGGGAGGCCACCAGCATTGGTCTCTGGCAGGGCGTCGTGACCCACTGGGACGAGGCCCTGGCCGCCTCCTTCCTTCCCGTTGCCTTCAGCCACCTCAGCAACGGCATCCTTGACATCAGTAAAGATGAAGGGGAAGGTGATGGAGGCCTCTTTAGTGGCCACAGGGCCATCGGTGGGCTCCGAGAGGGTGTTGGTGAAGATGCTGGTGAGGGAGGAGGGGAAGGTGAGGGAGCCCTCCCCGCTGGCCGAGAGGCCCACACAGTAGAACACGGTTGGCGTGTGTTTCCCCACAGGGACGAGGCCATTGTTGAGGGAGATGGGGCCCCAGCCCTGGGCCACGCCAACCGGGCTGCAGAGGGAGCCCCGGCCTTTGAAGAGGAAGCCCTTGAGCTCGAAGGTCTGGATGCTGCTGCCGAGGAGGCCGGGGCCGTGGAAGAGGGGGTCTCCAATGGCCACCGGGAAGCCTTTGCCCCCAGGCATGGCCACTGAATCCCCAGACAGGAAGATGGAGCCCTGGCCGATGACCAGGGCCTCACAGCTGCCAGTCACAGGGAGAGAGGCCCCCGCAGGGGGGGCAGGGCCCTCAGCGATGGGCACCTGGTCATTGCTGGTACCCACAAGGGAGAAGGGGATGGCGATGACAACGCCACCCTTGCCAAGGTCGTCGCCAGGGGTGGACAGCGGTTTGCCCCTGGAGACGGTGCCAGTGCCACCCCAGGCCGTGGCGGGGAAGTTGCCTTTTGTGGCGTTGGCGCTCCAGGCGGGGTCTGGGGCCTTCTGGAGGAAGCAGACCCCCAGCTCACAGGCCTCACAGCAGCCCTCATAGGCCTCCCTGGGGTGCCGGGCTGGGCCGGGGCCATCCCCGTAGCAGTCCTGCAGGATGTGCAAGACCAGCCTGCTGAGGAAGGGCTGCTCGCCCGGGGGCCTCACCTGGCAGTCCCCGGGTGCGGGGCACAGCCTGCACCGCTGGCCCCAGATGCGCATCTTCACCAGCCCCCGGTGGCTGGCCCTGTCCCACCACAGGTGGAAGAGGACGTGCACATGGGCCGAGTCCCAGGTCCCCGGACAGTGACCGCACTGGAGCCTGCGGCGGGGAAAGAAGTGTGTGTGAGTGCAGGAGAAAGAGGCCCCACGCCCAGCCCTCGCACTCTGCTCTGCGGCCTCCTTGCCCATCCGACCCCAGCGCCTCGCTGCCCCCTGCCTCACATCCCACACTCAAACCTCAAACCTCACCCCCCAGCCACCCAGGGCCGCGGCCAAGGCAGCCTAGCACCTGCTCCTGCCTGTGCCGAGGCTCTGAAACCACCAGCCCCTCGGCCACACACAGGCAAAAGCAGGCCCATGCGCACTAGCCCGCAGCCCCCTCATGTGGAGCACTGAGAAGCAAAGCAAACCTCCTCTCAGCAGTTTTTCAACAAAACCCGCTCCAGCCTGGCCTCCGTGAGGCGTCGGCAGCCTGCCACCTGCGTGGCTCTGCTGGTGTTTTGTGAGTTGGGGTTAACACAGGAAGAGGCAGGCCTGCCGACACACTTAGGAGGGGAAAAGCATGCATGTGGGGGCTGTCCCTGGGGGCTCAGCAAGTGGGGGTCCCTGTCCTGACTGAGAGGAGGCGATCCAGGAGGTCGCCTGCCAGCTGAGGGGAAGGATGTCACGGAGGCCTGCGGTCATGGCCCGGGCAGCCCTGCTGGGCGTCACCAGGCGAGGAGAGGTTTGGGGAGAGCACTGGGAGGGATTGGCTTGTCCATGGCGGTCATCAGACCGGTGACCATTTGCTAGCCACACAAGCAGCTGTGAGCTTCAGGGAACCCTGCATGAGTGAGAGGCTATGATTCAGTTCCAGGCAGTGGAAGTTTCTGGATGACAGAATGTTCTATAGCCACACTGCCCTGCCTGCAGCCTCCAACCACACTGGCCACAGAGCCCGTGGACACGTTCGTGCTGGAGGAACTGAACTGCTGACTTTATTTAAATGGGACTGAGGAGCCAAAGCCACGGGCGCTGGGGCTGCATGTTGGGGCAGCCGTCCTCAGTTCTCTCCCGCCAGCTGGGAGCCGCTCAGAGCCATCTCCACCTGGCTGTGGGAACAGTGATGTGCTTCCCAGCACTTCTCAGACCCCAACACGGGTTATTACTTTCCCAGCTTCTGAAAAAGCTGGGATTCTGCACACACCTGGCCCCAGGGGTCTCAGGCACTGAGGAGCTGTGTCAAAGGGCAGGACGACTCCCCCTTTGCCCAGGGTGTCTCCACAGAGGGACGGACCAGCCAGCAGCCTGGGGGCCTGTCAGGCCGGGCATCTGCGAGGATGTGGAGCTGCCCCGCGCCCCTCCCAGCTGGCACCCGGCCGAGCTGTGGATGCCTTGCCAGTTGGAGAAGCGCATGGCGCCCGCCCTGCTGCGCTGACGGCACCACAACCGTGATGACGGCCTGTGAGGCTCACTTGTGACCCACAGCCACCCCGGGCCCCCGATCAGGGCCGAGCACCCCGCTGTGTGCAACACAGGGCCGGATGGTGACCACAGGCTCCGGCACGCCCCAGGGCCCACCTGTCAGCACTGATGGCTGCGAGACCACGGCAGTGCCATGGAAGCAGGAGATGAGCCTGTGTCCAAGGGCAGCGCTGGCCCAAGGAGCCGAGTGAGGGAAACCAAACTCTCCATGAGGCACCCGCCATGTCTTCCCCGGGACCCCTGCGTCAGCAGCCGTGTGCCCAGCATGGCGAGGCAGGGGCTCCGGCGGGAGAAGGAGCACCCAGCCCCACCCTCCCGTCTCGGGGACAAGACGAGGCCCAACAGCCCCACCCAGCCTCTGGGACCACCCAAGGTCCCGTGGAAAAGCACCTTCAGCCCCCTGCCTCTCCCAGGGTCCCCAACCTCTGGCCGCACCTCGAGAGCCCCACCAGCAGGTACTGGACACCACCGCCGTCCAGGCATCCCGGGACCAGGCTGTGCTCAGGTAGCAGAACCCAGACGTCCTGGGGCTTCCTCTCGGCCATGGCCAGGGTGAAGGTGCTGGCCCACATGTCTGCCCCAGCCCGGTCCATGCTGCCGCCTGGCTCCGCAGTGTGGGCTGAGGGCTGCGCCCGCCGGGGGCCCAAGGAAACGTCCCCGCATCCCGCGCCGGCCAATCAGCCACCTTGACAACAGCATGGTCTCCATGGCAACCAGATTTGTCTCCGAGAAATGGGAAGCAGAAAGGAAAAATACAATACAATGCAATCTCCCATGACCCCGCCCCCCAGAGAGCATCCCTGTGGCAGCACCGTGGTGGTGGTGGTGGGCGTGGGCCCGTGGACACGCAGGGGCCTCCCCAGACCCGTGCGTGTAGAGGCCCGGGTGTTTTCACACATCGCACCAAGGAATCATCCACAGCCCTCTCTTTCTAGTGCACATCAGGAGCGGTGGCCCACACTCATCCCTTGCTGAACACTTGGTATTTTTCCAGCTTGTGGCTATCATGTAACTTATTCACTCAGCTTCTCTCTGCAAACAGCACTAATGCTTTTCACACAAACAAAGCTGAGAAGAACTTTATAGAACGTGTATCATTGCAGATTGTCCCGTGGGTGTATTCTCTTAAACTTTTTACTAGTGAGAAATATAAAATATTTACATAAAATGCCTAAAACATAAATGCAGAGCTTCACAAATTATTCTAAAGTCTTAAGTCACCACGTCCTATAGGAAGAAACAAAACCTCGCTCTGCCAGCCTCCAGAGCTGGCTGCCTGTTCCCTCCCGATCTCAGCCCGCGGCCCCACCCCCACCCCCTGCCCTCCTGGCAGAGGTGCCACCAGCCTGGCCGTGCCTGCACAGACAACGTTGAGGCTTCAACACCTATGATGCCTCCCTCACCGAGCCCTTTAGCTGTGCAGCTTCTGAGCTTTACATAAACAATTCATGCATGTGCCCAGCTTCTCACGCCTTTTCAGGTTGTTTAATTTCTGAGATTCAACAGCATTGCTGTGCGTGGCAGCCACCTGTCATGGCACAACAAGAAAGGGTGAGCTGAGAAGGAGCCGGGACGTGCAGGGGCGGAGACAGCCAGCTGATCCCTGCAAAACCTCAGCACAGATCTGCCCCCGGGAGGCTCCCGGCCACCCGGCTCTCCTCACAGCTCCCATCTCGCCATCTCTCTGCCCTGCACACTGAACAATCTCTTCTCATTTTTCTACCACTTCACACATTATCTCCTCGTCTCTGTCGACTCTGCAGCTAATGCTGGCAAGCGCCTTGTCATAGTTTTCATTTCTGAACCTTCTTTTCGGCCCTTTCAAACCTGTGACATCTTCCCGCCTTGCAGCTAGGTGTGACTGCAAGATAGAAGAGGAAGCCAGTGGGACGCACTCTGGGAAGGGGCCTCCATACAGGGCCAGACTGCCAGGGAAAGCCCCGCGTTTCTCATCCCAGCTTCATTTTCTTCTATCCATCAGTGCTGGGATGATGGCCGCACTCCAGCCTGTCTTAGACCTGCCTCAAGCACAGAGCTGTGAGCCCAAGGAGCAGGAAGGCGGGAGCCCGGGGCTGTGGTGACAGATGGAGTCGTCACACCACTGGAGGGTCGCCCACCTCTGGGTTTCCTGTTCACACGAGAAGTAAGCCAGCTGCCACTGTGGTCTCGAGGCACTGTTCTCTGGCACTGTGGATGATCACACAGCTAGCCGGAGCAATCCTAACTCACTCGCCGGGCTGTATCTAAGGTCCTGGGGTTTGCTGGTTGGCTCCGGGCCACTGTGCGTGTGTGGGCCCCTTGTGGTCCTGGTCGTGTGCCCCCGCAGGGGTCTAAGAGACACCTACTGTCCACTTGCCTCCAAAAGCCTCGGTCCACAGGGGTCCCTGCAGAGGACCTCCTCCCACCACAGCCCCCCAGAGCCAGTGTTTCCTGGCTGCTTCCGTGCCACGCTGGGGCCACAGCCCTGCCTGCCAGTCCCACCTCTCAGGCTCCTCAGCCCTGGAGGCCACACCTGGCTCTGAGTTTAGGGAAAAGCTTTGGAATGATGACTGACCACAGTCACCCAAAATAACCTTTTGGATGGCAATTCCGGCCCTTATGAAATGCAGGGAGCTGGTTGCCCGGGCATTATTCGCTCAAGAATTGTTGAGTTTTCCTTAGACCCATCCCAGAACACCTCCAGAGGCCTGGGCGGCAGACAGCAGAGAGGGCATCCTGTCCACGCCTCTGTCTGACTGCCCATTTGTCTGTCTCCCAAACCCACAAGCCACGCCCTGCAAGAGCTGCTTACGTGGCCCCCTCACAAATCAGCCAGCCATGAGCACCCCCTCTTCTTCGGCGGGGATGGATGAGGCAGGTTGTGCACAGCACCCACGGGTCCCTGCAACATGTGGCAGGGTCCTCCTTGGGCCTTCTGCATCAGCGCCCACCTGGAGCCGGCCACTGGAGCCTCTCTCCAGGCATGTGTGGTCCCTCCAAGGACAGGCCCTAGGACCCAGGCCTGGGGCAGACGCCTTCTGACCCCGCTCCCTGCCCAGCCTCCCCGAAGGCTGGCTCCAGGACAGGGTGAGATGGGGGTGGGAGATTGGGCCACAGGGAAAAGAAACGATCAGGGGAAGCCGGGTGCCCCTTCAGCACTGCTGCCCACCTGGTGTGGTGGCTTAGCGCTCCCTCTCCCCGCAGACACGCGCTCCTTCTGGGGCCCCTTCCTCACACGCTGGTACCCGTCTTCCTGAGCTCAGCTTCTGGGGAGGGCAGCTGGCAGGCCGGGGACAGCCCTCCCTTGGGAAGCAGAACTTGCAGCTCAGGTGAGTCCCACCACAGTCTCCTGCCAGAACGGATGCACTGCCTGGGCCTGGAGGAGCAGAGGCAGCAGCTCCCGGCGAGGGAGGAGCAAACGCCAAGGCCCGGTGGGGCCAGAGGACCGGTCGGCTGACGGGATGGTGGTCCTTGCTCAGAGGGAGAAAGAGACGGGCAGGAAAAGGAGCCGAGCAGAGAACGGTGGCCGTTCGCAGGTGCTGGGGCTCACCCTCCCCCCACAGACCTCAGCTGGGGCTCACCCTCCCAACACAGACCTCAGCTCGTGGCTGCAGCGGCAGGGACAAGGCCGCCTCCCAGACCCCAGGCCCTGCAGTCCCACAGGCCCCACCGGCAAGGGGTTGTTCCTGGCCCAAGGCTCCGTGTGGCTCTGCCCCAGCGCTGCCCAGGCGGGCAGGGATCCCAGGACCGGCAGCTGGTGGGGGGACGCAGCCTCTGTCCAGCCATTCTGTTGCTGAAAGCGCTTCCACTGTCCAAGAGGCCCCTTGCTCTCCCCTCCAACCCGCAGTCCTGCTGGGGCTGGGGAGGCCATTCCGAAGGAGGAATGCAAGGGACCTCCTGCACTCGCCCTCGGAGCATCCCTCCCTGGGGGACCGCTCACTCACGCTGCTCATCCCCCGCAGCTCAGCATCCCCCGCAGCTCAGCATCCCCCGCAGCTCAGCATCCCCCGCAGCTCAGCATCCCCCGCAGCTCAGCATCCCCCGCAGCTCAGCATCCCCCCGCAGCTCAGCATCCCGCGCAGCTCAGCATCCCGCGCAGCTCAGCCCGGGTTCTTCGGCTTTGGAGCCCAGCAGGGGGACCAGCAGGGGGACCAGCAAGGGGCCTGAGTGACACCCACTGCCCTGGAGTGAGAAGGCAGGGGCGCCACACACACACAGGACACCACACACCACACACCACACACACCACACACACTACACATACCACACACACACTACACACACCACACACACCACACAAACACCACACATGCCACACACGCCACACACACCACACACTACAAGCCACACACACCACACACTACACACACTACACATACCACACACACTACACACACCATACACTACACACACCAGACACACTACACACACCACACCACACACACCAAACACACACATCACACAAACCATACACAACACGCACTACACACACACACTCTACACACACCACACACAGCACACACACCATACCACATACACCACACACACTACACACACCACACGCACCCACACACACCACACACTACACACACCACACAACCAAACACCACACATGCCACACATGCCACACAAACCACACACTACACCAGACACCACACACACCACACAACCAAACACCACAAGACACATATGCCACACACACCACACACTACACACCACACACTACACACACCACACACTACATACACTACACACATCACACACTACACACACCACACACTACACACACCACACATAAACGCACATTACACACACCACACACACACACTACACACACCACACTTACAACACACACCACCCTACACACACATCACACAAACCATACACAACACACACTACACACACAACACACTCTACACACACCACACACAGCACACACACCATACCACATACACCACACACACTACACACACACCCACACATCACACACACTACACACACACAACACATTACACACACCACACACAGTACACACACCACACACACTACACACACCACACACAAACGCACACTACACACACCACACAACCAAACACCACACACACCACACACTACACCACACACCACACACTACACATACCACAAACACACACTACACACACCACAGAAACACCACACATTACCGCACACACCACACACACTACACATACCACACACAAACACACACGCCAAACACGCCACACACAGTACACACACCACACACACTACACAACCAAACACCACACACACACTACACACACGACACACACCACACACACGACACACACCACACACTACATAAAAACACTACACACACCACACACACCAAACACCACACATGCCACACACACACCACACACACTACACTACACACCACACACACTACACCCACCACACACACAACACACCACACACACCACACACTACACCACACAACACACACAACACATACTACACACACCACACACACACTACACCCACCACACACCACGTACACACTACACACACCACACAATGCACACTACACACACCAAACACATTACACCACACACCACACACACTACACACACCACACACACCACACACAAATGCACACTACACACACCACACACACCACACAAATGCACACTACACACACCACACACACCACACACTACACCACACACCACACACACCACACATTATGCACATCACACACAGCTCACACACAACACAGCACACATACCACACACACTACACACAACACATCACACAAACCACACACACAACACACTACACACACACCACACTCTACACACATCACACACAGCTCACACACAACATACACCACATACACTACACACACACCACACACCACACACAGCACACACATATCACACACAAACACACACAGTACACACAGCACACATGCTACACACACAACACACACTACAACCACACACACTACACACACACCACACACACTACACACACCAAACACCACGTACACTACACACAACACACATAACACATACTACATACAACACACAATATACATGAACAGAGATACACACCAACACACACAATACACATACCACATACAGTACACATAAACACACACACCTACACACACACATATACATGTACACACTGGGAGATTTAGAACATAAATTGACATCTAAACTACTAACCACATTCTAGAAAGTTTAGAAAACAGCGGGGGGGGTGGCTAGAAATCACCTGCCACCCCCCCTTAACAAACAGCCCAACGATTTTTTTGTGTGTATAATAAATTGTGGAAATATCTCATTCAATTTTTAAAAAGTTTATTCTTAAATTGGGCAGATAAATTGGGTGTTATTTTTTAACTTCTGGGAAATGTTTCGAAAACAGGATAGAACAGAGAGTTTTTATTTGCAAACACTATTAACCATTTCCTGTTCCAACCTCAGAAATTGCTGTGAATCAGGCGCTGCCTCCCCACCGCGGTGCCCTTGGCCCGGCGGCTGCAGCGTGGTTTCCACCCGGCCAGCCGGGCGCCCGGCGCCTCCCACTGCAGAAGCAGTTTCGGGATGGTCCTGCTGTTTCCAGTGCTTCCCCGGACCGTCCCTGCGCGGATGGAAACTTCCCACTGGCCCGAGCGAGCACGGGGATTCCCCTCCCCTCGCCACTTTCCATCGCTGCTGGCTCATGTTCCAGCACACGGGGCCCATCTCACCACTGCCGTGCGCCGGGCGCCATGCGTCATGACGTGCAGGCTCCTTGGAAACTGTAGGGTTTCTCTTCTCAGTCCAGGAGCATGGGAGGGCCCCCAGCGAGGGGAACCTTCTCCAGGCCCCTGAGAGCAAGGCCCCAGTCTCGGAAAGCAGTCCTAGATCCCCTGGCCTCCTGGGCGCTCTGGCCCACAGAGGGCTTCCGGGGCCTTTAGTCATAGTCACCAAGAACTGGAGTCCACCCAGACTCACTTAAACTGAAGAATGGCTGACTAAATTGTGGTGTGGTACGTACATCCACACCACAGCCTGGATGGCTCGGCACAGAGAGGAACGGGCTGCTGAAACACACGCGCTGGAGGCATCTCCAGGGAATCCCGGAAGGATGCGTACTGCACCTTCCCACGGCTGTCGCTGGAATGAAACAGTGATGGGGGTGGAGGGCAGGCTCGTGGCCACCAGCAGGGAGGTGGGTGTATTGCCAAGGGCACCCGGAGGACCCCGTGGTGATGGGGACGTTCTGCAGCTTCGCTGTCAGGGGATGCAGGAGCCTTCGCTTGTGCCCACATTGTGCAGCCTTTGATAGGCACACATTAGCCAGAAACGGGGACTCAGGATGGGATCGAGGTGTCACATCAAAGTCATTAACCTGGTTGTGACGTTGTCCTGTGGTTTTCCAAACTGTTATCATTCAGAGAGACTGAGCAGAGTGTATGAGGAAACATCTGTGTAATTTCTTACAACTGCAAGTAAATCTACAATTATCTCAATTGTAAATGATACAATACTCAACCAAAACATACAACCATCAGCCAGGTGTGGTGGCTCACGCCTGTAATCCCAACTCTTTGGGAGTCCAAGGTGGGAGAATTGCTGGAGGCCCGGAGTTTGAGACCAGCCTGGGTAACATAAAGAGACCTCCTCTGCCCCCACCCCAAATTCTACAAAAAAAAAAAATGTTAGATATGAGCTGGCCACGGGGTGCACGCCTGTGGTCCCAGCTACTCAGGAGGCTGAGGTCGGAGGATCGCTTGAGCCCAGGAGGTCGAGGCTGCAGTGAGCCAAGATCACACCACTGCACTCCAGCCTGGGTGCAGAGCAAGACCCTGTCTCTAAAAGAAAATAAACAGACAAAAACCACATACAACTTTGCTTGTTGTAAATTATCTTTTAACTGAATGCCCTGGATTGAATCTGGCTGCTGCCATCCCAGGGCCAGTGATTTGGATGGGGTATGACCCTCTGTGAGGAAGGAGCAGGCGGTGGGGGAAGGGCCTGGGTGTCCAGGTTCCCTGGGAAGGAAGGCTGAGAAAAGGAGATGGGGGAGGGGTGCGCAGGGCCGGCCAGCCAAGGGCCCCTTAGCCCCATCTACCCTGCTCCCCGGACTCCGCCTGCCTTTCCTCCTCGTGACAGAAGACAGTGGAAGCCTACTGGGTGGAAGGCACGGGCTTAGGATGTGTGTGGGAGGAAAGTGTGTGTGCTGGGGAGCATGTATGTTTGGGAGTTGTGTGTGTTGGAAATCGTGTGTTGGGGATTGTGTGTATATTGCAGATTTTGTATGTGTGTTGGGGATTGTGGTGTGTGGGTGTTGTAGATTGCGTGTTGGGGATTGTGTTGGGGATTGTGTATGTGTTGGGGGTTGTGTGTGTGTTGGGGATTGTGTGTGGGGGAGATTGTGTGTGTGTGCTGGGGATTGGGTGTGTTGGGGATTGTGTGTGTGTTGAGGATTGTGTGTGGGGGAGATTCTGTGTGTGTGCTGGGGATTGGGTGTGTTGGGGATTGTGTGTGTATTGGGAATTGTGTGTGTGTTGAGGATTGTGTGTGTTGGGGATTTGTGTGTGTGTTGGGGATTCTGTGCATGTTGGGAGTTGTGTGTGAGTTGGGGACAATGTGTACAGAGGATTGTGTGTTGGAAATTTTGTGTGTGCGTTGGGAATTTTGTGTATGTGTTGTGGATTGCGTGTACGTTGGGGATTGTGCATGTTGGGAATTTTGTGTGTGTGTTGAGAATTGTGTGTGAGGGAATTGTGTGTGTTTGAGATTGTGTGTGTATTGGGAATTGTGTGTGTGTTGAGGATTGTGTGTGTTCTGAGGATTGTATGTGTTGGGAATTTTGTGTGTGTGTTGAGGATTGTGTGTGTTGGGGATTCTACGTATGTTGAAAGTTGTGTGTGTGTTGGGATTGTGTGTGTGTTGTGGATTGTGTGTGTTGGGAATTGTGTGTGTGTGTTGAGGATTGTGTGCAGGGGGATTGTGTGTGTTGGAGATTGTATGTGTTGGGAATTTTGTGTGTGTGTTGGGGACTGTGTATGTTTTGGGGATTGTGTGTGTTGGGAATTTTGTGTGTGTGTTGAGGATTGTGTGTGGGGGGATTGTGTGTGTTGGAGATTGTGTGTGTGTTGGGGACTGTGTGTGTGTTGGGGACTGTGTGTGTTGGGGTGTGGTGTGTTGGAAATCGTGTGTTGGGGACACCGTATGTGTTTGGGGGAGGGTGTCAATAAGTGGTCTGGAGTGTGATATTGGGGTGCAGGCTCCATGAGTCCCCACCCCACACCTGAGCCCTGGGACCGCCTATCTGCTTCGGGGTGGGGTCCCAGGACCCTGTAGGTTCAGCCTACTAGTCCAGGCCCAATGCCCAATGCCTGCATCCCTGCAGGCCCTGTGCTCTCCAGGCTCAGACCCCTCGCAGCCCTGCAGACCCTCCCTGGGTCCATGTGTCTCTTTGCAGGTGCTCCAGCGAGTAGCAATGTGGAGAGACCATCAGGCAGCCCTGGCCTCAGTGGCCGCAGTCCCCTGGCTCCACGCTGGGCCCACCCCACCAGGTCTCCTCTCCCATGGCCCAGGGGCCTTCAGTGGGACTGAGAGGAGGAGGGAAGGAGAGTGGGTGACAGGGAAGAACTGCAGGGAGAGAGGAGAGGGGTGGGAGAAGGAGAAGGAAGGAAGGGGTAGGATGGAAGCTGGGTTTCTCCCTGTGCCCGCCCCCTACTCCAGGACATGTGTCCAAGCCCTGGCAGGTGGAATTTTGGGGGCAGGGCCTTGGTGGTGAGGAGACCTTCCAGGGGTCTGATAGCATCTCCCATCTCAGAGCCCACCTCCTGGGCCCAGCCTCCCCTCCAGCCCACACAGTGGCATTCCCAGTCCTCAGAGGACAGCTTCGTCCCACAAAGCTCAGAGCCTTGAGGAAGGCCCACTGCTGCCCTGGAACAGAGACAGCATTCAACAGAGGTTGGAACAAGGCTCTACAGGGCTGGGGGCAGAGGGAGGTTCTGTCCAGAATCTGCCTTCAGGACAAGTACAGCCAGCAGGGGCAGCTTAGCCACTTATCCACTGCCTGGGCGAGGCACAGGGCTATGGAGGCACCTACCAACCAACAGTTCTCCAGCCCCAGAGCCCCAGCCCCTGAGGCACAAGGGTGGGTGTGCCAGGAGACAGTTGCTGCGGGCCACCTTAGCTGTCTGGCAGCACAGTGGGTGCTGCCAGGCTCCCTGGGGGCCCCCCGCCAAGCCCACCTGGCCAGCTGGGCCCCCCCCACCTCCCCACCAAGCCACCCACACAGCCTCACATCTCTGAGACCCGGGAGTGGCCCTTTGTTCATAAACGAGAGCTTCCTCGCCGTGGCCGCGCCTCGCAGACATCATCTTTGATGCTCTTTTTCCACTGTTTCGGTGCTTTAATGTTTTCCCTTCAGAGCCGGGCCGAGTGTCTCTCGGAGCCAGGCAGCCGCGCCAGCTGTCAGGCGGTTTCTAGCCTCGCTTCGGTTATTTTAAGCTGATGAGCCTGACGCATCTCATCACTAATATCAGCAGTTTCATTTCTCCTGTTTTCCATTCGCTGTAATAAAATGCTCAGCACAGAATACAAGGAGATAAGCAAGCCATTTCACAAACGCCGGGCCGCCAGCCAGGCCCAGGCACTGGACCCCCTGAACCACCCCACCCTGGCACGAGTGGGCTGGAGGGCAGGGCCCCGGGGAAGAAGGTCAAGGCTGGAAGGGGAGGTCAGCCTCACAGCCAGCCCCTGCCACCGCCCCAGCCCCCCCGTCAGGCTGTTGCAGGCATCACACGGTGGAAAGATCTGGAACTGTGGCCATGGTGTGAGGCCATCCACAAGGTGGAAGCTTTGAGGGGGAGCCGATTAGCCATGGACAGTTGTCATTCAGTAGGGTCACCTGTGCCCCAGCGAAGGGGGATGGGCCGGGAAGGCAGAGGCCAGGCACCTGCCCCCAGCAGGGGCAGAGGCTGTGGGCAGCCGGGAGGCTCCCAGAGGCTCCGACAGAATGGGAGTGGGGTTGAGCCCACCCCTCACTGCAGCCCAGGAACCTGAGCCCAGAGGGGGCCACCCACCTTCCCCAGGCAGGGAGGCCCGGCCCCCAGGGAGATGGGGGGGATGGGGGAGGAGAAGGGCCTGCCCCCACCCGGCAGCCTCAGGAGGGGCAGCTCGGGCGGGATATGGAAAGAGGCCACAGCAGTGAGCAGAGACACAGAGGAGGAAGGGGCCCTGAGCTGGGGAGACCCCCACGGGGTAGGGCGTGGGGGCCACGGGCCCACCTCCTCCCCATCTCCTCTGTCTCCCTGTCTCTGTCTCTCTCTCCCTCCCCCACCCTCTCCCCAGTCCTACCCCCTCCTCACCCCTCCTCCCCCAGCACTGCCTCTGTCACTCTCGCCCACGTGGATGTGGAGGAAGAGGGGGCGGGAGCAAGGGGCGGGCACCCTCCCTTCAACCTGACCTGGGACAGTTTCCCTTCCGCTCACCTCCGCCTGAGCAGTGGAGAAGGCGGCACTCTGGTGGGGCTGCTCCAGGCATGCAGATCCCACAGGCGCCCTGGCCAGTCGTCTGGGCGGTGCTACAACTGGGCTGGCGGCCAGGATGGTTCTTAGGTAGGTGGGGTCGGCGGTCAGGTGTCCCAGAGCCAGGGGTCTGGAGGGACCTTCCACCCTCAGTCCCTGGCAGGTCGGGGGGTGCTGAGGCGGGCCTGGCCCTGGCAGCCCAGGGGTCCCGGAGCGAGGGGTCTGGAGGGACCTTTCACTCTCAGTCCCTGGCAGGTCGGGGGGTGCTGTGGCAGGCCCAGCCTTGGCCCCCAGCTCTGCCCCTTACCCTGAGCTGTGTGGCTTTGGGCAGCTCGAACTCCTGGGTTCCTCTCTGGGCCCCAACTCCTCCCCTGGCCCAAGTCCCCTCTTTGCTCCTGGGCAGGCAGGACCTCTGTCCCCTCTCAGCCGGTCCTTGGGGCTGCGTGTTTCTGTAGAATGACGGGTCAGGCTGGCCAGAACCCCAAACCTTGGCCGTGGGGAGTCTGCGTGGCGGCTCTGCCTTGCCCAGGCATCCTTGGTCCTCACTCGAGTTTTCCTAAGGATGGGATGAGCCCCATG
This sequence comes from Homo sapiens, assembly GCF_000001405.40. Classification (NCBI taxonomy): domain Eukaryota; kingdom Metazoa; phylum Chordata; class Mammalia; order Primates; family Hominidae; genus Homo; species Homo sapiens. Next base: position 241,858,273 of record NC_000002.12, on the reverse strand, counting down.
TGGGACTAACCTTGGCTTTACGACGTCAAAGTTTAGATGAGCTGGTGATATTTTTCTCATTATATCCAAAGTGTACCTGTTCGAGTGAGGACAGTTCTTCTGTCTCCAGGATCCCTCCTGGGTGGGGATTGTGCCCGCCTGGGTCTCTGCCCAGATTCCAGGGCTCTCCCCGAGCCCTGTTCAGACCATCCGTGGGGGAGGCCTTGGCCTCACTCTCCCGGATCGAGGAGAGAGGGAGCCTCTTCCTGGGCTGCCCGTGACCCTGGGCCCTCTGTGTACACTGTGACCACAGCCCGCTCCTGGACCCTCTGTGCCCGGCTGGCCCTCTGTGCCCAGCCAGCCTGCACCTGGGGATGCCAAGGCCTGGGGAGGGTGGTTTCACCCAGGCCAAGCCTAAGACAGTCCCTCTGGGCCCTGCTGGGTACCGGGGTGTGACACCACTGGGAGGACAAGATGAGGGGCACCCCTGGGGCCGCCCTGACACCCCCTCGAGGCTCCTGCCCCGGGGGTCCTGGTGCCCCTTCACTGTGGCAGGCGACTGGGGGTTCCCCACCTCGGCCCCTCTCCCGGGGCCTGCTCCCCGGCACCTGAGGCAGCATCCTTGTCAGGGCCGTGCCTTCCTGCCTCAGCGCCACCTCTTAAGGTTGGCCCGTGGGTCACTCAGGACTCAGAACTGGAGATTCTGGGCAAAAGGCAAAGAGCAAAGGGCCAAAAGGCATCCCAGGGAGACGACTGCGGGGGAACCAGAGGGCAGAGGGGCGCTCGTCACAGGGGAGGGGGAGCTGAGCGAGGCAGGAGGGGAGCCGAGCCTCTCCCCCCGTGTCCCGGCTCTTCAGGCACGCCCTCGGGACGCCACCCTCCCCGACCCAGGCGGGAAAGATAAGAGCAAGGTGTCCGCAGCCTGACACTCGTGCCTCAGGTGCCCGCGCTTGTGCCGGACAAGACTCTCACAGGTGGCATGCCTCGGTTTCCCCACTGGTAACAGCACAGGGCACTCAGCAAGGCGCAGTGGGCATGACTGGGGTCCTGTGGGTCCTGACCCAGATGTGGCCACCCCGGCCGCAGTGGTCTTCATTCCAGGATGCCTCTTTTCCCTCCTGATCTATTCACTGCGTTCGCCATTCGGTCATTCCCGGGGCCACCACTCCCACCTCAGGTGTGTGCTTCCCTTGTGTTTTATGAGATATCCCCAACCCGGCTGCTTATTGGCCCCGTCCGAGGGCAGGAGCATAAATAAGAGCCTCTGCTTTGGCGTGGGACCACTGTGAGCTCCAGTCAGCGCTGCCACTGCTGAGCTCTGGGCCTTCGACAGGACTTGGCCCCTTACTGACTTCTCCGTGTGCTTTGGGTCATGGGTGAGGACGCCTCCTGGCAAGGCTGCGTCCTGAGGATTAAATCGGGTCATCTGTGAAAACTACCCAGCCCAGCCCCTGACACTTTTTTGTTTGTTTCTTTTAGTGACAGGGTCTTGCTCTGTCACCCAGGCTGGAGTGCAGTGGTGTGATCTCGGCTCACTCGACCTCCGGGGCTCAAGCAATTCTCCCACCTCTGCCTCCAGAGTAGCTGGGACTATAGGCACGTGCCACCCTGCCAGGCTAATTTCTTCCATTTTTTTTAGAGACAGGGTCTCGCTATGTTCCCCAGGCTGGGCTCAAATGGTCCTCCCACCTCAGCCTCCCCAAGTACTGGGATTACAGGCATAAGCCACTGCATCTGGCCTCCATGACACATATTTTTAAAGTCTGATTTTTAAAGTCAAACTTTTGAAGTCAGATTTTAAACGGACTATTTTGAAAAATATACAAAAACGTTTAAAAACAATGAATATCCCTCACCTAGAATCAATAACTAAGAATATTGACACATTTGCTTTGGGGACTGGGCGGCTGGAGCTGCCATGACAAAGCTCCGCCGACCGAGTGGCTTTTAAACAGAGCCTGCCCTCTCGCCGACTGAGGGCTGGACGTGCAGGATGGAGCTCCGCAGGGTCGGCTCCCCTGTGCTCTGAGGGGCTCTGCTCAGCCTCTCCCGGCTGTGGCTTAAAAACAGAGCCTGTCCTCCCGCCGTGGGGGGCTGGACATGCAGGACCGAGGGGCCACAGGGTCGGCTCCCTGTGCTCCGAGAGGGCTCTGCTCAGCTTCTCCTGGCTGGGGGGTTTTGTGGCCACCCTCTGTGTTCCTGGGTTCAGAAGCATCCCCCAGGCTCTGCCTTCATCTCTGCACGGGTGACTCTGTACAGGAAGCCAGGCCTGCTGGTCAATGGCCACCCAGCCCTGTGCCCTCATCTTACCTAGTCCCAGCTGCCGTCACCCTATTCCTAATAAGGCCGCCTTCTGAGGTCATGGGGTTAGGACTTCCACATAGGAATCTGTGGGGACACGGTTCGGCCCACAGCCCTTCCCACCTCCACACACACACACGACTGTGAGGAGTTGGAAGACCTCACTCCTCACCCCTGCCAGGTCCTCTAGGGACAAGCTCGCTGTCCTCATCCCAGCACAGCCCGTGGGACGGTTTCCTTGTCCCTAATGGGACCACGGTCAGAGATGCCGGGTCTGGTCTGGGCCAGCAGGTTCCTCCGCCCGGGGCAGGCAGCCTTCTTCTGTGCGCTTCTGGAAAGCAATGTCCTGTAATGCGGTCTCTCTGCGGGAGCACCCCCACCGCCACCTCACAGGCCTGTTCCACAGCCCCGGG